>NC_000008.11:44229097-44551617 GCF_000001405.40 Homo sapiens | reverse complement strand
CAATTCTGACAGTTGAGTGCACACATCACAAACGTGATTCTGCAAATGCTTCTGTCTAGTTTTTGTCGGAAGATATTTCCTTTTTCAGCATAGGCCCCAAGGAGCTCAAAATGTCCACTGCCAGATAGTACGAGAAGATTGTTTCAAACCTGCTCTGTGAAAGGGAATGTTCAACTCTGTGACTTGAATGTAAACATCCCTAAGATGTTTCTTAGAATGCTTCTGGCTAGATTTTATTTGAAGATATTCCCGTTTCCAACGAAATCCTCAAAGCTTTCCAAATATCCACTTCCAGATTCTATAAAAAGAATGTTTCAGAACAGTTCTGTCAAAAGAAAGGTTCAACCCTGTTAGTGGAGAACACACATCACAATCAAGGTTCTAAGAATGCTTCTGTCTAAATTTTCTATGAAGACATTCCCATTTCCAACGAAATCCTCACAGCTATCCAAATATCCACTTGCAGATTCTACAAAAAGTGTGGTTCAAAACTGCTGTATCAAAAGAATGGATCAACACTGTTAGTTGAGTACCCACATCACAAACGTGATTCTCAGAATGCTTCTGTCTAGTTTCTATAGGTAGATATTTCCTTTTTCAGCATAGGCCTGAAAGCGCTCCAAATGCCCGCTTCCAGACAGTATAAAAAGAGGGTTTCAAACCTACTCTATGAAAGGGAATGTTCAACTCTGAGAGCTGGATGCAAACATCACAAAGAAGTTTCTGAGAATGCTGCTGTCTACTTTTTATATATAATCCCGTTTCCAACGAAATCCTCAAATCTATCCAAATATCCACTTGCAGATTCCAAAAGAAGAGTGTCTCAAAACTGCTCTATCAATAGAAATGTTCAGCACAGTTAGCTGAGTAGATACAGCATAAACATGTTTCTGAGATTACTTCTATCTCGCATTCATGGGAAGATATTTCCTTTTTCCAGATAGGCTACAAAGCCCTCCAAATGTCCACTTCGAGATACTACAAATAGAGTGCTGCACAACTGCTCTATGTGAGGGGAAGTTCAATTCTGTGACTTGAATGCAGACACCACAAAGAAGTTTCTGAGAATGCTGCTGTCTAATTTTTACATGTAAGCCCGTTTCCAACGAAATCCTCAAAGCTATCCAAATATCCGCATGCAGAATCTTCTAAAAGAGTGTTCCAGAAGTACTGCATGAAACAAAAGGTTCAAGTCCGTTTGTTGAGGACACACATCACAAATAAGTTTCTCAGAATGCTTCTGTCTTGTTTTCATTGGAAGATATTTCCTTTTTCACCATAGTTCAGAAAGCGCTCCAAATGTCCACTTCCAGATACTCCAAAAAGAGTGTTTCAAACCTGCTCTATGAATGGGAATGTTCCACTCTGTGACTTGAATGGAAATATGGCAAAGTATTTTCTGAGTATGCTGCTGTGTACGTTTTATATTGCATCCCGTTTCCAACGAAATCCTCAAAGCGATCCAAATATCCACTTGCAGATTCCAAAAAAAGAGTGTTTCAAACTGCTCTGTCAGTACAAAGGTTCAACACTGTTAGTTGATTAGATGCATCATAAACAAGTTCCTGAGACAGCTTCTATGTCGTTTTTATGGGAAGATATTTCCTTTTTCACCATAGGCCTGAAAGCGCTCCAAATGTCCACTTCCAGATACTACAATAAGAGTGTTTCCAACCTGCTCTATGAAACGGAAGGTTCAACTCTGTGACTTGATTGCAAACATCACGAAGGTGTTCCTCAGAATGCTTCTGTCTAGATTTTCTTTGAAGACATTCCCGTTTCCAACGAAATCCTCACAGCTATCCAAATATCCTCTTGCAGATTCTACAAAAAGTGTGGTTCAAAACTGCTGTATCAAAAGAATGGATCAACACTGTTAGTTGAGTACCCACATCACAAACGTGATTCTCAGAATGCTTCTGTCTAGTTTCTGTAGGTAGATATTTCCTATTTTAAGCATAGGCCTGAAAGCGCTCCAAATGCCCGCTTCCAGACACTATAAAAAGAGGGTTTCAAACCTACTCTATGAAAGGGAATGTTCAACTCTGAGAGCTGGATGCAAACATCACAAAGAAGTTTCTGAGAATGCTGCTGTCTACTTTTTATATATAATCCCGTTTCCAACGAAATCCTCAAATCTATCCAAATATCCACTTGCAGATTCCAAAAGAAGAGTGTCTCAAAACTGCTCTATCAATAGAAATGTTCAGCACAGTTAGTTGAGTAGATACAGCATAAACATGTTTCTGAGATTACTTCTATCTCGCATTCATGGGAAGATATTTCCTTTTTCCAGATAGGCTACAAAGCCCTCCAAATGTCCACTTCCAGATACTACAAAAAGTGTGTTTCCAACCTGCTCTATGAAACGGAAGGTTCAACTCTGTGACTTGATTGCAAACATCACGAAGGTGTTTCTGAGAATGCTTCTGTCTAGATTTTCTTTGAAGACATTACCGTTTCCAACGAAATCCTCAAAGCTAGCCAAATATCCACCTGCAGATTCTACAAAAAGAGTGTTTCAAAAGTGCTCTCTCCAAACCAAGGTTCAATTCTGACAGTTGAGTGCACACATCACAAACGTGATTCTGCGAATGCTTCTGTCTAGTTTTTGTCGGAAGATATTTCCTTTTTCAGCATAGGCCCCAAAGAGCTCAAAATGTCCACTGCCAGATAGTACGAGAAGATTGTTTCAAACCTGCTCTGTGAAAGGGAATGTTCAACTCTGTGACTTGAATGTAAACATCCCTAAGATGTTTCTTAGAATGCTTCTGGCTAGATTTTATTTGAAGATATTCCCGTTTCCAACGAAATCCTCAAAGCTTTCCAAATATCCACTTCCAGATTCTATAAAAAGAATGTTTCAGAACAGTTCTGTCAAAAGAAAGGTTCAACTCTGTTAGTGGAGAACACACATCACAATCAAGGTTCTGAGAATGCTTCTGTCTAAATTTTCTATGAAGACATTCCCGTTTCCAACGAAATCCTCACAGCTATCCAAATATCCACTTGCAGATTCTACAAAAAGTGTGGTTCAAAACTGCTGTATCAAAAGAATGGATCAACACTGTTAGTTGAGTACCCACATCACAAACGTGATTCTCAGAATGCTTCTGTCTAGTTTCTATAGGTAGATATTTCCTTTTTCAGCATAGGCCTGAAAGCGCTCCAAATGCCCGCTTCCAGACACTATAAAAAGAGGGTTTCAAACCTACTCTATGAAAGGGAATGTTCAACTCTGAGAGCTGGATGCAAACATCACAAAGAAGTTTCTGAGAATGCTGCTGTCTACTTTTTATATATAATCCCGTTTCCAACGAAATCCTCAAATCTATCCAAATATCCACTTGCAGATTCCAAAAGAAGAGTGTCTCAAAACTGCTCTATCAATAGAAATGTTCAGCACAGTTAGTTGAGTAGATACAGCATAAACATGTTTCTGAGATTACTTCTATCTCGCATTCATGGGAAGATATTTCCTTTTTCCAGATAGGCTACAAAGCCCTCCAAATGTCCACTTCCAGATACTACAAATAGAGTGCTGCACAACTGCTCTATGTGAGGGGAAGTTCAATTCTGTGACTTGAATGCAGACACCACAAAGAAGTTTCTGAGAATGCTGCTGTCTAATTTTTACATGTAAGCCCGTTTCCAACGAAATCCTCAAAGCTATCCAAATATCCGCATGCAGAATCTTCAAAAAGAGTGTTCCAGAAGTACTGCATGAAACGAAAGGTTCAAGTCCGTTTGTTGAGGACACACATCACAAATAAGTTTCTCAGAATGCTTCTGTCTTGTTTTCATTGGAAGATATTTCCTTTTTCACCATAGTTCAGAAAGCGCTCCAAATGTCCACTTCCAGATACTCCAAAAAGAGTGTTTCAAACCTGCTCTATGAATGGGAATGTTCCACTCTGTGACTTGAATGGAAATATGGCAAAGTATTTTCTGAGTATGCTGCTGTGTACGTTTTATATTGCATCCCGTTTCCAACGAAATCCTCAAAGCGATCCAAATATCCACTTGCAGATTCCAAAAAAAGAGTGTTTCATACTGCTCTGTCAGTACAAAGGTTCAACACTGTTAGTTGATTAGATGCATCATAAACAAGTTCCTGAGATAGCTTCTATGTCGCTTTTATGGGAAGATATTTCCTTTTACACCATAGGCCTGAAAGCGCTCCAAATGTCCACTTCCAGATACTACAATAAGAGTGTTTCCAACCTGCTCTATGAAACGGAAGGTTCAACTCTGTGACTTGATTGCAAACATCACGAAGGTGTTTCTGAGGATGTTTCTGTCTAGATTTTCTTCGAAGACATTACCGTTTCCAAAGAAATCCTCAAAGCTAGCCAAATATCCACCTGCAGATTCTACAAAGAGAGTTTCAAAAGTGCTCTGTCCAAACAAAGGTTCAATTCTGACAGTTGAGTGCACACATCACAAACGTGATTCTGCGAATGCTTCTGTCTAGTTTTTGTCGGAAGAATATTTCCTTTTTCAGCATAGGCCCCAAGGAGCTCAAAATGTCCACTGCCAGATAGTACGAGAAGATTGTTTCAAACCTGCTCTGAGAAAGGGGAATGTTCAACTCTGTGACTTGAATGTAAACATCCCTAAGATGTTTCTTAGAATGCTTCTGGCTAGATTTGATTTGAAGATATTCCCGTTTCCAACGAAATCCTCAAAGCTTTCCAAATATCCACTTCCAGATTCTATAAAAAGAATGTTTCAGAACAGTTCTGTCAAAAGAAAGGTTCAACTCTGTTAGTGGAGAACACACATCACAATCAAGGTTCTGAGAATGCTTCTGTCTAAATTTTCTATGAAGACATTCCCGTTTCCAACGAAATCCTCACAGCTATCCAAATATCCACTTGCAGATTCTACAAAAAGTGTGGTTCAAAACTGCTGTATCAAAAGAATGGATCAACACTGTTAGTTGAGTACCCACATCACAAACGTGATTCTCAGAATGCTTCTGTCTAGTTTCTATAGGTAGATATTTCCTTTTTCAGCATAGGCCTGAAAGCGCTCCAAATGCCCGCTTCCAGACACTATAAAAAGAGGGTTTCAAAACTACTCTATGAAAGGGAATGTTCAACTCTGGGAGCTAGATGCAAACATCACAAAGAAGTTTCTGAGAATGCTGCTGTCTACTTTTTATATATAATCCCGTTTCCAACGAAATCCTCAAATCTATCCAAATATCCACTTGCAGATTCCAAAAGAAGAGTGTCTCAAAACTGCTCTATCAATAGAAATGTTCAGCACAGTTAGTTGAGTAGATACAGCATAAACATGTTTCTGAGATTACTTCTATCTCGCATTCATGGGAAGATATTTCCTTTTTCCAGATAGGCTACAAAGCCCTCCAAATGTCCACTTCCAGATACTACAAATAGAGTGCTGCACAACTGCTCTATGTGAGGGGAAGTTCAATTCTGTGACTTGAATGCAGACACCACAAAGAAGTTTCTGAGAATGCTGCTGTCTAATTTTTACATGTAAGCCCGTTTCCAACGAAATCCTCAAAGCTATCCAAATATCCGCATGCAGAATCTTCAAAAAGAGTGTTCCAGAAGTACTGCATGAAACGAAAGGTTCAAGTCCGTTTGTTGAGGACACACATCACAAATAAGTTTCTCAGAATGCTTCTGTCTTGTTTTCATTGGAAGATATTTCCTTTTTCACCATAGTTCAGAAAGCGCTCCAAATGTCCACTTCCAGATACTCCAAAAAGAGTGTTTCAAACCTGCTCTATGAATGGGAATGTTCCACTCTGTGACTTGAATGGAAATATGGCAAAGTATTTTCTGAGTATGCTGCTGTGTACGTTTTATATTGCATCCCGTTTCCAACGAAATCCTCAAAGCGATCCAAATATCCACTTGCAGATTCCAAAAAAAGAGTGTTTCAAACTGCTCTGTCAGTACAAAGGTTCAACACTGTTAGTTGATTAGATGCATCATAAACAAGTTCCTGAGACAGCTTCTATGTCGTTTTTATGGGAAGATATTTCCTTTTTCACCATAGGCCTGAAAGCGCTCCAAATGTCCACTTCCAGATACTACAATAAGAGTGTTTCCAACCTGCTCTATGAAACGGAAGGTTCAACTCTGTGACTTGATTGCAAACATCACGAAGGTGTTCCTCAGAATGATTCTGTCTAGATTTTCTTTGAAGACATTCCCGTTTCCAACGAAATCCTCACAGCTATCCAAATATCCTCTTGCAGATTCTACAAAAAGTGTGGTTCAAAACTGCTGTATCAAAAGAATGGATCAACACTGTTAGTTGAGTACCCACATCACAAACGAGATTCTCAGAATGCTTCTGTCTAGTTTCTGTAGGTAGATATTTCCTATTTTAAGCATAGGCCTGAAAGCGCTCCAAATGCCCGCTTCCAGACACTATAAAAAGAGGGTTTCAAACCTACTCTATGAAAGGGAATGTTCAACTCTGAGAGCTGGATGCAAACATCACAAAGAAGTTTCTGAGAATGCTGCTGTCTACTTTTTATATATAATCCCGTTTCCAACGAAATCCTCAAATCTCTCCAAATATCCACTTGCAGATTCCAAAAGAAGAGTGTCTCAAAACTGCTCTATCAATAGAAATGTTCAGCACAGTTAGTTGAGTAGATACAGCATAAACATGTTTCTGAGATTACTTCTATCTCGCATTCATGGGAAGATATTTCCTTTTTCCACATAGGCTACAAAGCCCTCCAAATGTCCACTTCCAGATACTACAAAAAGAGTGTTTCCAACCTGCTCTATGAAACGGAAGGTTCAACTCTGTGACTTGATTGCAAACATCACGAAGGTGTTTCTGAGAATGCTTCTGTCTAGATTTTCTTTGAAGACATTACCGTTTCCAACGAAATCCTCAAAGCTAGCCAAATATCCACCTGCAGATTCTACAAAAAGAGTGTTTCAAAAGTGCTCTGTCCAAACCAAGGTTCAATTCTGACAGTTGAGTGCACACATCACAAACGTGATTCTGCGAATGCTTCTGTCTAGTTTTTGTCGGAAGATATTTCCTTTTTCAGCATAGGCCCCAAGGAGCTCAAAATGTCCACTGCCAGATAGTACGAGAAGATTGTTTCAAACCTGCTCTGTGAAAGGGAATGTTCAACTCTGTGACTTGAATGTAAACATCCCTAAGATGTTTCTTAGAATGCTTCTGGCTAGATTTTATTTGAAGATATTCCCGTTTCCAACGAAATCCTCAAAGCTTTCCAAATATCCACTTCCAGATTCTATAAAAAGAATGTTTCAGAACAGTTCTGTCAAAAGAAAGGTTCAACTCTGTTAGTGGAGAACACACATCACAATCAAGGTTCTGAGAATGCTTCTGTCTAAATTTTCTATGAAGACATTCCCGTTTCCAACGAAATCCTCACAGCTATCCAAATATCCACTTGCAGATTCTACAAAAAGTGTGGTTCAAAACTGCTGTATCAAAAGAATGGATCAACACTGTTAGTTGAGTACCCACATCACAAACGTGATTCTCAGAATGCTTCTGTCTAGTTTCTATAGGTAGATATTTCCTTTTTCAGCATAGGCCTGAAAGCGCTCCAAATGCCCGCTTCCAGACACTATAAAAAGAGGGTTTCAAACCTACTCTATGAAAGGGAATGTTCAACTCTGAGAGCTGGATGCAAACATAACAAAGAAGTTTCTGAGAATGCTGCTGTCTACTTTTGATATATAATCCCGTTTCCAACGAAATCCTCAAATCTATCCAAATATCCACTTGCAGATTCCAAAAGAAGAGTGTCTCAAAACTGCTCTATCAATAGAAATGTTCAGCACAGTTAGTTGAGTAGATACAGCATAAACATGTTTCTGAGATTACTTCTATCTCGCATTCATGGGAAGATATTTCCTTTTTCCAGATAGGCTACAAAGCCCTCCAAATGTCCACTTCCAGATACTACAAAAAGAGTGTTTCCAACCTGCTCTATGAAACGGAAGGTTCAACTCTGTGACTTGATTGCAAACATCACGAAGGTGTTTCTGAGAATGCTTCTGTCTAGATTTTCTTTGAAGACATTACCGTTTCCAACGAAATCCTCAAAGCTAGCCAAATATCCACCTGCAGATTCTACAAAAAGAGTGTTTCAAAAGTGCTCTGTCCAAACCAAGGTTCAATTCTGACAGTTGAGTGCACACATCACAAACGTGATTCTGCGAATGCTTCTGTCTAGTTTTTGTCGGAAGATATTTCCTTTTTCAGCATAGGCCCCAAGGAGCTCAAAATGTCCACTGCCAGATAGTACGAGAAGATTGTTTCAAACCTGCTCTGTGAAAGGGAATGTTCAACTCTGTGACTTGAATGTAAACATCCCTAAGATGTTTCTTATAATGCTCTGGCGTAGATTTGATTTGAAGATATTCCCGTTTCCAACGAAATCCTCAAAGCTTTCCAAATATCCACTTCCAGATTCTATAAAAAGAATGTTTCAGAACAGTTCTGTCAAAAGAAAGGTTCAACTCTGTTAGTGGAGAACACACATCACAATCAAGGTTCTGAGAATGCTTCTGTCTAAATTTTCTATGAAGACATTCCCGTTTCCAACGAAATCCTCACAGCTATCCAAATATCCACTTGCAGATTCTACAAAAAGTGTGGTTCAAAACTGCTGTATCAAAAGAATGGATCAACACTGTTAGTTGAGTACCCACATCACAAACTTGATTCTCAGAATGCTTCTGTCTAGTTTCTATATGTAGATATTTCCTTTTTCAGCATAGGCCTGAAAGCGCTCCAAATGCCCGCTTCCAGACACTATAAAAAGAGGGTTTCAAACCTACTCTATGAAAGGGAATGTTCAACTCTGAGAGCTGGATGCAAACATCACAAAGAAGTTTCTGAGAATGCTGCTGTCTACTTTTTATATATAATCCCGTTTCCAACGAAATCCTCAAATCTATCCAAATATCCACTTGCAGATTCCAAAAGAAGAGTGTCTCAAAACTGCTCTATCAATAGAAATGTTCAGCACAGTTAGTTGAGTAGATACAGCATAAACATGTTTCTGAGATTACTTCTATCTCGCATTCATGGGAAGATATTTCCTTTTTCCAGATAGGCTACAAAGCCCTCCAAATGTCCCCTTCCAGATACTACAAATAGAGTGCTGCACAACTGCTCTATGTGAGGGGAAGTTCAACTCTGTGACTTGAATGCAGACACCACAAAGAAGTTTCTGAGAATGCTGCTGTCTAATTTTTACATGTAAGCCCGTTTCCAACGAAATCCTCAAAGCTATCCAAATATCCGCATGCAGAATCTTCAAAAAGAGTGTTCCAGAAGTACTGCATGAAACGAAAGGTTCAAGTCCGTTTGTTGAGGACACACATCACAAATAAGTTTCTCAGAATGCTTCTGTCTTGTTTTCATTGGAAGATATTTCCTTTTTCACCATAGTTCAGAAAGCGCTCCAAATGTCCACTTCCAGATACTCCAAAAAGAGTGTTTCAAACCTGCTCTATGAATGGGAATGTTCCACTCTGTGACTTGAATGGAAATATGGCAAAGTATTTTCTGAGTATGCTGCTGTGTACGTTTTATATTGCATCCCGTTTCCAACGAAATCCTCAAAGCGATCCAAATATCCACTTGCAGATTCCAAAAAAAGAGTGTTTCAAACTGCTCTGTCAGTACAAAGGTTCAACACTGTTAGTTGATTAGATGCATCATAAACAAGTTCCTGAGATAGCTTCTATGTCGTTTTTATGAGAAGATATTTCCTTTTTCACCATAGGCCTGAAAGCGCTCCAAATGTCCACTTCCAGATACTACAATAAGAGTGTTTCCAACCTGCTCTATGAAACGGAAGGTTCAACTCTGTGACTTGATTGCAAACATCACGAAGGTGTTTCTGAGAATGCTTCTGTCTAGATTTTCTTTGAAGACATTACCGTTTCCAACGAAATCCTCACAGCTATCCAAATATCCACTTGCAGATTCTACAAAAAGTGTGGTTCAAAACTGCTGTATCAAAAGAATGGATCAACACTGTTAGTTGAGTACCCACATCACAAACGTGATTCTCAGAATGCTTCTGTCTAGTTTCTGTAGGTAGATATTTCCTATTTTAAGCATAGGCCTGAAAGCGCTCCAAATGCCCGCTTCCAGACACTATAAAAAGAGGGTTTCAAACCTACTCTATGAAAGGGAATGCTCAACTCTGAGAGCTGGATGTAAACATCACAAAGAAGTTTCTGAGAATGCTGCTGTCTACTTTTTATATATAATCGCGTTTCCAACGAAATCCTCAAATCTATCCAAATATCCACTTGCAGATTCCAAAAGAAGAGTGTCTCAAAACTGCTCTATCAATAGAAATGTTCAGCACAGTTAGTTGAGTAGATACAGCATAAACATGTTTCTGAGATTACTTCTATCTCGCATTCATGGGAAGATATTTCCTTTTTCCAGATAGGCTACAAAGCCCTCCAAATGTCCACTTCCAGATACTACAAAAAGAGTGTTTCCAACCTGCTCTATGAAACGGAAGGTTCAACTCTGTGACTTGATTGCAAACATCACGAAGTTGTTTCTGAGAATGCTTCTGTCTAGATTTTCTTTGAAGACATTACCGTTTCCAACGAAATCCTCAAAGCTAGCCAAATATCCACCTGCAGATTCTACAAAAAGAGTGTTTCAAAAGTGCTCTGTCCAAACCAAGGTTCAATTCTGACAGTTGAGTGCACACATCACAAACGTGATTCTGCGAATGCTTCTGTCTAGTTTTTGTCGGAAGATATTTCCTTTTTCAGCATAGGCCCCAAGGAGCTCAAAATGTCCACTGCCAGATAGTACGAGAAGATTGTTTCAAACCTGCTCTGTGAAAGGGAATGTTCAACTCTGTGACTTGAATGTAAACATCCCTAAGATGTTTCTTAGAATGCTTCTGGCTAGATTTGATTTGAAGATATTCCCGTTTCCAACGAAATCCTCAAAGCTTTCCAAATATCCACTTTCAGATTCTATAAAAAGAATGTTTCAGAACAGTTCTGTCAAAAGAAAGGTTCAACTCTGTTAGTGGAGAACACACATCACAATCAAGGTTCTGAGAATGCTTCTGTCTAAATTTTCTATGAAGACATTCCCGTTTCCAACGAAATCCTCACAGCTATCCAAATATCCACTTGCAGATTCTACAAAAAGTGTGGTTCAAAACTGCTGTATCAAAAGAATGGATCAACACTGTTAGTTGAGTACCCACATCACAAACGTGATTCTCAGAATGCTTCTGTCTAGTTTCTATAGGTAGATATTTCCTTTTTCAGCATAGGCCTGAAAGCGCTCCAAATGCCCGCTTCCAGACACTATAAAAAGAGGGTTTCAAACCTACTCTATGAAAGGGAATGTTCAACTCTGGGAGCTGGATGCAAACATCACAAAGAAGTTTCTGAGAATGCTGCTGTCTTCTTTTTATATATAATACCGTTTCCAACGAAATCCTCAAATCTATCCAAATATCCACTTGCAGATTCCAAAAGAAGAGTGTCTCAAAACTGCTCTATCAATAGAAATGTTCAGCACAGTTAGTTGAGTAGATACAGCATAAACATGTTTCTGAGATTACTTCTATCTCGCATTCATGGGAAGATATTTCCTTTTTCCAGATAGGGCTACAAAGCCCTCCAAATGTCCACTTCCAGATACTACAAAAAGTGTGTTTCCAACCTGCTCTATGAAACGGAAGGTTCAACTCTGTGACTTGATTGCAAACATCACGAAGGTGTTTCTGAGAATGCTTCTGTCTAGATTTTCTTTGAAGACATTACCGTTTCCAACGAAATCCTCAAAGCTAGCCAAATATCCACCTACAGATTCTACAAAAAGAGTGTTTCAAAAGTGCTCTGTCCAAACCAAGGTTCAATTCTGAGAGTTGAGTGCACACATCACAAACGTGATTCTGCGAATGCTTCTGTCTAGTTTTTGTCGGAAGATATTTCCTTTTTCAGCATAGGCCCCAAGGAGCTCAAAATGTCCACTGCCAGATAGTACGAGAAGATTGTTTCAAACCTGCTGCTGTGAAAGGGAATGTTCAACTCTGTGACTTGAATGTAAACATCCCTAAGATGTTTCTTAGAATGCTTCTGGCTAGATTTGATTTGAAGATATTCCCGTTTCCAACGAAATCCTCAAAGCTTTCCAAATATCCACTTCCAGATTCTATAACAAGAATGTTTCAGAACAGTTCTGTCAAAAGAAAGGTTCAACTCTGTTAGTGGAGAACACACATCACAATCAAGGTTCTGAGAATGCTTCTGTCTAAATTTTCTATGAAGACATTCCCGTTTCCAACGAAATCCTCACAGCTATCCAAATATCCACTTGCAGATTCTACAAAAAGTGTGGTTCAAAACTGCTGTATCAAAAGAATGGATCAACACTGTTAGTTGAGTACCCACATCACAAACGTGATTCTCAGAATGCTTCTGTCTAGTTTCTATAGGTAGATATTTCCTTTTTCAGCATAGGCCTGAAAGCGCTCCAAATGCCCGCTTCCAGACACTATAAAAAGAGGGTTTCAAACCTACTCTATGAAAGGGAATGTTCAACTCTGAGAGCTGGATGCAAACATCACAAAGAAGTTTCTGAGAATGCTGCTGTCTACTTTTTATATATAATCCCGTTTCCAACGAAATCCTCAAATCTATCCAAATATCCACTTGCAGATTCCAAAAGAAGAGTGTCTCAAAACTGCTCTATCAATAGAAATGTTCAGCACAGTTAGTTGAGTAGATACAGCATAAACATGTTTCTGAGATTACTTCTATCTCGCATTCATGGGAAGATATTTCCTTTTTCCAGATAGGCTACAAAGCCCTCCAAATGTCCACTTCCAGATACTACAAAAAGAGTGTTTCCAACCTGCTCTATGAAACGGAAGGTTCAACTCTGTGACTTGATTGCAAACATCACGAAGGTGTTTCTGAGAATGCTTCTGTCTAGATTTTCTTTGAAGACATTACCGTTTCCAACGAAATCCTCAAAGCTAGCCAAATATCCACCTGCAGATTCTACAAAAAGAGTGTTTCAAAAGTGCTCTGTCCAAACCAAGGTTCAATTCTGACAGTTGAGTGCACACATCACAAACGTGATTCTGCGAATGCTTCTGTCTAGTTTTTGTCGGAAGATATTTCCTTTTTCAGCATAGGCCCCAAGGAGCTCAAAATGTCCACTGCCAGATAGTACGAGAAGATTGTTTCAAACCTGCTCTGTGAAAGGGAATGTTCAACTCTGTGACTTGAATGTAAACATCCCTAAGATGTTTCTTAGAATGCTTCTGGCTAGATTTGATTTGAAGATATTCCCGTTTCCAACGAAATCCTCAAAGCTTTCCAAATATCCACTTCCAGATTCTATAAAAAGAATGTTTCAGAACAGTTCTGTCAAAAGAAAGGTTCAACTCTGTTAGTGGAGAACACACATCACAATCAAGGTTCTGAGAATGCTTCTGTCTAAATTTTCTATGAAGACATTCCCGTTTCCAACGAAATCCTCACAGCTATCCAAATATCCACTTGCAGATTCTACAAAAAGTGTGGTTCAAAACTGCTGTATCAAAAGAATGGATCAACACTGTTAGTTGAGTACCCACATCACAAACGTGATTCTCAGAATGCTTCTGTCTAGTTTCTATAGGTAGATATTTCCTTTTTCAGCATAGGCCTGAAAGCGCTCCAAATGCCCGCTTCCAGACACTATAAAAAGAGGGTTTCAAACCTACTCTATGAAAGGGAATGTTCAACTCTGAGAGCTGGATGCAAACATCACAAAGAAGTTTCTGAGAATGCTGCTGTCTACTTTTTATATATAATCCCGTTTCCAACGAAATCCTCAAATCTATCCAAATATCCACTTGCAGATTCCAAAAGAAGAGTGTCTCAAAACTGCTCTATCAATAGAAATGTTCAGCACAGTTAGTTGAGTAGATACAGCATAAACATGTTTCTGAGATTACTTCTATCTCGCATTCATGGGAAGATATTTCCTTTTTCCACATAGGCTACAAAGCCCTCCAAATGTCCACTTCCAGATACTACAAATAGAGTGCTGCACAACTGCTCTATGTGAGGGGATGTTCAATTCTGTGACTTGAATGCAGACACCACAAAGAAGTTTCTGAGAATGCTGCTGTCTAATTTTTACATGTAAGCCCGTTTCCAACGAAATCCTCAAAGCTATCCAAATATCCGCATGCAGAATCTTCAAAAAGAGTGTTCCAGAAGTACTGCATGAAACGAAAGGTTCAAGTCCGTTTGTTGAGGACACACATCACAAATAAGTTTCTCAGAATGCTTCTGTCTTGTTTTCATTGGAAGATATTTCCTTTTTCACCATAGTTCAGAAAGCGCTCCAAATGTCCACTTCCAGATACTCCAAAAAGAGTGTTTCCAACCTGCTCTATGAATGGGAATGTTCCACTCTGTGACTTGAATGGAAATATGGCAAAGAATTTTCTGAGTATGCTGCTGTGTACGTTTTATATTGCATCCCGTTTCCAACGAAATCCTCAAAGCGATCCAAATATCCACTTGCAGATTCCAAAAAAAGAGTGTTTCAAACTGCTCTGTCAGTACAAAGGTTCAACACTGTTAGTTGATTAGATGCCTCATAAACAAGTTCCTGAGATAGCTTCTATGTTGTTTTTATGGGAAGATATTTCCTTTTTCACCATAGGCCTGAAAGCGCTCCAAATGTCCACTTCCAGATACTACAATAAGAGTGTTTCCAACCTGCTCTATGAAACGGAAGGTTCAACTCTGTGACTTGATTGCAAACATCACGAAGGTGTTTCTGAGAATGTTTCTGTCTAGATTTTCTTTGAAGACATTCCCGTTTCCAACGAAATCCTCACAGCTATCCAAATATCCTCTTGCAGATTCTACAAAAAGTGTGGTTCAAAACTGCTGTATCAAACGAATGGATCAACACTGTTAGTTGAGTACCCACATCACAAACGAGATTCTCAGAATGCTTCTGTCTAGTTTCTGTAGGTAGATATTTCCTATTTTAAGCATAGGTCTGAAAGCGCTCCAAATGCCCGCTTCCAGACACTATAAAAAGAGGGTTTCAAACCTACTCTATGAAAGGGAATGTTCAACTCTGAGAGCTGGATGCAAACATCACAAAGAAGTTTCTGAGAATGCTGCTGTCTACTTTTTATATATAATCCCGTTTCCAACGAAATCCTCAAATCTCTCCAAATATCCACTTGCAGATTCCAAAAGAAGAGTGTCTCAAAACTGCTCTATCAATAGAAATGTTCAGCACAGTTAGTTGAGTAGATACAGCATAAACATGTTTCTGAGATTACTTCTATCTCGCATTCATGGGAAGATATTTCCTTTTTCCAGATAGGCTACAAAGCCCTCCAAATGTCCACTTCGAGATACTACAAATAGAGTGCTGCACAACTGCTCTATGTGAGGGGATGTTCAATTCTGTGACTTGGATGCAGACACCACAGAGAAGTTTACTGAGAATGCTGCTGTCTAATTTTTATATGTAAGCCCGTTTCCAACGAAATCCTCAAAGCTAACCAAATATCCGCATGCAGAATCTTCAAAAAGAGTGTTCCAGAAGTACTGCATGAAACGAAAGGTTTGAGTCCGTTAGTTGAGGACACGCATCACAAATAATTTTCTCAGAATGCTTCTGTCTTGTTTTCATTGGAAGATATTTCCTTTTTCACCATAGTTCAGAAAGCGCTCCAAATGTCCACTTCCAGAGACTCCAAAAAGAGTGTTTCAAACCTGCTCTATGAATGGGAATGTTCCACTCTGTGACTTGAATGGAAATATGGCAAAGTATTTTCTGAGTATGCTGCTGTGTACGTTTTATATTGCATCCCGTTTCCAACGAAATCCTCAAAGCGATCCAAATATCCACTTGCAGATTCCAAAAAAAGAGTGTTTCAAACTGCTCTGTCAGTACAAAGGTTCAACACTGTTAGTTGATTAGATGCATCATAAACAAGTTCCTTAGATAGCTTCTATCTCGCATTCATGGGAAGATATTTCCTTTTTCCACATAGGCTACAAAGCCCTGCAAATGTCCACTTCCAGATACTACAAAAAGAGTGTTTCCAACCTGCTCTATGAAATGGAAGGTTCAACTCTGTGACTTGATTGCAAACATCACGAAGGTGTTTCTGAGAATGCTTCTGTCTACATTTTCTTTGAAGACATTACCGTTTCCAACGAAATCCTCAAAGCTAGCCAAATATCCACCTGCAGATTCTACAAAAAGAGTGTTTCAAGAGTGCTCTGTCCAAACCAAGGTTCAATTCTGACAGTTGAGTGCACACATCACAAACGTGATTCTGCGAATGCTTCTGTCTAGTTTTTGTCGGAAGATATTTCCTTTTTCAGCATAGGCCCCAAGGAGCTCAAAATGTCCACTGCCAGATAGTACGAGAAGATTGTTTCAAACCTGCTCTGTGAAAGGGAATGTTCAACTCTGTGACTTGAATGTAAACATCCCTAAGATGTTTCTTAGAATGCTTCTGGCTAGATTTTATTTGAAGATATTCCCGTTTCCAACGAAATCCTCAAAGCTTTCCAAATATCCACTTCCAGATTCTATAAAAAGAATGTTTCAGAACAGTTCTGTCAAAAGAAAGGTTCAACTCTGTTAGTGGAGAACACACATCACAATCAAGGTTCTGAGAATGCTTCTGTCTAAATTTTCTATGAAGACATTCCCGTTTCCAACGAAATCCTCACAGCTATCCAAATATCCACTTGCAGATTCTACAAAAAGTGTGGTTCAAAACTGCTGTATCAAAAGAATGGATCAACACTGTTAGTTGAGTACCCACATCACAAACGTGATTCTCAGAATGCTTCTGTCTAGTTTCTATAGGTAGATATTTCCTTTTTCAGCATAGGCCTGAAAGCGCTCCAAATGCCCGCTTCCAGACACTATAAAAAGAGGGTTTCAAACCTACTCTATGAAAGGGAATGTTCAACTCTGAGAGCTGGATGCAAACATCACAAAGAAGTTTCTGAGAATGCTGCTGTCTACTTTTGATATATAATCCCGTTTCCAACGAAATCCTCAAATCTATCCAAATATCCACTTGCAGATTCCAAAAGAAGAGTGTCTCAAAACTGCTCTATCAATAGAAATGTTCAGCACAGTTAGTTGAGTAGATACAGCATAAACATGTTTCTGAGATTACTTCTATCTCGCATTCATGGGAAGATATTTCCTTTTTCCAGATAGGCTACAAAGCCCTCCAAATGTCCACTTCCAGATACTACAAAAAGAGTGTTTCCAACCTGCTCTATGAAACGGAAGGTTCAACTCTGTGACTTGATTGCAAACATCACGAAGGTGTTTCTGAGAATGCTTCTGTCTAGATTTTCTTTGAAGACATTACCGTTTCCAACGAAATCCTCAAAGCTAGCCAAATATCCACCTGCAGATTCTACAAAAAGAGTGTTTCAAAAGTGCTCTGTCCAAACCAAGGTTCAATTCTGACAGTTGAGTGCACACATCACAAACGTGATTCTGCGAATGCTTCTGTCTAGTTTTTGTCGGAAGATATTTCCTTTTTCAGCATAGGCCCCAAGGAGCTCAAAATGTCCACTGCCAGATAGTACGAGAAGATTGTTTCAAACCTGCTCTGTGAAAGGGAATGTTCAACTCTGTGACTTGAATGTAAACATCCCTAAGCTGTTTCTTAGAATGCTTCTGGCTAGATTTGATTTGAAGATATTCCCGTTTCCAACGAAATCCTCAAAGCTTTCCAAATATCCACTTCCAGATTCTATAAAAAGAATGTTTCATAACAGTTCTGTCAAAAGAAAGGTTCAACTCTGTTAGTGGAGAACACACATCACAATCAAGGTTCTGAGAATGCTTCTGTCTAAATTTTCTATGAAGACCATTCCCGTTTCCAACGAAATCCTCACAGCTATCCAAATATCCACTTGCAGGTTCTACAAAAAGTGTGGTTCAAAACTGCTGTATCAAAAGAATGGATCAACACTGTTAGTTGAGTACCCACATCACAAACGTGATTCTCAGAATGCTTCTGTCTAGTTTCTATAGGTAGATATTTCCTTTTTCAGCATAGGCCTGAAAGCGCTCCAAATGCCCGCTTCCAGACACTATAAAAAGAGGGTTTCAAACCTACTCTATGAAAGGGAATGTTCAACTCTGAGAGCTGGATGCAAACATCACAAAGAAGTTTCTGAGAATGCTGCTGTCTACTTTTTATATATAATCCCGTTTCCAACGAAATCCTCAAATCTATCCAAATATCCACTTGCAGATTCCAAAAGAAGAGTGTCTGAAAACTGCTCTATCAATAGAAATGTTCAGCACAGTTAGTTGAGTAGATACAGCATAAACATGTTTCTGAGATTACTTCTATCTCGCATTCATGGGAAGATATTTCCTTTTTCCACATAGGCTACAAAGCCCTCCAAATGTCCACTTCCAGATACTACAAATAGAGTGCTGCACAACTGCTCTATGTGAGGGGAAGTTCAATTCTGTGACTTGAATGCAGACACCACAAAGAAGTTTCTGAGAATGCTGCTGTCTAATTTTTACATGTAAGCCCGTTTCCAACGAAATCCTCAAAGCTATCCAAATATCCGCATGCAGAATCTTCAAAAAGAGTGTTCCAGAAGTACTGCATGAAACGAAAGGTTCAAGTCCGTTTGGTGAGGACACACATCACAAATAAGTTTCTCAGAATGCTTCTGTCTTGTTTTCATTGGAAGATATTTCCTTTTTCACCATAGTTCAGAAAGCGCTCCAAATGTCCACTTCCAGATATTCCAAAAAGAGTGTTTCCAACCTGCTCTATGAATGGGAATGTTCCACTCTGTGACTTGAATGGAAATATGGCAAAGTATTTTCTGAGTATGCTGCTGTGTACGTTTTATATTGCATCCCGTTTCCAACGAAATCCTCAAAGCGATCCAAATATCCACTTGCAGATTCCAAAAAAAGAGTGTTTCAAACTGCTCTGTCAGTACAAAGGTTCAACACTGTTAGTTGATTAGATGCATCATAAACAAGTTCCTGAGATAGCTTCTATGTCGTTTTTATGGGAAGATATTTCCTTTTTCACCATAGGCCTGAAAGCGCTCCAAATGTCCACTTCCAGATACTACAAAAAGAGTGTTTCCAACCTGCTCTATGAAACGGAAGGTTCAACTCTGTGACTTGATTGCAAACATCACGAAGGTGTTTCTGAGAATGCTTCTGTCTAGATTTTCTTTGAAGACATTACCGTTTCCAACGAAATCCTCAAAGCTAGCCAAATATCCACCTGCAGATTCTACAAAAAGAGTGTTTCAAAAGTGCTCTGTCCAAACCAAGGTTCAATTCTGACAGTTGAGTGCACACATCACAAACGTGATTCTGCGAATGCTTCTGTCTAGTTTTTGTCGGAAGATATTTCCTTTTTCAGCATAGGCCCCAAGGAGCTCAAAATGTCCACTGCCAGATAGTACGAGAAGATTGTTTCAAACCTGCTCTGTGAAAGGGAATGTTCAACTCTGTGACTTGAATGTAAACATCCCTAAGATGTTTCTTAGAATGCTTCTGGCTAGATTTTATTTGAAGATATTCCCGTTTCCAACGAAATCCTCAAAGCTTTCCAAATATCCACTTCCAGATTCTATAAAAAGAATGTTTCAGAACAGTTCTGTCAAAAGAAAGGTTCAACTCTGTTAGTGGAGAACACACATCACTATTCAAGGTTCTGAGAATGCTTCTGTCTACATTTTCTATGAAGACATTCCCGTTTCCAACGAAATCCTCACAGCTATCCAAATATCCACTTGCAGATTCTACAAAAAGTGTGGTTCAAAACTGCTGTATCAAAAGAATGGATCAACACTGTTAGTTGAGTACCCACATCACAAACGTGATTCTCAGAATGCTTCTGTCTAGTTTCTATAGGTAGATATTTCCTTTTTCAGCATAGGCCTGAAAGCGCTCCAAATGCCCGCTTCCAGAAACTATAAAAAGAGGGTTTCAAACCTACTCTATGAAAGGGAATGTTCAACTCTGAGAGCTGGATGCAAACATCACAAAGAAGTTTCTGAGAATGCTGCTGTCTACTTTTTATATATAATCCCGTTTCCAACGAAATCCTCAAATCTATCCAAATATCCACTTGCAGATTCCAAAAGAAGAGTGTCTCAAAACTGCTCTATCAATAGAAATGTTCAGCACAGTTAGTTGAGTAGATACAGCATAAACATGTTTCTGAGATTACTTCTATCTCGCATTCATGGGAAGATATTTCCTTTTTCCAGATAGGCTACAAAGCCCTCCAAATGTCCACTTCCAGATACTACAAATAGAGTGCTGCACAACTGCTCTATGTGAGGGGATGTTCAATTCTGTGACTTGAATGCAGACACCACAAAGAAGTTTCTGAGAATGCTGCTGTCTAATTTTTACATGTAAGCCCGTTTCCAACGAAATCCTCAAAGCTATCCAAATATCCGCATGCAGAATCTTCAAAAAGAGTGTTCCAGAAGTACTGCATGAAACGAAAGGTTCAAGTCCGTTTGTTGAGGACACACATCACAAATAAGTTTCTCAGAATGCTTCTGTCTTGTTTTCATTGGAAGATATTTCCTTTTTCACCATAGTTCAGAAAGCGCTCCAAATGTCCACTTCCAGATACTCCAAAAAGAGTGTTTCAAACCTGCTCTATGAATGGGAATGTTCCACTCTGTGACTTGAATGGAAATATGGCAAAGTATTTTCTGAGTATGCTGCTGTGTACGTTTTATATTGCATCCCGTTTCCAACGAAATCCTCAAAGCGATCCAAATATCCACTTGCAGATTCCAAAAAAAGAGTGTTTCAAAGTGCTCTGTCAGTACAAAGGTTCAACACTGTTAGTTGATTAGATGCATCATAAACAAGTTCCTGAGATAGCTTCTATGTCGTTTTTATGGGAAGATATTTCCTTTTTCACCATAGGCCTGAAAGCGCTCCAAATGTCCACTTCCAGATACTACAAAAAGAGTGTTTCCAACCTGCTCTATGAAACGGAAGGTTCAACTCTGTGACTTGATTGCAAACATCACGAAGGTGTTTCTGAGAATGCTTCTGTCTAGATTTTCTTTGAAGACATTACCGTTTCCAACGAAATCCTCAAAGCTAGCCAAATATCCACCTGCAGATTCTACAAAAAGAGTGTTTCAAAAGTGCTCTGTCCAAACCAAGGTTCAATTCTGACAGTTGAGTGCACACATCACAAACGTGATTCTGCGAATGCTTCTGTCTAGTTTTTGTCGGAAGATATTTCCTTTTTCAGCATAGGCCCCAAGGAGCTCAAAATGTCCACTTCCAGATAGTACGAGAAGATTGTTTCAAACGTGCTCTGTGAAAGGGAATGTTCAACTCTGTGACTTGAATGTAAACATCCCTAAGATGTTTCTTAGAATGCTTCTGGCTAGATTTTATTTGAAGATATTCCCGTTTCCAACGAAATCCTCAAAGCTTTCCAAATATCCACTTCCAGATTCTATAAAAAGAATGTTTCAAAACAGTTCTGTCAAAAGAAAGGTTCAACTCTGTTAGTGGAGAACACACATCACAATCAAGGTTCTGTGAATGCTTCTGTCTAAATTTTCTATGAAGACATTCCCGTTTCCAACGAAATCCTCACAGCTATCCAAATATCCACTTGCAGATTCTACAAAAAGTGTGGTTCAAAACTGCTGTATCAAAAGAATGGATCAACACTGTTAGTTGAGTACCCACATCACAAACGTGATTCTCAGAATGCTTCTGTCTAGTTTCTATAGGTAGATATTTCCTTTTTCAGCATAGGCCTGAAAGCGCTCCAAATGCCCGCTTCCAGACACTATAAAAAGAGGGTTTCAAACCTACTCTATGAAAGGGAATGTTCAACTCTGAGAGCTGGATGCAAACATCACAAAGAAGTTTCTGAGAATGCTGCTGTCTACTTTTTATATATAATCCTGTTTCCAACGAAATCCTCAAATCTATCCAAATATCCACTTGCAGATTCCAAAAGAAGAGTGTCTCAAAACTGCTCTATCAATAGAAATGTTCAGCACAGTTAGTTGAGTAGATACAGCATAAACATGTTTCTGAGATTACTTCTATCTCGCATTCATGGGAAGATATTTCCTTTTTCCAGATAGGCTACAAAGCCCTCCAAATGTCCACTTCCAGATACTACAAAAAGAGTGTTTCCAACCTGCTCTATGAAACGGAAGGTTCAACTCTGTGACTTGATTGCAAACATCACGAAGGTGTTTCTGAGAATGCTTCTGTCTAGATTTTCTTTGAAGACATTACCGTTTCCAACGAAATCCTCAAAGCTAGCCAAATATCCACCTGCAGATTCTACAAAAACTGTGTTTCAAAAGTGCTCTCTCCAAACCAAGGTTCAATTCTGACAGTTGAGTGCACACATCACAAACGGGATTCTGCGAATGCTTCTGTCTAGTTTTTGTCGGAAGATATTTCCTTTTTCAGCATAGGCCCCAAGGAGCTCAAAATGTCCACTGCCAGATAGTACGAGAAGATTGTTTCAAACCTGCTCTGTGAAAGGGAATGTTCAACTCTGTGACTTGAATGTAAACATCCCTAAGATGTTTCTTAGAATGCTTCTGGCTAGATTTTATTTGAAGATATTCCCGTTTCCAACGAAATCCTCAAAGCTTTCCAAATATCCACTTCCAGATTCTATAAAAAGAATGTTTCAGAACAGTTCTGTCAAAAGAAAGGTTCAACTCTGTTAGTGGAGAACACACATCACAATCAAGGTTCTGAGAATGCTTCTGTCTAAATTTTCTATGAAGACATTCCCGTTTCCAACGAAATCCTCACAGCTATCCAAATATCCACTTGCAGATTCTACAAAAAGTGTGGTTCAAAACTGCTGTATCAAAAGAATGGATCAACACTGTTAGTTGAGTACCCACATCACAAACGTGATTCTCAGAATGCTTCTGTCTAGTTTCTATAGGTAGATATTTCCTTTTTCAGCATAGGCCTGAAAGCGCTCCAAATGCCCGCTTCCAGACACTATAAAAAGAGGGTTTCAAACCTACTCTATGAAAGGGAATGTTCAACTCTGAGAGCTGGATGCAAACATCACAAAGAAGTTTCTGAGAATGCTGCTGTCTACTTTTTATATATAATCCCGTTTCCAACGAAATCCTCAAATCTATCCAAATATCCACTTGCAGATTCCAAAAGAAGAGTGTCTCAAAACTGCTCTATCAATAGAAATGTTCAGCACAGTTAGTTGAGTAGATACAGCATAAACATGTTTCTGAGATTACTTCTATCTCGCATTCATGGGAAGATATTTCCTTTTTCCAGATAGGCTACAAAGCCCTCCAAATGTCCACTTCCAGATACTACAAATAGAGTGCTGCACAACTGCTCTATGTGAGGGGAAGTTCAATTCTGTGACTTGAATGCAGACACCACAAAGAAGTTTCTGAGAATGCTGCTGTCTAATTTTTACATGTAAGCCCGTTTCCAACGAAATCCTCAAAGCTATCCAAATATCCGCATGCAGAATCTTCAAAAAGAGTGTTCCAGAAGTACTGCATGAAACGAAAGGTTCAAGTCCCGTTTGTTGAGGACACACATCACAAATAAGTTTCTCAGAATGCTTCTGTCTTGTTTTCATTGGAAGATATTTCCTTTTTCACCATAGTTCAGAAAGCGCTCCAAATGTCCACTTCCAGATACTCCAAAAAGAGTGTTTCAAACCTGCTCTATGAATGGGAATGTTCCACTCTGTGACTTGAATGGAAATATGGCAAAGTATTTTCTGAGTATGCTGCTGTGTACGTTTTATATTGCATCCCGTTTCCAACGAAATCCTCAAAGCGATCCAAATATCCACTTGCAGATTCCAAAAAAAGAGTGTTTCAAAGTGCTCTGTCAGTACAAAGGTTCAACACTGTTAGTTGATTAGATGCATCATAAACAAGTTCCTGAGATAGCTTCTATGTCGTTTTTATGGGAAGATATTTCCTTTTTCACCATAGGCCTGAAAGCGCTCCAAATGTCCACTTCCAGATACTACAAAAAGAGTGTTTCCAACCTGCTCTATGAAACGGAAGGTTCAACTCTGTGACTTGATTGCAAACATCACGAAGGTGTTTCTGAGAATGTTTCTGTCTAGATTTTCTTTAAAGACATTCCCGTTTCCAACGAAATCCTCACAGCTATCCAAATATCCTCTTGCAGATTCTACAAAAAGTGTGGTTCAAAACTGCTGTATCAAAAGAATGGATCAACACTGTTAGTTGAGTACCCACATCACAAACGTGATTCTCAGAATGCTTCTGTCTAGTTTCTGTAGGTAGATATTTCCTATTTTAAGCATAGGCCTGAAAGCGCTCCAAATGCCCGCTTCCAGACACTATAAAAAGAGGGTTTCAAACCTACTCTATGAAAGGGAATGTTCAACTCTGAGAGCTGGATGCAAACATCACAAAGAAGTTTCTGAGAATGCTGCTGTCTACTTTTTATATATAATCCCGTTTCCAACGAAATCCTCAAATCTATCCAAATATCCACTTGCAGATTCCAAAAGAAGAGGGTCTCAAAACTGCTCTATCAATAGAAATGCTCAGCACAGTTAGTTGAGTAGATACAGCATAAACATGTTTCTGAGATTACTTCTATCTCGCATTCATGGGAAGATATTTCCTTTTTCCAGATAGGCTAAAAAGCCCTCCAAATGTCCACTTCCAGATACTACAAAAAGAGTGTTTCCAACCTGCTCTATGAAACGGAAGGTTCAACTCTGTGACTTGATTGCAAACATCACGAAGGTGTTTCTGAGAATGCTTCTGTCTAGATTTTCTTTGAAGACATTACCGTTTCCAACGAAATCCTCAAAGCTAGCCAAATATCCACCTGCAGATTCTACAAAAAGAGTGTTTCAAAAGTGCTCTGTCCAAACCAAGGTTCAATTCTGACAGTTGAGTGCACACATCACAAACGTGATTCTGCGAATGCTTCTGTCTAGTTTTTGTCGGAAGATATTTCCTTTTTCAGCATAGGCCCCAAGGAGCTCAAAATGTCCACTGCCAGATAGTACGAGAAGATTGTTTCAAACCTGCTCTGTGAAAGGGAATGTTCAACTCTGTGACTTGAATGTAAACATCCCTAAGATGTTTCTTAGAATGCTTCTGGCTAGATTTGATTTGAAGATATTCCCGTTTCCAACGAAATCCTCAAAGCTTTCCAAATATCCACTTCCAGATTCTATAACAAGAATGTTTCAGAACAGTTCTGTCAAAAGAAAGGTTCAACTCTGTTAGTGGAGAACACACATCACAATCAAGGTTCTGAGAATGCTTCTGTCTAAATTTTCTATGAAGACATTCCCGTTTCCAACGAAATCCTCACAGCTATCCAAATATCCACTTGCAGATTCTACAAAAAGTGTGGTTCAAAACTGCTGTATCAAAAGAATGGATCAACACTGTTAGTTGAGTACCCACATCACAAACGTGATTCTCAGAATGCTTCTGTCTAGTTTCTATAGGTAGATATTTCCTTTTTCAGCATAGGCCCGAAAGCGCTCCAAATGCCCGCTTCCAGACACTATAAAAAGAGGGTTTCAAACCTACTCTATGAAAGGGAATGTTCAACTCTGAGAGCTGGATGCAAACATCACAAAGAAGTTTCTGAGAATGCTGCTGTCTACTTTTTATATATAATCCCGTTTCCAACGAAATCCTCAAATCTATCCAAATATCCACTTGCAGATTCCAAAAGAAGAGTGTCTCAAAACTGCTCTATCAATAGAAATGTTCAGCACAGTTAGTTGAGTAGATACAGCATAAACATGTTTCTGAGATTACTTCTATCTCGCATTCATGGGAAGATATTTCCTTTTTCCAGATAGGCTACAAAGCCCTCCAAATGTCCACTTCCAGATACTACAAAAAGAGTGTTTCCAACCTGCTCTATGAAACGGAAGGTTCAACTCTGTGACTTGATTGCAAACATCACGAAGGTGTTTCTGAGAATGCTTCTGTCTAGATTTTCTTTGAAGACATTACCGTTTCCAACGAAATCCTCAAAGCTAGCCAAATATCCACCTGCAGATTCTACAAAAAGAGTGTTTCAAAAGTGCTCTCTCCAAACCAAGGTTCAATTCTGACAGTTGAGTGCACACATCACAAACGTGATTCTGCGAATGCTTCTGACTAGTTTTTGTCGGAAGATATTTCCTTTTTCAGCATAGGCCCCAAAGAGCTCAAAATGTCCACTGCCAGATAGTACGAGAAGATTGTTTCAAACCTGCTCTGTGAAAGGGAATGTTCAACTCTGTGACTTGAATGTAAACATCCCTAAGATGTTTCTTAGAATGCTTCTGGCTAGATTTTATTTGAAGATATTCCCGTTTCCAACGAAATCCTCAAAGCTTTCCAAATATCCACTTCCAGATTCTATAAAAAGAATGTTTCAGAACAGTTCTGTCAAAAGAAAGGTTCAACTCTGTTAGTGGAGAACACACATCACAATCAAGGTTCTGAGAATGCTTCTGTCTAAATTTTCTATGAAGACATTCCCGTTTCCAACGAAATCCTCACAGCTATCCAAATATCCACTTGCAGATTCTACAAAAAGTGTGGTTCAAAACTGCTGTATCAAAAGAATGGATCAACACTGTTAGTTGAGTACCCACATCACAAACGTGATTCTCAGAATGCTTCTGTCTAGTTTCTATAGGTAGATAATTCCTTTTTCAGCATAGGCCTGAAAGCGCTCCAAATGCCCGCTTCCAGACACTATAAAAAGAGGGTTTCAAACCTACTCTATGAAAGGGAATGTTCAACTCTGAGAGCTGGATGCAAACATCACAAAGAAGTTTCTGAGAATGCTGCTGTCTACTTTTGATATATAATCCCGTTTCCAACGAAATCCTCAAATCTATCCAAATATCCACTTGCAGATTCCAAAAGAAGAGTGTCTCAAAACTGCTCTATCAATAGAAATGTTCAGCACAGTTAGTTGAGTAGATACAGCATAAACATGTTTCTGAGATTACTTCTATCTCGCATTCATGGGAAGATATTTCCTTTTTCCAGATAGGCTACAAAGCCCTCCAAATGTCCACTTCCAGATACTACAAATAGAGTGCTGCACAACTGCTCTATGTGAGGGGAAGTTCAATTCTGTGACTTGAATGCAGACACCACAAAGAAGTTTCTGAGAATGCTGCTGTCTAATTTTTACATGTAAGCCCGTTTCCAACGAAATCCTCAAAGCTATCCAAATATCCGCATGCAGAATCTTCAAAAAGAGTGTTCCAGAAGTACTGCATGAAACGAAAGGTTCAAGTCCGTTTGTTGAGGACACACATCACAAATAAGTTTCTCAGAATGCTTCTGTCTTGTTTTCATTGGAAGATATTTCCTTTTTCACCATAGTTCAGAAAGCGCTCCAAATGTCCACTTCCAGATACTCCAAAAAGAGTGTTTCAAACCTGCTCTATGAATGGGAATGTTCCACTCTGTGACTTGAATGGAAATATGGCAAAGTATTTTCTGAGTATGCTGCTGTGTACGTTTTATATTGCATCCCGTTTCCAACGAAATCCTCAAAGCGATCCAAATATCCACTTGCAGATTCCAAAAAAAGAGTGTTTCAAACTGCTCTGTCAGTACAAAGGTTCAACACTGTTAGTTGATTAGATGCATCATAAACAAGTTCCTGAGATAGCTTCTATGTCGCTTTTATGGGAAGATATTTCCTTTTACACCATAGGCCTGAAAGCGCTCCAAATGTCCACTTCCAGATACTACAAAATGAGTGTTTCCAACCTGCTCTATGAAACGGAAGGTTCAACTCTGTGACTTGATTGCAAACATCACGAAGGTGTTTCTGAGGATGTTTCTGTCTAGATTTTCTTTGAAGACATTACCGTTTCCAACGAAATCCTCAAAGCTAGCCAAATATCCACCTGCAGATTCTACAAAAAGAGTGTTTCAAAAGTGCTCTGTCCAAACCAAGGTTCAATTCTGACAGTTGAGTGCACACATCACAAACGTGATTCTGCGAATGCTTCTGTATAGTTTTTGTCGGAAGATATTTCCTTTTTCAGCATAGGCCCCAAGGAGCTCAAAATGTCCACTGCCAGATAGTACGAGAAGATTGTTTCAAACCTGCTCTGAGAAAGGGGAATGTTCAACTCTGTGACTTGAATGTAAACATCCCTAAGATGTTTCTTAGAATGCTTCTGGCTAGATTTTATTTGAAGATATTCCCGTTTCCAACGAAATCCTCAAAGCTTTCCAAATATCCACTTCCAGATTCTATAAAAAGAATGTTTCAAAACAGTTCTGTCCAAAGAAAGGTTCAACTCTGTTAGTGGAGAACTCACATCACAATCCAGGTTCTGAGAATGCTTCTGTCTAAATTTTCTATGAAGACATTCCCGTTTCCAACGAAATCCTCACAGCTATCCAAATATCCACTTGCAGATTCTACAAAAAGGGTGGTTCAAAACTGCTGTATCAAAAGAATGGATCAACACTGTTAGTTGAGGACCCACATCACAAACGTGATTCTCAGAATGCTTCTGTCTAGTTTCTGTAGGTAGATATTTCCTTTTTCAGCATAGGCCTGAAAGCGCTCCAAATGCCCGCTTCCAGACACTATAAAAAGAGGGTTTCAAACCTACTCTATGAAAGGGAATGTTCAACTCTGAGAGCTGGATGCAAACATCACAAAGAAGTTTCTGAGAATGCTGCTGTCTACTTTTGATATATAATCCCGTTTCCAACGAAATCCTCAAATCTATCCAAATATCCACTTGCAGATTCCAAAAGAAGAGTGTCTCAAAACTGCTCTATCAATAGAAATGTTCAGCACAGTTAGTTGAGTAGATACAGCATAAACATGTTTCTGAGATTACTTCTATCTCGCATTCATGGGAAGATATTTCCTTTTTCCAGATAGGCTACAAAGCCCTCCAAATGTCCACTTCCAGATACTACAAATAGAGTGCTGCACAACTGCTCTATGTGAGGGGAAGTTCAATTCTGTGACTTGAATGCAGACACCACAAAGAAGTTTCTGAGAATGCTGCTGTCTAATTTTTACATGTAAGCCCGTTTCCAACGAAATCCTCAAAGCAATCCAAATATCCGCATGCAGAATCTTCAAAAAGAGTGTTCCAGAAGTACTGCATGAAACGAAAGGTTCAAGTCCGTTAGTTGAGGACACACATCACAAATAAGTTTCTCAGAATGCTTCTGTCTTGTTTTCATTGGAAGATATTTCCTTTTTCACCATAGTTCAGAAAGCGCTCCAAATGTCCACTTCCAGATACTCCAAAAAGAGTGTTTCAAACCTGCTCTATGAATGGGAATGTTCCACTCTGTGACTTGAATGGAAATATGGCAAAGTATTTTCTGAGTATGCTGCTGTGTACGTTTTATATTGCATCCCGTTTCCAACGAAATCCTCAAAGCGATCCAAATATCCACTTGCAGATTCCAAAAAAAGAGTGTTTCAAACTGCTCTGTCAGTACAAAGGTTCAACACTGTTAGTTGATTAGATGCATCATAAACAAGTTCCTGAGATAGCTTCTATGTCGTTTTTATGGGAAGATATTTCCTTTTTCACCATAGGCCTGAAAGCGCTCCAAATGTCCACTTCCAGATACTACAATAAGAGTGTTTCCAACCTGCTCTATGAAACGGAAGGTTCAACTCTGTGACTTGATTGCAAACATCACGAAGGTGTTTCTGAGAATGCTTCTGTCTAGATTTTCTTTGAAGACATTCCCGTTTCCAACGAAATCCTCACAGCTATCCAAATATCCTCTTGCAGATTCTACAAAAACTGTGGTTCAAAACTGCTGTATCAAAAGAATGGATCAACACTGTTAGTTGAGTACCCACATCACAAACGTGATTCTCAGAATGCTTCTGTCTAGTTTCTGTAGGTAGATATTTCCTATTTTAAGCATAGGCCTGAAAGCGCTCCAAATGCCCGCTTCCAGACACTATAAAAAGAGGGTTTCAAACCTACTCTATGAAAGGGAATGTTCAACTCTGAGAGCTGGATGCAAACATCACAAAGAAGTTTCTGAGAATGCTGCTGTCTACTTTTTATATATAATCCCGTTTCCAACGAAATCCTCAAATCTATCCAAATATCCACTTGCAGATTCCAAAAGAAGAGTGTCTCAAAACTGCTCTATCAATAGAAATGTTCAGCACAGTTAGTTGAGTAGATACAGCATAAACATGTTTCTGAGATTACTTCTATCTCGCATTCATGGGAAGATATTTCCTTTTTCCAGATAGGCTACAAAGCCCTCCAAATGTCCACTTCCAGATACTACAAAAAGAGTGTTTCCAACCTGCTCTATGAAACGGAAGGTTCAACTCTGTGACTTGATTGCAAACATCACGAAGGTGTTTCTGAGAATGCTTCTGTCTAGATTTTCTTTGAAGACATTACCGTTTCCAACGAAATCCTCAAAGCTAGCCAAATATCCACCTGCAGATTCTACAAAAAGAGTGTTTCAAAAGTGCTCTGTCCAAACCAAGGTTCAATTCTGACAGTTGAGTGCACACATCACAAACGTGATTCTGCGAATGCTTCTGTCTAGTTTTTGTCGGAAGATATTTCAATTTTCAGCATAGGCCCCAAGGAGCTCAAAATGTCCACTGCCAGATAGTACGAGAAGATTGTTTCAAACCTGCTCTGTGAAAGGGAATGTTCAACTCTGTGACTTGAATGTAAACATCCCTAAGATGTTTCTTAGAATGCTTCTGGCTAGATTTGATTTGAAGATATTCCCGTTTCCAACGAAATCCTCAAAGCTTTCCAAATATCCACTTTCAGATTCTATAAAAAGAATGTTTCAGAACAGTTCTGTCAAAAGAAAGGTTCAACTCTGTTAGTGGAGAACACACATCACAATCAAGGTTCTGAGAATGCTTCTGTCTAAGTTTTCTAAGAAGACATTCCCGTTTCCAACGAAATCCTCACAGCTATCCAAATATCCACTTGCAGATTCTACAAAAAGTGTGGTTCAAAACTGCTGTATCAAAAGAATGGATCAACACTGTTAGTTGAGTACCCACATCACAAACGTGATTCTCAGAATGCTTCTGTCTAGTTTCTGTAGGTGGATATTTCCTATTTTAAGCATAGGCCTGTAAGCGCTCCAAATGCCCGCTTCTAGACACTATAAAAAGAGGGTTTCAAACCTACTCTATGAAAGGGAATGTTCAACTCTGAGAGCTGGATGCAAACATCACAAAGAAGTTTCTGAGAATGCTGCTGTCTACTTTTTATATATAATCCCGTTTCCAACGAAATCCTCAAATCTATCCAAATATCCACTTGCAGATTCCAAAAGAAGAGTGTCTCAAAACTGCTCTATCAATAGAAATGTTCAGCACAGTTAGTTGAGTAGATACAGCATAAACATGTTTCTGAGATTACTTCTATCTCGCATTCATGGGAAGATATTTCCTTTTTCCAGATAGGCTACAAAGCCCTCCAAATGTCCACTTCCAGATACTACAAAAAGAGTGTTTCCAACCTGCTCTATGAAACGGAAGGTTCAACTCTGTGACTTGATTGCAAACATCACGAAGGTGTTTCTGAGAATGCTTCTGTCTAGATTTTCTTTGAAGACATTACCGTTTCCAACGAAATCCTCAAAGCTAGCCAAATATCCACCTGCAGATTCTACAAAAAGAGTGTTTCAAAAGTGCTCTGTCCAAACCAAGGTTCAATTCTGACAGTTGAGTGCACACATCACAAACGTGATTCTGCGAATGCTCTGTCTAGTTTTTGTCGGAAGATATTTCCTTTTTCAGCATAGGCCCCAAAGAGCTCAAAATGTCCACTGCCAGATAGTACGAGAAGATTGTTTCAAACCTGCTCTGTGAAAGGGAATGTTCAACTCTGTGACTTGAATGTAAACATCCCTAAGATGTTTCTTAGAATGCTTTCTGGCTAGATTTGATTTGAAGATATTCCCGTTTCCAACGAAATCCTCAAAGCTTTCCAAATATCCACTTCCAGATTCTATAACAAGAATGTTTCAGAACAGTTCTGTCAAAAGAAAGGTTCAACTCTGTTAGTGGAGAACACACATCACAATCAAGGTTCTGAGAATGCTTCTGTCTAAATTTTCTATGAAGACATTCCCGTTTCCAACGAAATCCTCACAGCTATCCAAATATCCACTTGCAGATTCTACAAAAAGTGTGGTTCAAAACTGCTGTATCAAAAGAATGGATCAACACTGTTAGTTGAGTACCCACATCACAAACGTGATTCTCAGAATGCTTCTGTCTAGTTTCTATAGGTAGATATTTCCTTTTTCAGCATAGGCCTGAAAGCGCTCTAAATGCCCGCTTCCAGACACTATAAAAAGAGGGTTTCAAACCTACTCTATGAAAGGGAATGTTCAACTCTGAGAGCTGGATGCAAACATCACAAAGAAGTTTCTGAGAATGCTGCTGTCTACTTTTGATATATAATCCCGTTTCCAACGAAATCCTCAAATCTATCCAAATATCCACTTGCAGATTCCAAAAGAAGAGTGTCTCAAAACTGCTCTATCAATAGAAATGTTCAGCACAGTTAGTTGAGTAGATACAGCATAAACATGTTTCTGAGATTACTTCTATCTCGCATTCATGGGAAGATATTTCCTTTTTCCACATAGGCTACAAAGCCCTCCAAATGTCCACTTCCAGATACTACAAAAAGAGTGTTTCCAACCTGCTCTATGAAACGGAAGGTTCAACTCTGTGACTTGATTGCAAACATCACGAAGGTGTTTCTGAGAATGCTTCTGTCTAGATTTTCTTTGAAGACATTACCGTTTCCAACGAAATCCTCAAAGCTAGCCAAATATCCACCTGCAGATTCTACAAAAAGAGTGTTTCAAAAGTGCTCTGTCCAAACCAAGGTTCAATTCTGACAGTTGAGTGCACACATCACAAACGTGATTCTGCGAATGCTTCTGTCTAGTTTTTGTCGGAAGATATTTCCTTTTTCAGCATAGGCCCCAAGGAGCTCAAAATGTCCACTGCCAGATAGTACGAGAAGATTGTTTCAAACCTGCTCTGTGAAAGGGAATGTTCAACTCTGTGACTTGAATGTAAACATCCCTAAGATGTTTCTTAGAATGCTTCTGGCTAGATTTTATTTGAAGATATTCCCGTTTCCAACGAAATCCTCAAAGCTTTCCAAATATCCACTTCCAGATTCTATAAAAAGAATGTTTCAGAACAGTTCTGTCAAAAGAAAGGTTCAACTCTGTTAGTGGAGAACACACATCACAATCAAGGTTCTGAGAATGCTTCTGTCTAAATTTTCTATGAAGACATTCCCGTTTCCAACGAAATCCTCACAGCTATCCAAATATCCACTTGCAGATTCTACAAAAAGTGTGGTTCAAAACTGCTGTATCAAAAGAATGGATCAACACTGTTAGTTGAGTACCCACATCACAAACGTGATTCTCAGAATGCTTCTGTCTAGTTTCCATAGGTAGATATTTCCTTTTTCAGCATAGGCCTGAAAGCGCTCCAAATGCCCGCTTCCAGACACTATAAAAAGAGGGTTTCAAACCTACTCTATGAAAGGGAATGTTCAACTCTGAGAGCTGGATGCAAACATCACAAAGAAGTTTCTGAGAATGCTGCTGTCTACTTTTGATATATAATCCCGTTTCCAACGAAATCCTCAAATCTATCCAAATATCCACTTGCAGATTCCAAAAGAAGAGTGTCTCAAAACTGCTCTATCAATAGAAATGTTCAGCACAGTTAGTTGAGTAGATACAGCATAAACATGTTTCTGAGATTACTTCTATCTCGCATTCATGGGAAGATATTTCCTTTTTCCAGATAGGCTACAAAGCCCTCCAAATGTGCACTTCGAGATACTACAAATAGAGTGCTGCACAACTGCTCTATGTGAGGGGAAGTTCAATTCTGTGACTTGAATGCAGACACCACAAAGAAGTTTCTGAGAATGCTGCTGTCTAATTTTTACATGTAAGCCCGTTTCCAACGAAATCCTCAAAGCTATCCAAATATCCGCATGCAGAATCTTCAAAAAGAGTGTTCCAGAAGTACTGCATGAAACGAAAGGTTCAAGTCCGTTTGTTGAGGACACACATCACAAATAAGTTTCTCAGAATGCTTCTGTCTTGTTTTCATTGGAAGATATTTCCTTTTTCACCATAGTTCAGAAAGCGCTCCAAATGTCCACTTCCAGATACTCCAAAAAGAGTGTTTCAAACCTGCTCTATGAATGGGAATGTTCCACTCTGTGACTTGAATGGAAATATGGCAAAGTATTTTCTGAGTATGCTGCTGTGTACGTTTTATATTGCATCCCGTTTCCAACGAAATCCTCAAAGCGATCCAAATATCCACTTGCAGATTCCAAAAAAAGAGTGTTTCAAACTGCTCTGTCAGTACAAAGGTTCAACACTGTTAGTTGATTAGATGCATCATAAACAAGTTCCTGATATAGATTCTATGTCGTTTTTATGGGAAGATATTTCCTTTTTCACCATAGGCCTGAAAGCGCTCCAAATGTCCACTTCCAGATACTACAAAAAGAGTGTTTCCAACCTGCTCTATGAAACGGAAGGTTCAACTCTGTGACTTGATTGCAAACATCACGAAGGTGTTTCTGAGAATGTTTCTGTCTAGATTTTCTTTGAAGACATTACCGTTTCCAACGAAATCCTCAAAGCTAGCCAAATATCCACCTGCAGATTCTACAAAAAGAGTGTTTCAAAAGTGCTCTGTCCAAACAAAGGTTCAATTCTGACAGTTGAGTGCACACATCACAAACGTGATTCTGCGAATGCTTCTGTCTAGTTTTTGTCGGAAGATATTTCCTTTTTCAGCATAGGCCCCAAGGAGCTCAAAATGTCCACTTCCAGATAGTACGAGAAGATTGTTTCAAACCTGCTCTGTGAAAGGGAATGTTCAACCCTGTGACTTGAATGTAAACATCCCTAAGATGTTTCTTAGAATGCTTCTGGCTAGATTTGATTTGAAGATATTCCCGTTTCCAATGAAATCCTCAAAGCTTTCCAAATATCCACTTCCAGATTCTATAAAAAGAATGTTTCAAAACAGTTCTGTCAAAAGAAAGGTTCAACCCTGTTAGTGGAGAACACACATCACAATCAAGGTTCTGAGAATGCTTCTGTCTAAATTTTCTATGAAGACATTCCCGTTTCCAAGGAAATCCTCACAGCTATCCAAATATCCACTTGCAGATTCTACAAAAAGTGTGGTTCAAAACTGCTGTATCAAAAGAATGGATCAACACTGTTAGTTGAGTACCCACATCACAAACGTGATTCTCAGAATGCTTCTGTCTAGTTTCTATAGGTAGATATTTCCTTTTTCAGCATAGGCCTGAAAGCGCTCCAAATGCCCGCTTCCAGACACTATAAAAAGAGGGTTTCAAACCTACTCTACGAAAGGGAATGTTCAACTCTGAGAGCTGGATGCAAACATCACAAAGGAGTTTCTGAGAATGCGGCTGTCTACTTTTTATATATAATCCCGTTGCCATCGAAATCCTCAAATCTTTCCAAATATCCACTTGCAGATTCCAAAAGAAGAGTGTCTCAAAACTGCTCTATCAATAGAAATGTTCAGCACAGTTAGTTGAGTAGATACAGCATAAACATGTTTCTGAGATTACTTCTATCTCGCATTCATGGGAAGATATTTCCTTTTTCCAGATAGGCTACAAAGCCCTCCAAATGTCCACTTCGAGATACTACAAATAGAGTGCTGCACAACTGCTCTATGTGAGGGGATGTTCAATTCTGTGACTTGGATGCAGACACCACAGAGAAGTTTCTAAGAATGCTGCTGTCTAATTTTTATATGTAAGCCCGTTTCCAACGAAATCCTCAAAGCTATCCAAATATCCGCATGCAGAATCTTCAAAAAGAGTGTTCCAGAAGTACTGCATGAAACGAAAGGTTCAAGTCCGTTAGTTGAGGACACACATCACAAATAAGTTTCTCAGAATGCTTCTGTCTTGTTTTCATTGGAAGATATTTCCTTTTTCACCATAGTTCAGAAAGCGCTCCAAATGTCCACTTCCAGATACTACAAAAAGAGTGTGTCAAACCTGCTCTATGAATGGGAATGTTCCACTCTGTGACTTGAATGGAAATATGGCAAAGTATTTTCTGAGTATGCTGCTGTGTACGTTTTATATTGCATCCCGTTTCCAACGAAATCCTCAAAGCGATCCAAATATCCACTTGCAGATTCTAAAAAAAAGAGTGTTTCACACTGCTCTGTCAGTACAAAGGTTCAACACTGTTAGTTGATTGGATGCATCATAAACAAGTTCCTGAGATAGCTTCTATGTCGTTTTTATGGGAAGATATTTCCTTTTTCACCATAGGCCTGAAAGCGCTCCAAATGTGCACTTCCAGATACTACAATAAGAGTGTTTCCAACCTGCTCTATGAAACGGAAGGTTCAACTCTGTGACTTGATTGCAAACATCACGAAGGTGTTTCTGAGAATGTTTCTGTCTAGATTTTCTTTGAAGACATTCCCGTTTCCAACGAAATCCTCACAGCTATCCAAATATCCTCTTGCAGATTCTACAAAAAGTGTGGTTCAAAACTGCTGTATCAAAAGAATGGATCAACACTGTTAGTTGAGTACCCACATCACAAACGAGATTCTCAGAATGCTTCTGTCTAGTTTCTGTAGGTAGATATTTCCTATTTTAAGCATAGGCCTGAAAGCGCTCCAAATGCCCGCTTCCAGACACTATAAAAAGAGGGTTTCAAACCTACTCTATGAAAGGGAATGTTCAACTCTGAGAGCTGGATGCAAACATCACAAAGAAGTTTCTGAGAATGCTGCTGTCTACTTTTTATATATAATCCCGTTTCCAACGAAATCCTCAAATCTTTCCAAATATCCACTTGCAGATTTCAAAAGAAGAGTGTCTCAAAACTGCTCTATCAATAGAAATGTTCAGCACAGTTAGTTGAGTAGATACTGCATAAACATGTTTCTGAGATTACTTCTATCTCGCATTCATGGGAAGATATTTCCTTTTTCCAGATAGGCTACAAAGCCCTCCAAATGTCCACTTCGAGATACTACAAATAGAGTGCTGCACAACTGCTCTATGTGAGGGGAAGTTCAATTCTGTGACTTGAATGCAGACACCACAAAGAAGTTTCTGAGAATGCTGCTGTCTAATTTTTACATGTAAGCCCGTTTCCAACGAAATCCTCAAAGCTATCCAAATATCCGCATGCAGAATCTTCAAAAAGAGTGTTCCAGAAGTACTGCATGAAACGAAAGGTTCAAGTCCGTTTGTTGAGGACACACATCACAAATAAGTTTCTCAGAATGCTTCTGTCTTGTTTTCATTGGAAGATATTTCCTTTTTCACCATAGTTCAGAAAGCGCTCCAAATGTCCACTTCCAGATACTCCAAAAAGAGTGTTTCAAACCTGCTCTATGAATGGGAATGTTCCACTCTGTGACTTGAATGGAAATATGGCAAAGTATTTTCTGAGTATGCTGCTGTGTACGTTTTTTATTGCATCCCGTTTCCAACGAAATCCTCAAAGCGATCCAAATATCCACTTGCAGATTCCAAAAAAAGAGTGTTTCAAACTGCTCTGTCAGTACAAAGGTTCAACACTGTTAGTTGATTAGATGCATCATAAACAAGTTCCTGAGATAGCTTCTATGTCGTTTTTATGGGAAGATATTTCCTTTTTCACCATAGGCCTGAAAGCGCTCCAAATGTCCACTTCCAGATACTACAATAAGAGTGTTTCCAACCTGCTCTATGAAACGGAAGGTTCAACTCTGTGACTTGATTGCAAACATCACGAAGGTGTTTCTGAGAATGCTTCTGTCTAGATTTTCTTTGAAGACATTCCCGTTTCCAACGAAATCCTCACAGCTATCCAAATATCCTCTTGCAGATTCTACAAAAAGTGTGGTTCAAAACTGCTGTATCAAAAGAATGGATCAACACTTGTTAGTTGAGTACCCACATCACAAACGTGATTCTCAGAATGCTTCTGTCTAGTTTCTGTAGGTAGATATTTCCTATTTTAAGCATAGGCCTGAAAGCGCTCCAAATGCCCGCTTCCAGACACTATAAAAAGAGGGTTTCAAACCTACTCTATGAAAGGGAATGTTCAACTCTGAGAGCTGGATGCAAACATCACAAAGAAGTTTCTGAGAATGCTGCTGTCTACTTTTTATATATAATCCCGTTTCCAACGAAATCCTCAAATCTATCCAAATATCCACTTGCAGATTCCAAAAGAAGAGTGTCTCAAAACTGCTCTATCAATAGAAATGTTCAGCACAGTTAGTTGAGTAGATACAGCATAAACATGTTTCTGAGATTACTTCTATCTCGCATTCATGGGAAGATATTTCCTTTTTCCAGATAGGCTACAAAGCCCTCCAAATGTCCACTTCCAGATACTACAAATAGAGTGCTGCACAACTGCTCTATGTGAGGGGAAGTTCAATTCTGTGACTTGAATGCAGACACCACAAAGAAGTTTCTGAGAATGCTGCTGTCTAATTTTTACATGTAAGCCCGTTTCCAACGAAATCCTCAAAGCTATCCAAATATCCGCATGCAGAATCTTCAAAAAGAGTGTTCCAGAAGTACTGCATGAAACGAAAGGTTCAAGTCCGTTTGTTGAGGACACACATCACAAATAAGTTTCTCAGAATGCTTCTGTCTTGTTTTCATTGGAAGATATTTCCTTTTTCACCATAGTTCAGAAAGCGCTCCAAATGTCCACTTCCAGATACTCCAAAAAGAGTGTTTCAAACCTGCTCTATGAATGGGAATGTTCCACTCTGTGACTTGAATGGAAATATGGCAAAGTATTTTACTGAGTATGCTGCTGTGTACGTTTTATATTGCATCCCGTTTCCAACGAAATCCTCAAAGCGATCCAAATATCCACTTGCAGATTCCAAAAAAAGAGTGTTTCAAACTGCTCTGTCAGTACAAAGGTTCAACACTGTTAGTTGATTAGATGCATCATAAACAAGTTCCTGAGATAGCTTCTATGTCGTTTTTATGGGAAGATATTTCCTTTTTCACCATAGGCCTGAAAGCGCTCCAAATGTCCACTTCCAGATACTACAATAAGAGTGTTTCCAACCTGCTCTATGAAACGGAAGGTTCAACTCTGTGACTTGATTGCAAACATCACGAAAGGTGTTTCTGAGAATGCTTCTGTCTAGATTTTCTTTGAAGACATTCCCGTTTCCAACGAAATCCTCACAGCTATCCAAATATCCTCTTGCAGATTCTACAAAAAGTGTGGTTCAAAACTGCTGTATCAAAAGAATGGATCAACACTGTTAGTTGAGTACCCACATCACAAACGAGATTCTCAGAATGCTTCTGTCTAGTTTCTGTAGGTAGATATTTCCTATTTTAAGCATAGGTCTGAAAGCGCTCCAAATGCCCGCTTCCAGACACTATAAAAAGAGGGTTTCAAACCTACTCTATGAAAGGGAATGTTCAACTCTGAGAGCTGGATGCAAACATCACAAAGAAGTTTCTGAGAATGCTGCTGTCTACTTTTGATATATAATCCCGTTTCCAACGAAAATCCTCAAATCTATCCAAATATCCACTTGCAGATTCCAAAAGAAGAGTGTCTCAAAACTGCTCTATCAATAGAAATGTTCAGCACAGTTAGTTGAGTAGATACAGCATAAACATGTTTCTGAGATTACTTCTATCTCGCATTCATGGGAAGATATTTCCTTTTTCCAGATAGGCTACAAAGCCCTCCAAATGTCCACTTCCAGATACTACAAAAAGAGTGTTTCCAACCTGCTCTATGAAACGGAAGGTTCAACTCTGTGACTTGATTGCAAACATCACGAAGGTGTTTCTGAGAATGCTTCTGTCTAGATTTTCTTTGAAGACATTACCGTTTCCAACGAAATCCTCAAAGCTAGCCAAATATCCACCTGCAGATTCTACAAAAAGAGTGTTTCAAAAGTGCTCTGTCTAAACCAAGGTTCAATTCTGACAGTTGAGTGCACACATCACAAACGTGATTCTGCGAATGCTTTCTGTCTAGTTTTTGTCGGAAGATATTTCCTTTTTCAGCATAGGCCCCAAGGAGCTCAAAATGTCCACTGCCAGATAGTACGAGAAGATTGTGTCAAACCTGCTCTGTGAAAGGGAATGTTCAACTCTGTGACTTGAATGTAAACATCCCTAAGATGTTTCTTAGAATGCTTCTGGCTAGATTTTATTTGAAGATATTCCCGTTTCCAACGAAATCCTCAAAGCTTTCCAAATATCCACTTCCAGATTCTATAAAAAGAATGTTTCAGAACAGTTCTGTCAAAAGAAAGGTTCAACTCTGTTAGTGGAGAACACACATCACAATCAAGGTTCTGAGAATGCTTCTGTCTAAATTTTCTATGAAGACATTCCCGTTTCCAACGAAATCCTCACAGCTATCCAAATATCCACTTGCAGATTCTACAAAAAGTGTGGTTCAAAACTGCTGTATCAAAAGAATGGATCAACACTGTTAGTTGAGTACCCACATCACAAACGTGATTCTCAGAATGCTTCTGTCTAGTTTCTGTAGGTAGATATTTCCTTTTTCAGCATAGGCCTGAAAGCGCTCCAAATGCCCGCTTCCAGACACTATAAAAAGGGTGTTTCAAACCTACTCTATGAAAGGGAATGTTCAACTCTGAGAGCTGGATGCAAACATCACAAAGAAGTGTCTGAGAATGCTGCTGTCTACTTTTGATATATAATCCCGTTTCCAACGAAATCCTCAAATCTAGCCAAATATCCACTTGCAGATTCCAAAAGAAGAGTGTCTCAAAACTGCTCTATCAATAGAAATGTTCAGCACAGTTAGTTGAGTAGATACAGCATAAACATGTTTCTGAGATTACTTCTATCTCGCATTCATGGGAAGATATTTCCTTTTTCCAGATAGGCTACAAAGCCCTCCAAATGTCCACTTCCAGATACTACAAATAGAGTGCTGCACAACTGCTGTATGTGAGGGGAAGTTCAATTCTGTGACTTGAATGCAGACACCACAAAGAAGTTTCTGAGAATGCTGCTGTCTAATTTTTACATGTAAGCCCGTTTCCAACGAAATCCTCAAAGCTATCCAAATATCCGCATGCAGAATCTTCAAAAAGAGTGTTCCAGAAGTACTGCATGAAACGAAAGGTTCAAGTCCGTTTGTTGAGGACACACATCACAAATAAGTTTCTCAGAATGCTTCTGTCTTGTTTTCATTGGAAGATATTTCCTTTTTCACCATAGTTCAGAAAGCGCTCCAAATGTCCACTTCCAGATACTCCAAAAAGAGTGTTTCAAACCTGCTCTATGAATGGGAATGTTCCACTCTGTGACTTGAATGGAAATATGGCAAAGTATTTTCTGAGTATGCTGCTGTGTACGTTTTATATTGCATCCCGTTTCCAACGAAATCCTCAAAGCGATCCAAATATCCACTTGCAGATTCCAAAAAAAGAGTGTTTCAAACTGCTCTGTCAGTACAAAGGTTCAACACTGTTAGTTGATTAGATGCATCATAAACAAGTTCCTGAGACAGCTTCTATGTCGCTTTTATGGGAAGATATTTCCTTTTACACCATAGGCCTGAAATCGCTCCAAATGTCCAATTCCAGATACTACAAAATGAGTGTTTCCAACCTGCTCTATGAAACGGAAGGTTCAACTCTGTGACTTGATTGCAAACATCACGAAGGTGTTTCTGAGGATGTTTCTGTCTAGATTTTCTTTGAAGACATTACCGTTTCCAACGAAATCCTCAAAGCTAGCCAAATATCCACCTGCAGATTCTACAAAAAGAGTGTTTCAAAAGTGCTCTGTCCAAACCAAGGTTCAATTCTGACAGTTGAGTGCACACATCACAAACGTGATTCTGCGAATGCTTCTGTCTAGTTTTTGTCGGAAGATATTTCCTTTTTCAGCATAGGCCCCAAGGAGCTCAAAATGTCCACTGCCAGATAGTACGAGAAGATTGTTTCAAACCTGCTCTGAGAAAGGGGAATGTTCAACTCTGTGACTTGAATGTAAACATCCCTAAGATGTTTCTTAGAATGCTTCTGGCTAGATTTTATTTGAAGATATTCCCGTTTCCAACGAAATCCTCAAAGCTTTCCAAATATCCACTTCCAGATTCTATAAAAAGAATGTTTCAAAACAGTTCTGTCGAAAGAAAGGTTCAACTCTGTTAGTGGAGAACACACATCACAATCCAGGTTCTGAGAATGCTTCTGTCTAAATTTTCTATGAAGACATTCCCGTTTCCAACGAAATCCTCACAGCTATCCAAATATCCACTTGCAGATTCTACAAAAAGGGTGGTTCAAAACTGCTGTATCAAAAGAATGGATCAACACTGTTAGTTGAGTACCCACATCACAAACGTGATTCTCAGAATGCTTCTGTCTAGTTTCTGTAGGTAGATATTTCCTTTTTCAGCATAGGCCTGAAAGCGCTCCAAATGCCCGCTTCCAGACACTATAAAAAGAGGGTTTCAAACCTACTCTATGAAAGGGAATGTTCAACTCTGAGAGCTGGATGCAAACATCACAAAGAAGTTTCTGAGAATGCTGCTGTCTACCTTTGATATATAATCCCGTTTCCAACGAAATCCTCAAATCTAGCCAAATATCCACTTGCAGATTCCAAAAGAAGAGTGTCTCAAAACTGCTCTATCAATAGAAATGTTCAGCACAGTTAGTTGAGTAGATACAGCATAAACATGTTTCTGAGATTACTTCTATCTCGCATTCATGGAAAGATATTTCCTTTTTCCAGATAGGCTACAAAGCCCTCCAAATGTCCACTTCGAGATACTACAAATAGAGTGCTTCACAACTGCTCTATGTGAGGGGATGTTCAATTCTGTGACTTGAATGCAGACACCACAAAGAAGTTTCTGAGAATGCTGCTGTCTAATTTTTATATGTAAGCCCGTTTCCAACGAAATCCTCAAAGCTATCCAAATATCCGCATGCAGAATTTTCAAAAAGAGTGTTCCAGAAGTACTGCATGAAACGAAAGGTTCAACTCCGTTAATTGAGGACACACATCACAATTAAGTTTCTCAGAATGCTTCTGTCTTGTTTTCATTGGAAGATATTTCCTTTTTCATCATAGTTCAGAAAGCGCTCCAAATGACCACTTCCAGATACTACAAAAGGAGTGTTTCCAACCTGCTCCATGAATGGGAATGTTCCCCTCTGTGACTTGAATGGAAATATGGCAAAGTATTTTCTGAGTATGCTGCTGTGTACGTTTTATATTGCATCCCGTTTCCAACGAAATCCTCAATGCGATCCAAATATCCACTTGCAGAATCCAAAAAAAAGAGTGTTTCACACTGCTCTGTCAGTACAAAGGTTCAACACTGTTAGTTGATTGGATGCATCATAAACAAGTTCCTGAGATAGATTCTATGTCGTTTTTATGGGAAGATATTTCCTTTTTCACCATAGGCCTGAAAGCGCTCCAAATGTCCACTTCCAGATACTACAAAAAGAGTGTTTCCAACCTGCTCTATGAAACGGAAGGTTCAACTCTGTGACTTGATTGCAAACATCACGAAGGTGTTTCTGAGAATGTTTCTGTCTAGATTTTCTTTGAAGACATTACCGTTTCCAACGAAATCCTCAAAGCTAGCCAAATATCCACCTGCAGATTCTACAAAAAGAGTGTTTCAAAAGTGCTCTGTCCAAACAAAGGTTCAATTCTGACAGTTGAGTGCACACATCACAAACGTGATTCTGCGAATGCTTCTGTCTAGTTTTTGTCGGAAGATATTTCCTTTTTCAGCATAGGCCCCAAGGAGCTCAAAATGTCCACTTCCAGATAGTACGAGAAGATTGTTTCAAACCTGCTCTGTGAAAGGGAATGTTCAACCCTGTGACTTGAATGTAAACATCCCTAAGATGTTTCTTAGAATGCTTCTGGCTAGATTTGATTTGAAGATATTCCCGTTTACAATGAAATCCTCAAAGCTTTCCAAATATCCACTTCCAGATTCTATAAAAAGAATGTTTCAAAACAGTTCTGTCAAAAGAAAGGTTCAACCCTGTTAGTGGAGAACACACATCACAATCAAGGTTCTGAGAATGCTTCTGTCTAAATTTTCTATGAAGACATTCCCGTTTCCAACGAAATCCTCACAGCTATCCAAATATCCACTTGCAGATTCTACAAAAAGTGTGGTTCAAAACTGCTGTATCAAAAGAATGGATCAACACTGTTAGTTGAGTACCCACATCACAAACGTGATTCTCAGAATGCTTCTGTCTAGTTTCTATAGGTAGATATTTCCTTTTTCAGCATAGGTCTGAAAGCGCTCCTAATGCCCGCTTCCAGACACTATAAAAAGAGGGTTTCAAACCTACTCCACGAAAGGGAATGTTCAACTCTGAGAGCTGGATGCAAACCTCACAAAGAAGTTTCTGAGAATGCTGCTGTCTACTTTTGATATAGAATCCCGTTTCCAAGGAAATCCTCAAATCTATCCAAATATCCACTTGCAGATTCCAAAAGAAGAGTGTCTCAAAACTGCTCTATCAATAGAAATGTTCAGCACAGTTAGTTGAGTAGATACAGCATAAACATGTTTCTGAGATTACTTCTATCTCGCATTCATGGGAAGATATTTCCTTTTTCCAGATAGGCTACAAAGCCCTCCGAATGTCCACTTCGAGATACTACAAATAGAGTGCTGCACAGCTGCTCTATGTGAGGGGATGTTCAATTCTGTGACTTGAATGCAGACACCACAAAGAAGTTTCTGAGAATGCTGCTGTCTAATTTTTATATGTAAGCCCGTTTCCAACGAAATCCTCAAAGCTATCCAAATATCCGCATGCAGAATCTTCAAAAAGAGTGTTCCAGAAGTACTGCATGAAACGAAAGGTTCAAGTCCGTTAGTTGAGGACACACATCACAAATAAGTTTCTCAGAATGCTTCTGTCTTGTTTTCATTGGAAGATATTTCCTTTTTCACCATAGTTCAGAAAGCGCTCCAAATGTCCACTTCGAGATACTACAAAAGGAGTGCTTCCAACCTGCTCTATGAATGGGAATGTTCCTCTCTGTGACTTGAATGGAAATATGGCAAAGTATTTTCTGAGTATGCTGCTGTGTACGTTTTATATTGCATCCCGTTTCCAACGAAATCCTCAAAGCGATCCAAATATCCACTTGCAGATTCCAAAAAAAAAGAGTGTTTCACACTGCTCTGTCAGTACAAAGGTTCAACACTGTTAGTTGATTGGATGCATCATAAACAAGTTCCTGAGATGGCTTCTATGTCGTTTTTATGGGAAGATATTTCCTTTTTCACCATAGGCCTGAAAGCGCTCCAAATGTCCACTTCCAGATACTACAAAAAGAGTGTTTCCAACCTGCTCTATGAAACGGAAGGTTCAACTCTGTGACTTGATTGCAAACATCACGAAGGTGTTTCTGAGAATGTTTCTGTCTAGATTTTCTTTGAAGACATTACCGTTTCCAACGAAATCCTCAAAGCTAGCCAAATATCCACCTGCAGATTCTACAAAAAGAGTGTTTCAAAAGTGCTCTGTCCAAACCAAGGTTCAATTCTGACAGTTGAGTGCACACATCACAAACGTGATTCTGCGAATGCTTCTGTCTAGTTTTTGTCGGAAGATATTTCCTTTTTCAGCATAGGCCCCAAGGAGCTCAAAATGTCCACTGCCAGATAGTACGAGAAGATTGTTTCAAACCTGCTCTGTGAAAGGGAATGTTCAACTCTGTGACTTGAATGTAAACATCCCTAAGATGTTTCTTAGAATGCTTCTGGCTAGATTTGATTTGAAGATATTCCCGTTTCCAACGAAATCCTCAAAGCTTTCCAAATATCCACTTCCAGATTCTATAACAAGAATGTTTCAGAACAGTTCTGTCAAAAGAAAGGTTCAACTCTGTTAGTGGAGAACACACATCACAATCAAGGTTCTGAGAATGCTTCTGTCTAAATTTTCTATGAAGACATTCCCGTTTCCAACGAAATCCTCACAGCTATCCAAATATCCACTTGCAGATTCTACAAAAAGTGTGGTTCAAAACTGCTGTATCAAAAGAATGGATCAACACTGTTAGTTGAGTACCCACATCACAAACGTGATTCTCAGAATGCTTCTGTCTAGTTTCTATAGGTAGATATTTCCTTTTTCAGCACAGGCCTGAAAGCGCTCCAAATGCCCGCTTCCAGACACTATAAAAAGAGGGTTTCAAACCTACTCTATGAAAGGGAATGTTCAACTCTGAGAGCTGGATGCAAACATCACAAAGAAGTTTCTGAGAATGCTGCTGTCTACTTTTTATATATAATCCCGTTTCCAACGAAATCCTCAAATCTATCCAAATATCCACTTGCAGATTCCAAAAGAAGAGTGTCTCAAAACTGCTCTATCAATAGAAATGTTCAGCACAGTTAGTTGAGTAGATACAGCATAAACATGTTTCTGAGATTACTTCTATCTCGCATTCATGGGAAGATATTTCCTTTTTCCAGATAGGCTACAAAGCCCTCCAAATGTCCACTTCCAGATACTACAAATAGAGTGCTGCACAACTGCTCTATGTGAGGGGATGTTCAATTCTGTGACTTGAATGCAGACACCACAAAGAAGTTTCTGAGAATGCTGCTGTCTAATTTTTACATGTAAGCCCGTTTCCAACGAAATCCTCAAAGCTATCCAAATATCCGCATGCAGAATCTTCAAAAAGAGTGTTCCAGAAGTACTGCATGAAACGAAAGGTTCAAGTCCGTTTGTTGAGGACACACATCACAAATAAGTTTCTCAGAATGCTTCTGTCTTGTTTTCATTGGAAGATATTTCCTTTTTCACCATAGTTCAGAAAGCGCTCCAAATGTCCACTTCCAGATACTCCAAAAAGAGTGTTTCCAACCTGCTCTATGAATGGGAATGTTCCACTCTGTGACTTGAATGGAAATATGGCAAAGTATTTTCTGAGTATGCTGCTGTGTACGTTTTATATTGCATCCCGTTTCCAACGAAATCCTCAAAGCGATCCAAATATCCACTTGCAGATTCCAAAAAAAGAGTGTTTCAAACTGCTCTGTCAGTACAAAGGTTCAACACTGTTAGTTGATTAGATGCATCATAAACAAGTTCCTGAGACAGCTTCTATGTCGTTTTTATGGGAAGATATTTCCTTTTTCACCATAGGCCTGAAAGCGCTCCAAATGTCCACTTCCAGATACTACAATAAGAGTGTTTCCAACCTGCTCTATGAAACGGAAGGTTCAACTCTGTGACTTGATTGCAAACATCACGAAGGTGTTCCTCAGAATGATTCTGTCTAGATTTTCTTTGAAGACATTCCCGTTTCCAACGAAATCCTCACAGCTATCCAAATATCCTCTTGCAGATTCTACAAAAAGTGTGGTTCAAAACTGCTGTATCAAAAGAATGGATCAACACTGTTAGTTGAGTACCCACATCACAAACGAGATTCTCAGAATGCTTCTGTCTAGTTTCTGTAGGTAGATATTTCCTATTTTAAGCATAGGCCTGAAAGCGCTCCAAATGCCCGCTTCCAGACACTATAAAAAGAGGGTTTCAAACCTACTCTATGAAAGGGAATGTTCAACTCTGAGAGCTGGATGCAAACATCACAAAGAAGTTTCTGAGAATGCTGCTGTCTACTTTTTATATATAATCCCGTTTCCAACGAAATCCTCAAATCTCTCCAAATATCCACTTGCAGATTCCAAAAGAAGAGTGTCTCAAAACTGCTCTATCAATAGAAATGTTCAGCACAGTTAGTTGAGTAGATACAGCATAAACATGTTTCTGAGATTACTTCTATCTCGCATTCATGGGAAGATATTTCCTTTTTCCACATAGGCTACAAAGCCCTCCAAATGTCCACTTCCAGATACTACAAAAAGAGTGTTTCCAACCTGCTCTATGAAACGGAAGGTTCAACTCTGTGACTTGATTGCAAACATCACGAAGGTGTTTCTGAGAATGCTTCTGTCTAGATTTTCTTTGAAGACATTACCGTTTCCAACGAAATCCTCAAAGCTAGCCAAATATCCACCTGCAGATTCTACAAAAAGAGTGTTTCAAAAGTGCTCTGTCCAAACCAAGGTTCAATTCTGACAGTTGAGTGCACACATCACAAACGTGATTCTGCGAATGCTTCTGTCTAGTTTTTGTCGGAAGATATTTCCTTTTTCAGCATAGGCCCCAAGGAGCTCAAAATGTCCACTGCCAGATAGTACGAGAAGATTGTTTCAAACCTGCTCTGTGAAAGGGAATGTTCAACTCTGTGACTTGAATGTAAACATCCCTAAGATGTTTCTTAGAATGCTTCTGGCTAGATTTGATTTGAAGATATTCCCGTTTCCAACGAAATCCTCAAAGCTTTCCAAATATCCACTTCCAGATTCTATAAAAAGAATGTTTCAGAACAGTTCTGTCAAAAGAAAGGTTCAACTCTGTTAGTGGAGAACACACATCACAATCAAGGTTCTGAGAATGCTTCTGTCTAAATTTTCTATGAAGACATTCCCGTTTCCAACGAAATCCTCACAGCTATCCAAATATCCACTTGCAGATTCTACAAAAAGTGTGGTTCAAAACTGCTGTATCAAAAGAATGGATCAACACTGTTAGTTGAGTACCCACATCACAAACGTGATTCTCAGAATGCTTCTGTCTAGTTTCTGTAGGTAGATATTTCCTATTTTAAGCATAGGCCTGAAAGCGCTCCAAATGCCCGCTTCCAGACACTATAAAAAGAGGGTTTCAAACCTACTCTATGAAAGGGAATGTTCAACTCTGAGAGCTGGATGCAAACATCACAAAGAAGTTTCTGAGAATGCTGCTGTCTACTTTTGATATATAATCCCGTTTCCAACGAAATCCTCAAATCTATCCAAATATCCACTTGCAGATTCCAAAAGAAGAGTGTCTCAAAACTGCTCTATCAATAGAAATGTTCAGCACAGTTAGTTGAGTAGATACAGCATAAACATGTTTCTGAGATTACTTCTATCTCGCATTCATGGGAAGATATTTCCTTTTTCCAGATAGGCTACAAAGCCCTCCAAATGTCCACTTCCAGATACTACAAATAGAGTGCTGCACAACTGCTCTATGTGAGGGGAAGTTCAATTCTGTGACTTGAATGCAGACACCACAAAGAAGTTTCTGAGAATGCTGCTGTCTAATTTTTACATGTAAGCCCGTTTCCAACGAAATCCTCAAAGCTATCCAAATATCCGCATGCAGAATCTTCAAAAAGAGTGTTCCAGAAGTACTGCATGAAACGAAAGGTTCAAGTCCGTTTGTTGAGGACACACATCACAAATAAGTTTCTCAGAATGCTTCTGTCTTGTTTTCATTGGAAGATATTTCCTTTTTCACCATAGTTCAAAAAGCGCTCCAAATGTCCACTTCCAGATACTCCAAAAAGAGTGTTTCCAACCTGCTCTATGAATGGGAATGTTCCACTCTGTGACTTGAATGGAAACATGGCAAAGTATTTTCTGAGTATGCTGCTGTGTACGTTTTATATTGCATCCCGTTTCCAACGAAATCCTCAAAGTGATCCAAATATCCACTTGCAGATTCCAAAAAAAGAGTGTTTCAAACTGCTCTGTCAGTACAAAGGTTCAACACTGTTAGTTGATTAGATGCATCATAAACAAGTTCCTGAGATAGCTTCTATGTCGTTTTTATGGGAAGATATTTCCTTTTTCACCATAGGCCTGAAAGCGCTCCAAATGTCCACTTCCAGATACTACAATAAGAGTGTTTCCAACCTGCTCTATGAAACGGAAGGTTCAACTCTGTGACTTGATTGCAAACATCACGAAGGTGTTTCTGAGAATGCTTCTGTCTAGATTTTCTTTGAAGACATTCCCGTTTCCAACGAAATCCTCACAGCTATCCAAATATCCTCTTGCAGATTCTACAAAAAGTGTGGTTCAAAACTGCTGTATCAAAAGAATGGATCAACACTGTTAGTTGAGTACCCACATCACAAACGTGATTCTCAGAATGCTTCTGTCTAGTTTCTATAGGTAGATATTTCCTTTTTCAGCATAGGCCTGAAAGCGCTCCAAATGCCCGCTTCCAGACACTATAAAAAGAGGGTTTCAAACCTACTCTATGAAAGGGAATGTTCAACTCTGAGAGCTGGATGCAAACATCACAAAGAAGTTTCTGAGAATGCTGCTGTCTACTTTTTATATATAATCCCGTTTCCAACGAAATCCTCAAATCTATCCAAATATCCACTTGCAGATTCCAAAAGAAGAGTGTCTCAAAACTGCTCTATCAATAGAAATGTTCAGCACAGTTAGTTGAGTAGATACAGCATAAACATGTTTCTGAGATTACTTCTATCTCGCATTCATGGGAAGATATTTCCTTTTTCCAGATAGGCTACAAAGCCCTCCAAATGTCCACTTCCAGATACTACAAATAGAGTGCTGCACAACTGCTCTATGTGAGGGGATGTTCAATTCTGTGACTTGAATGCAGACACCACAAAGAAGTTTCTGAGAATGCTGCTGTCTAATTTTTACATGTAAGCCCGTTTCCAACGAAATCCTCAAAGCTATCCAAATATCCGCATGCAGAATCTTCAAAAAGAGTGTTCCAGAAGTACTGCATGAAACGAAAGGTTCAAGTCCGTTTGTTGAGGACACACATCACAAATAAGTTTCTCAGAATGCTTCTGTCTTGTTTTCATTGGAAGATATTTCCTTTTTCACCATAGTTCAGAAAGCGCTCCAAATGTCCACTTCCAGATACTCCAAAAAGAGTGTTTCAAACCTGCTCTATGAATGGGAATGTTCCACTCTGTGACTTGAATGGAAATATGGCAAAGTATTTTCTGAGTATGCTGCTGTGTACGTTTTATATTGCATCCCGTTTCCAACGAAATCCTCAAAGCGATCCAAATATCCACTTGCAGATTCCAAAAAAAGAGTGTTTCAAACTGCTCTGTCAGTACAAAGGTTCAACACTGTTAGTTGATTAGATGCATCATAAACAAGTTCCTGAGATAGCTTCTATGTCGTTTTTATGGGAAGATATTTCCTTTTTCACCATAGGCCTGAAAGCGCTCCAAATGTCCACTTCCAGATACTACAATAAGAGTGTTTCCAACCTGCTCTATGAAACGGAAGGTTCAACTCTGTGACTTGATTGCAAACATCACGAAGGTGTTTCTGAGAATGCTTCTGTCTAGATTTTCTTTGAAGACATTCCCGTTTCCAACGAAATCCTCACAGCTATCCAAATATCCTCTGGCAGATTCTACAAAAAGTGTGGTTCAAAACTGCTGTATCAAAAGAATGGATCAACACTGTTAGTTGAGTACCCACATCACAAACGTGATTCTCAGAATGCTTCTGTCTAGTTTCTGTAGGTAGATATTTCCTATTTTAAGCATAGGCCTGAAAGCGCTCCAAATGCCCGCTTCCAGACACTATAAAAAGAGGGTTTCAAACCTACTCTATGAAAGGGAATGTTCAACTCTGAGAGCTGGATGCAAACATCACAAAGAAGTTTCTGAGAATGCTGCTGTCTACTTTTTATATATAATCCCGTTTCCAACGAAATCCTCAAATCTATCCAAATATCCACTTGCAGATTCCAAAAGAAGAGTGTCTCAAAACTGCTCTATCAATAGAAATGTTCAGCACAGTTAGTTGAGTAGATACAGCATAAACATGTTTCTGAGATTACTTCTATCTCGCATTCATGGGAAGATATTTCCTTTTTCCAGATAGGCTACAAAGCCCTCCAAATGTCCACTTCCAGATACTACAAATAGAGTGCTGCACAACTGCTCTATGTGAGGGGATGTTCAATTCTGTGACTTGAATGCAGACACCACAAAGAAGTTTCTGAGAATGCTGCTGTCTAATTTTTACATGTAAGCCCGTTTCCAACGAAATCCTCAAAGCTATCCAAATATCCGCATGCAGAATCTTCAAAAAGAGTGTTCCAGAAGTACTGCATGAAACGAAAGGTTCAAGTCCGTTTGTTGAGGACACACATCACAAATAAGTTTCTCAGAATGCTTCTGTCTTGTTTTCATTGGAAGATATTTCCTTTTTCACCATAGTTCAGAAAGCGCTCCAAATGTCCACTTCCAGATACTCCAAAAAGAGTGTTTCAAACCTGCTCTATGAATGGGAATGTTCCACTCTGTGACTTGAATGGAAATATGGCAAAGTATTTTCTGAGTATGCTGCTGTGTACGTTTTATATTGCATCCCGTTTCCAACGAAATCCTCAAAGCGATCCAAATATCCACTTGCAGATTCCAAAAAAAGAGTGTTTCAAACTGCTCTGTCAGTACAAAGGTTCAACACTGTTAGTTGATTAGATGCATCATAAACAAGTTCCTGAGATAGCTTCTATGTCGTTTTTATGGGAAGATATTTCCTTTTTCACCATAGGCCTGAAAGCGCTCCAAATGTCCACTTCCAGATACTACAAAAAGAGTGTTTCCAACCTGCTCTATGAAACGGAAGGTTCAACTCTGTGACTTGATTGCAAACATCACGAAGGTGTTTCTGAGAATGCTTCTGTCTAGATTTTCTTTGAAGACATTACCGTTTCCAACGAAATCCTCAAAGCTAGCCAAATATCCACCTGCAGATTCTACAAAAAGAGTGTTTCAAAAGTGCTCTGTCCAAACCAAGGTTCAATTCTGAGAGTTGAGTGCACACATCACAAACGTGATTCTGCGAATGCTTCTGTCTAGTTTTTGTCGGAAGATATTTCCTTTTTCAGCATAGGCCCCAAGGAGCTCAAAATGTCCACTTCCAGATAGTACGAGAAGATTGTTTCAAACCTGCTCTGTGAAAGGGAATGTTCAACTCTGTGACTTGAATGTAAACATCCCTAAGTTGTTTCTTAGAATGCTTCTGGCTAGATTTTATTTGAAGATATTCCCGTTTCCAACGAAATCCTCAAAGCTTTCCAAATATCCACTTCCAGATTCTATAAAAAGAATGTTTCAGAACAGTTCTGTCAAAAGAAAGGTTCAACTCTGTTAGTGGAGAACACACATCACAATCAAGGTTCTGAGAATGCTTCTGTCTAAATTTTCTATGAAGACATTCCCGTTTCCAACGAAATCCTCACAGCTATCCAAATATCCACTTGCAGATTCTACAAAAAGTGTGGTTCAAAACTGCTGTATCAAAAGAATGGATCAACACTGTTAGTTGAGTACCCACATCACAAACGTGATTCTCAGAATGCTTCTGTCTAGTTTCTATAGGTAGATATTTCCTTTTTCAGCATAGGCCTGAAAGCGCTCCAAATGCCCGCTTCCAGACACTATAAAAAGAGGGTTTCAAACCTACTCTATGAAAGGGAATGTTCAACTCTGAGAGCTGGATGCAAACATCACAAAGAAGTTTCTGAGAATGCTGCTGTCTACTTTTGATATATAATCCCGTTTCCAACGAAATCCTCAAATCTATCCAAATATCCACTTGCAGATTCCAAAAGAAGAGTGTCTCAAAACTGCTCTATCAATAGAAATGTTCAGCACAGTTAGTTGAGTAGATACAGCATAAACATGTTTCTGAGATTACTTCTATCTCGCATTCATGGGAAGATATTTCCTTTTTCCAGATAGGCTACAAAGCCCTCCAAATGTCCACTTCCAGATACTACAAAAAGAGTGTTTCCAACCTGCTCTATGAAACGGAAGGTTCAACTCTGTGACTTGATTGCAAACATCACGAAGGTGTTTCTGAGAATGCTTCTGTCTAGATTTTCTTTGAAGACATTACCGTTTCCAACGAAATCCTCAAAGCTAGCCAAATATCCACCTGCAGATTCTACAAAAAGAGTGTTTCAAAAGTGCTCTGTCCAAACCAAGGTTCAATTCTGACAGTTGAGTGCACACATCACAAACGTGATTCTGCGAATGCTTCTGTCTAGTTTTTGTCGGAAGATATTTCCTTTTTCAGCATAGGCCCCAAGGAGCTCAAAATGTCCACTGCCAGATAGTACGAGAAGATTGTTTCCAACCTGCTCTGTGAAAGGGAATGTTCAACTCTGTGACTTGAATGTAAACATCCCTAAGATGTTTCTTATAATGCTTCTGGCTAGATTTGATTTGAAGATATTCCCGTTTCCAACGAAATCCTCAAAGCTTTCCAAATATCCACTTCCAGATTCTATAAAAAGAATGTTTCAGAACAGTTCTGTCAAAAGAAAGGTTCAACTCTGTTAGTGGAGAACACACATCACAATCAAGGTTCTGAGAATGCTTCTGTCTAGATTTTCTTTGAAGACATTCCCGTTTCCAACGAAATCCTCACAGGTATCCAAATATCCTCTTGCAGATTCTACAAAAAGTGTGGTTCAAAACTGCTGTATCAAAAGAATGGATCAACACTGTTAGTTGAGTACCCACATCACAAACGTGATTCTCAGAATGCTTCTGTCTAGTTTCTGTAGGTAGATATTTCCTATTTTAAGCATAGCCCTGAAAGCGCTCCAAATGCCCGCTTCCAGACACTATAAAAAGAGGGTTTCAAACCTACTCTATGAAAGGGAATGTTCAACTCTGAGAGCTGGATGCAAACATCACAAAGAAGTTTCTGAGAATGCTGCTGTCTACTTTTTATATATAATCCCGTTTCCAACGAAATCCTCAAATCTATCCAAATATCCACTTGCAGATTCCAAAAGAAGAGTGTCTCAAAACTGCTCTATCAATAGAAATGTTCAGCACAGTTAGTTGAGTAGATACAGCATAAACATGTTTCTGAGATTACTTCTATCTCGCATTCATGGGAAGATATTTCCTTTTTCCAGATAGGCTACAAAGCCCTCCAAATGTCCACTTCCAGATACTACAAAAAGAGTGTTTCCAACCTGCTCTATGAAACGGAAGGTTCAACTCTGTGACTTGATTGCAAACATCACGAAGGTGTTTCTGAGAATGCTTCTGTCTAGCATTTTCTTTGAAGACATTACCGTTTCCAACGAAATCCTCAAAGCTAGCCAAATATCCACCTGCAGATTCTACAAAAAGAGTGTTTCAAAAGTGCTCTGTCCAAACCAAGGTTCAATTCTGACAGTTGAGTGCACACATCACAAACGTGATTCTGCGAATGCTTCTGTCTAGTTTTTGTCGGAAGATATTTCCTTTTTCAGCATAGGCCCCAAGGAGCTCAAAATGTCCACTGCCAGATAGTACGAGAAGATTGTTTCAAACCTGCTCTGTGAAAGGGAATGTTCAACTCTGTGACTTGAATGTAAACATCCCTAAGATGTTTCTTAGAATGCTTCTGGCTAGATTTTATTTGAAGATATTCCCGTTTCCAACGAAATCCTCAAAGCTTTCCAAATATCCACTTCCAGATTCTATAAAAAGAATGTTTCAGAACAGTTCTGTCAAAAGAAAGGTTCAACTCTGTTAGTGGAGAACACACATCACAATCAAGGTTCTGAGAATGCTTCTGTCTAAATTTTCTATGAAGACATTCCCGTTTCCAACGAAATCCTCACAGCTATCCAAATATCCACTTGCAGATTCTACAAAAAGTGTGGTTCAAAACTGCTGTATCAAAAGAATGGATCAACACTGTTAGTTGAGTACCCACATCACAAACGTGATTCTCAGAATGCTTCTGTCTAGTTTCTATAGGTAGATATTTCCTTTTTCAGCATAGGCCTGAAAGCGCTCCAAATGCCCGCTTCCAGACACTATAAAAAGAGGGTTTCAAACCTACTCTATGAAAGGGAATGTTCAACTCTGAGAGCTGGATGCAAACATCACAAAGAAGTTTCTGAGAATGCTGCTGTCTACTTTTGATATATAATCCCGTTTCCAACGAAATCCTCAAATCTATCCAAATATCCACTTGCAGATTCCAAAAGAAGAGTGTCTCAAAACTGCTCTATCAATAGAAATGTTCAGCACAGTTAGTTGAGTAGATACAGCATAAACATGTTTCTGAGATTACTTCTATCTCGCATTCATGGGAAGATATTTCCTTTTTCCACATAGGCTACAAAGCCCTCCAAATGTCCACTTCCAGATACTACAAAAAGAGTGTTTCCAACCTGCTCTATGAAACGGAAGGTTCAACTCTGTGACTTGATTGCAAACATCACGAAGGTGTTTCTGAGAATGCTTCTGTCTAGATTTTCTTTGAAGACATTACCGTTTCCAACGAAATCCTCAAAGCTAGCCAAATATCCACCTGCAGATTCTACAAAAAGAGTGTTTCAAAAGTGCTCTGTCCAAACCAAGGTTCAATTCTGACAGTTGAGTGCACACATCACAAACGTGATTCTGCGAATGCTTCTGTCTAGTTTTTGTCGGAAGATATTTCCTTTTTCAGCATAGGCCCCAAGGAGCTCAAAATGTCCACTGCCAGATAGTACGAGAAGATTGTTTCAAACCTGCTCTGTGAAAGGGAATGTTCAACTCTGTGACTTGAATGTAAACATCCCTAAGATGTTTCTTAGAATGCTTCTGGCTAGATTTGATTTGAAGATATTCCCGTTTCCAACGAAATCCTCAAAGCTTTCCAAATATCCACTTCCAGATTCTATAAAAAGAATGTTTCAGAACAGTTCTGTCAAAAGAAAGGTTCAACTCTGTTAGTGGAGAACACACATCACAATCAAGGTTCTGAGAATGCTTCTGTCTAAATTTTCTATGAAGACATTCCCGTTTCCAACGAAATCCTCACAGCTATCCAAATATCCACTTGCAGATTCTACAAAAAGTGTGGTTCAAAACTGCTGTATCAAAAGAATGGATCAACACTGTTAGTTGAGTACCCACATCACAAACGTGATTCTCAGAATGCTTCTGTCTAGTTTCTATAGGTAGATATTTCCTTTTTCAGCATAGGCCTGAAAGCGCTCCAAATGCCCGCTTCCAGACACTATAAAAAGAGGGTTTCAAACCTACTCTATGAAAGGGAATGTTCAACTCTGAGAGCTGGATGCAAACATCACAAAGAAGTTTCTGAGAATGCTGCTGTCTACTTTTTATATATAATCCCGTTTCCAACGAAATCCTCAAATCTATCCAAATATCCACTTGCAGATTCCAAAAGAAGAGTGTCTCAAAACTGCTCTATCAATAGAAATGTTCAGCACAGTTAGTTGAGTAGATACAGCATAAACATGTTTCTGAGATTACTTCTATCTCGCATTCATGGGAAGATATTTCCTTTTTCCAGATAGGCTACAAAGCCCTCCAAATGTCCACTTCCAGATACTACAAATAGAGTGCTGCACAACTGCTCTATGTGAGGGGAAGTTCAATTCTGTGACTTGAATGCAGACACCACAAAGAAGTTTCTGAGAATGCTGCTGTCTAATTTTTACATGTAAGCCCGTTTCCAACGAAATCCTCAAAGCTATCCAAATATCCGCATGCAGAATCTTCAAAAAGAGTGTTCCAGAAGTACTGCATGAAACGAAAGGTTCAAGTCCGTTTGTTGAGGACACACATCACAAATAAGTTTCTCAGAATGCTTCTGTCTTGTTTTCATTGGAAGATATTTCCTTTTTCACCATAGTTCAGAAAGCGCTCCAAATGTCCACTTCCAGATACTCCAAAAAGAGTGTTTCCAACCTGCTCTATGAATGGGAATGTTCCACTCTGTGACTTGAATGGAAATATGGCAAAGTATTTTCTGAGTATGCTGCTGTGTACGTTTTATATTGCATCCCGTTTCCAACGAAATCCTCAAAGCGATCCAAATATCCACTTGCAGATTCCAAAAAAAGAGTGTTTCAAACTGCTCTGTCAGTACAAAGGTTCAACACTGTTAGTTGATTAGATGCATCATAAACAAGTTCCTGAGACAGCTTCTATGTCGTTTTTATGGGAAGATATTTCCTTTTTCACCATAGGCCTGAAAGCGCTCCAAATGTCCCCTTCCAGATACTACAATAAGAGTGTTTCCAACCTGCTCTATGAAACGGAAGGTTCAACTCTGTGACTTGATTGCAAACATCACGAAGGTGTTTCTGAGAATGCTTCTGTCTAGATTTTCTTTGAAGACATTCCCGTTTCCAACGAAATCCTCACAGCTATCCAAATATCCTCTTGCAGATTCTACAAAAAGTGTGGTTCAAAACTGCTGTATCAAAAGAATGGATCAACACTGTTAGTTGAGTACCCACATCACAAACGTGATTCTCAGAATGCTTCTGTCTAGTTTCTGTAGGTAGATATTTCCTATTTTAAGCATAGGCCTGAAAGCGCTCCAAATGCCCGCTTCCAGACACTATAAAAAGAGGGTTTCAAACCTACTCTATGAAAGGGAATGTTCAACTCTGAGAGCTGGATGCAAACATCACAAAGAAGTTTCTGAGAATGCTGCTGTCTACTTTTTATATATAATCCCGTTTCCAACGAAATCCTCAAATCTATCCAAATATCCACTTGCAGATTCCAAAAGAAGAGTGTCTCAAAACTGCTCTATCAATAGAAATGTTCAGCACAGTTAGTTGAGTAGATACAGCATAAACATGTTTCTGAGATTACTTCTATCTCGCATTCATGGGAAGATATTTCCTTTTTCCAGATAGGCTACAAAGCCCTCCAAATGTCCACTTCCAGATACTACAAATAGAGTGCTGCACAACTGCTCTATGTGAGGGGAAGTTCAATTCTGTGACTTGAATGCAGACACCACAAAGAAGTTTCTGAGAATGCTGCTGTCTAATTTTTACATGTAAGCCCGTTTCCAACGAAATCCTCAAAGCTATCCAAATATCCGCATGCAGAATCTTCAAAAAGAGTGTTCCAGAAGTACTGCATGAAACGAAAGGTTCAAGTCCGTTTGTTGAGGACACACATCACAAATAAGTTTCTCAGAATGCTTCTGTCTTGTTTTCATTGGAAGATATTTCCTTTTTCACCATAGTTCAGAAAGCGCTCCAAATGTCCACTTCCAGATACTCCAAAAAGAGTGTTTCCAACCTGCTCTATGAATGGGAATGTTCCACTCTGTGACTTGAATGGAAATATGGCAAAGTATTTTCTGAGTATGCTGCTGTGTACGTTTTATATTGCATCCCGTTTCCAACGAAATCCTCAAAGCGATCCAAATATCCACTTGCAGATTCCAAAAAAAGAGTGTTTCAAACTGCTCTGTCAGTACAAAGGTTCAACACTGTTAGTTGATTAGATGCATCATAAACAAGTTCCTGAGATAGCTTCTATGTCGTTTTTATGGGAAGATATTTCCTTTTTCACCATAGGCCTGAAAGCGCTCCAAATGTCCACTTCCAGATACTACAATAAGAGTGTTTCCAACCTGCTCTATGAAACGGAAGGTTCAACTCTGTGACTTGATTGCAAACATCACGAAGGTGTTTCTGAGAATGCTTCTGTCTAGATTTTCTTTGAAGACATTCCCGTTTCCAACGAAATCCTCACAGCTATCCAAATATCCTCTTGCAGATTCTACAAAAAGTGTGGTTCAAAACTGCTGTATCAAAAGAATGGATCAACACTGTTAGTTGAGTACCCACATCACAAACGTGATTCTCAGAATGCTTCTGTCTAGTTTCTGTAGGTAGATATTTCCTATTTTAAGCATAGGCCTGAAAGCGCTCCAAATGCCCGCTTCCAGACACTATAAAAAGAGGGTTTCAAACCTACTCTATGAAAGGGAATGTTCAACTCTGAGAGCTGGATGCAAACATCACAAAGAAGTTTCTGAGAATGCTGCTGTCTACTTTTGATATATAATCCCGTTTCCAACGAAATCCTCAAATCTATCCAAATATCCACTTGCAGATTCCAAAAGAAGAGTGTCTCAAAACTGCTCTATCAATAGAAATGTTCAGCACAGTTAGTTGAGTAGATACAGCATAAACATGTTTCTGAGATTACTTCTATCTCGCATTCATGGGAAGATATTTCCTTTTTCCACATAGGCTACAAAGCCCTCCAAATGTCCACTTCCAGATACTACAAAAAGAGTGTTTCCAACCTGCTCTATGAAACGGAAGGTTCAACTCTGTGACTTGATTGCAAACATCACGAAGGTGTTTCTGAGAATGCTTCTGTCTAGATTTTCTTTGAAGACATTACCGTTTCCAACGAAATCCTCAAAGCTAGCCAAATATCCACCTGCAGATTCTACAAAAAGAGTGTTTCAAAAGTGCTCTGTCCAAACCAAGGTTCAATTCTGACAGTTGAGTGCACACATCACAAACGTGATTCTGCGAATGCTTCTGTCTAGTTTTTGTCGGAAGATATTTCCTTTTTCAGCATAGGCCCCAAGGAGCTCAAAATGTCCACTGCCAGATAGTACGAGAAGATTGTTTCAAACCTGCTCTGTGAAAGGGAATGTTCAACTCTGTGACTTGAATGTAAACATCCCTAAGATGTTTCTTAGAATGCTTCTGGCTAGATTTGATTTGAAGATATTCCCGTTTCCAACGAAATCCTCAAAGCTTTCCAAATATCCACTTCCAGATTCTATAAAAAGAATGTTTCAGAACAGTTCTGTCAAAAGAAAGGTTCAACTCTGTTAGTGGAGAACACACATCACAATCAAGGTTCTGAGAATGCTTCTGTCTAAATTTTCTATGAAGACATTCCCGTTTCCAACGAAATCCTCACAGCTATCCAAATATCCACTTGCAGATTCTACAAAAAGTGTGGTTCAAAACTGCTGTATCAAAAGAATGGATCAACACTGTTAGTTGAGTACCCACATCACAAACGTGATTCTCAGAATGCTTCTGTCTAGTTTCTTTAGGTAGATATTTCCTTTTTCAGCATAGGCCTGAAAGCGCTCCAAATGCCCGCTTCCAGACACTATAAAAAGAGGGTTTCAAACCGACTCTACGAAAGGGAATGTTCAACTCTGAGAGCTGGATGCAAACATCACAAAGAAGTTTCTGAGAATGCGGCTGTCTACATTTTATATATAATCCCGTTGTCAACGAAATCCTCAAATCTTTCCAAATATCCACTTGCAGATTCCAAAAGAAGAGTGTCTCAAAACTGCTCTATCAATAGAAATGTTCAGCACAGTTAGTTGAGTAGATACAGCATAAACATGTTTCTGAGATTACTTCTATCTCGCATTCATGGGAAGATATTTCCTTTTTCCAGATAGGCTACAAAGCCCTCCAAATGTCCACTTCGAGATACAACAAATAGAGTGCTGCACAACTGCTCTATGTGAGGGGATGTTCAATTCTGTGACTTGAATGCAGACACCACAAAGAAGTTTCTGAGAATGCTGCTGTCTAATTTTTATATGTAAGCCCGTTTCCAACGAAATCCTCAAAGCGATCCAAATATCCACTTGCAGATTCCAAAAAAAAAGAGTGTTTCACACTGCTCTCTCAGTACAAAGGTTCAACACTGTTAGTTGATTGGATGCATCATAAACAAGTTCCTGAGATAGCTTCTATGTCGTTTTTATGGGAAGATATTTCCTTTTTCACCATAGGCCTGAAAGCGCTCCAAATGTCCACTTCCAGATACTACAAAAAGAGTGTTTCCAACCTGCTCTATGAAACGGAAGGTTCAACTCTGTGACTTGATTGCAAACATCACGAAGGTGTTCTGAGAATGTTTCTGTCTAGATTTTCTTTGAAGACATTACCGTTTCCAACGAAATCCTCAAAGCTAGTCAAATATCCACCTGCAGATTCTACAAAAAGAGTGTTTCAAAAGTGCTCTGTCCAAACCAAGGTTCAATTGTGACAGTTGAGTGCACACATCACAAACGTGATTCTGCGAATGCTTCTGTCTTGTTTTTGTCGGAAGATATTTCCTTTCTCAGCATAGGCCCCAAGGAGCTCAAAATGTCCACTTCCAGATAGTACGAGAAGATTGTTTCAAACCTGCTCTGTGAAAGGGAATGTTCAACTCTGTGACTTGAATGTAAACATCCCTAAGATGTTTCTTAGAATGTTTCTGGCTAGATTTGATTTGAAGATATTCCCGTTTCCAACAAAATCCTCAAAGCTTTCCAAATATCCACTTCCAGATTCTATAAAAAGAATGTTTCAGAACAGTTCTGTCAAAAGAAAGGTTCAACTCTGTTAGTGGAGAACACACATCACAATCAAGGTTCTGAGAATGCTTCTGTCTAAATTTTCTATGAAGACATTCCCGTTTCCAACGAAATCCTCACAGCTATCCAAATATCCACTTGCAGATTCTACAAAAAGTGTGGTTCAAAACTGCTGTATCAAAAGAATGGATCAACACTGTTAGTTGAGTACCCACATCACAAACGTGATTCTCAGAATGCTTCTGTCTAGTTTCTATAGGTAGATATTTCCTTTTTCAGCATAGGCCTGAAAGCGCTCCAAATGCCCGCTTCCAGACACTATAAAAAGAGGGTTTCAAACCTACTCTATGAAAGGGAATGTTCAACTCTGGGAGCTGGATGCAAACATCACAAAGAAGTTTCTGAGAATGCTGCTGTCTACTTTTTATATATCATCCCGTTTCCAACGAAATCCTCAAATCTATCCAAATATCCACTTGCAGATTCCAAAAGAAGAGTGTCTCAAAACTGCTCTATCAATAGAAATGTTCAGCACAGTTAGTTGAGTAGATACAGCATAAACATGTTTCTGAGATTACTTCTATCTCGCATTCATGGGAAGATATTTCCTTTTTCCACATAGGCTACAAAGCCCTCCAAATGTCCATTTCCAGATACTACAAATAGAGTGCTGCACAACTGCTCTATGTGAGGGGAAGTTCAATTCTGTGACTTGAATGCAGACACCACAAAGAAGTTTCTGAGAATGCTGCTGTCTAATTTTTACATGTAAGCCCGTTTCCAACGAAATCCTCAAAGCTATCCAAATATCCGCATGCAGAATCTTCAAAAAGAGTGTTCCAGAAGTACTGCATGAAACGAAAGGTTCAAGTCCGTTTGTTGAGGACACACATCACAAATAAGTTTCTCAGAATGCTTCTGTCTTGTTTTCATTGGAAGATATTTCCTTTTTCACCATAGTTCAGAAAGCGCTCCAAATGTCCACTTCCAGATACTCCAAAAAGAGTGTTTCCAACCTGCTCTATGAATGGGAATGTTCCACTCTGTGACTTGAATGGAAATATGGCAAAGTATTTTCTGAGTATGCTGCTGTGTACGTTTTATATTGCATCCCGTTTCCAACGAAATCCTCAAAGCGATCCAAATATCCACTTGCAGATTCCAAAAAAAGAGTGTTTCAAAGTGCTCTGTCAGTACAAAGGTTCAACACTGTTAGTTGATTAGATGCATCATAAACAAGTTCCTGAGATAGCTTCTATGTCGTTTTTATGGGAAGATATTTCCTTTTTCACCATAGGCCTGAAAGCGCTCCAAATGTCCACTTCCAGATACTACAAAAAGAGTGTTTCCAACCTGCTCTATGAAACGGAAGGTTCAACTCTGTGACTTGATTGCAAACATCACGAAGGTGTTTCTGAGAATGTTTCTGTCTAGATTTTCTTTGAAGACATTACCGTTTCCAACGAAATCCTCAAAGCTAGCCAAATATCCACCTGCAGATTCTACAAAAAGAGTGTTTCAAAAGTGCTCTGTCCAAACAAAGGTTCAATTCTGACAGTTGAGTGCACACATCACAAACGTGATTCTGCGAATGCTTCTGTCTAGTTTTTGTCGGAAGATATTTCCTTTTTCAGCATAGGCCCCAAGGAGCTCAAAATGTCCACTTCCAGATAGTACGAGAAGATTGTTTCAAACCTGCTCTGTGAAAGGGAATGTTCAACCCTGTGACTTGAATGTAAACATCCCTAAGATGTTTCTTAGAATGCTTCTGGCTAGATTTGATTTGAAGATATTCCCGTTTACAATGAAATCCTCAAAGCTTTCCAAATATCCACTTCCAGATTCTATAAAAAGAATGTTTCAAAACAGTTCTGTCAAAAGAAAGGTTCAACCCTGTTAGTGGAGAACACACATCACAATCAAGGTTCTGAGAATGCTTCTGTCTAAATTTTCTATGAAGACATTCCCGTTTCCAACGAAATCCTCACAGCTATCCAAATATCCACTTGCAGATTCTACAAAAAGTGTGGTTCAAAACTGCTGTATCAAAAGAATGGATCAACACTGTTAGTTGAGTACCCACATCACAAACGTGATTCTCAGAATGCTTCTGTCTACTTTCTATAGGTAGATATTTCCTTTTTCAGCATAGGCCTGAAAGCGCTCCAAATGCCCGCTTCCAGACACTATAAAAAGAGGGTTTCAAACCTACTCTACGAAAGGGAATGTTCAACTCTGAGAGCTGGATGCAAACATCACAAAGAAGTTTCTGAGAATGCTGCTGTCTACTTTTTATATATAATCCCGTTTCCATGGAAATCCTCAAATCTATCCAAATATCCACTTGCAGATTCCAAAAGAAGAGTGTCTCAAAACTGCTCTATCAATAGAAATATTCAGCACAGTTAGTTGAGTAGATACAGCATAAACATGTTTCTGAGATTACTTCTATCTCGCATTCATGGGAAGATATTTCCTTTTTCCAGATAGGCTACAAAGCCCTCCAAATGTCCACTTCGAGATACTACAAATAGAGTGCTGCACAACTGCTCTATGTGACGGGATGTTCAATTCTGTGACTTGAATGCAGACACCACAAAGAAGTTTCTGAGAATGCTGCTGTCTAATTTTTATATGTAAGCCCGTTTCCAACGAAATCCTCAAAGCTATCCAAATATCCGCATGCAGAATCTTCAAAAAGAGTGTTCCAGAAGTACTGCATGAAACGAAAGGTTCAAGTCCGTTAGTTGAGGACACACATCACAAATAAGTTTCTCAGAATGCTTCTGTCTTGTTTTCATTGGAAGATATTTCCTTTTTCACCATAGTTCAGAAAGCGCTCCAAATGTCCACTTCCAGATACTACAAAAAGGGTGTGTCAAACCTGCTCTATGAATGGGAATGTTCCACTCTGTGACTTGAATGGAAATATGGCAAAGTATTTTCTGAGTATGCTGCTGTGTACGTTTTATATTGCATCCCGTTTCCAACGAAATCCTCAAAGCGATCCAAATATCCACTTGCAGATTCCAAAAAAAAGAGTGTTTCACACTGCTCTGTCAGTACAAAGGTTCAACACTGTTAGTTGATTGGATGCATCATAAACAAGTTCCTGAGATAGCTTCTATGTCGTTTTTATGGGAAGATATTTCCTTTTTCACCATAGGCCTGAAAGCGCTCCAAATGTCCACTTCCAGATACTACAAAAAGAGTGTTTCCAACCTGCTCTATGAAACGGAAGGTTCAACTCTGTGACTTGATTGCAAACATCACGAAGGTGTTTCTGAGAATGTTTCTGTCTAGATTTTCTTTGAAGACATTACCGTTTCCAACGAAATCCTCAAAGCTAGCCAAATATCCACCTGCAGATTCTACAAAAAGAGTGTTTCAAAAGTGCTCTGTCCAAACAAAGGTTCAATTCCGACAGTTGAGTGCACACATCACAAACGTGATTCTGCGAATGCTTCTGTCTAGTTTTTGTCGGAAGATATTTCCTTTTTCAGCATAGGCCCCAAGGAGCTCAAAATGTCCACTTCCAGATAGTACGAGAAGATTGCTTCAAACCTGCTCTGTGAAAGGGAATGTTCAACTCTGTGACTTGAATGTAAACATCCCTAAAATGTTTCATAGAATGCTTCTGGCTAGATTTGATTTGAAGATATTCCCGTTTCAAACGAAATACTCAAAGCTTTCCAAATATCCACTTCCAGATTCTATACAAAGAATGTTTCAGAACAGTTCTGTCAAAAGAAAGGTTCAACCCTGTTAGTGGAGAACACACATCACAATCAAGGTTCTGAGAATGCTTCTGTCTAAATTTTCTATGAAGACATTCCCGTTTCCAAGGAAATCCTCACAGCTATCCAAATATCCACTTGCAGATTCTACAAAAAGTGTGGTTCAAAACTGCTGTATCAAAAGAATGGATCAACACTGTTAGTTGAGTACCCACATCACAAACGTGATTCTCAGAATGCTTCTGTCTAGTTTCTATAGGTAGATATTTCCTTTTTCAGCATAGGCCTGAAAGCGCTCCAAATGCCCGCTTCCAGACACTATAAAAAGAGGGTTTCAAACCTACTCTACGAAAGGGAATGTTCAACTCTGAGAGCTGGATGCAAACATCACAAAGAAGTTTCTGAGAATGCGGCTGTCTACTTTTTATATATAATCCCGTTGCCAACGAAATCCTCAAATCTATCCAAATATCCACTTGCAGATTCCAAAAGAAGAGTGTCTCAAAACTGCTCTATCAATGGAAATGTTCAGCACAGTTAGTTGAGTAGATACAGCATAAACATGTTTCTGAGATTACTTCTATCTCACATTCATGGGAAGATATTTCCTTTTTCCAGATAGGCTACAAAGCCCTCCAAATGTCCACTTCGAGATACTACAAATAGAGTGCTGCACAACTGCTCTATGTGTGGGGATGTTCAATTCTGTGACTTGGATTCAGACACCACAGAGAAGTTTCTGAGAATGCTGCTGTCTAATTTTTATATGTAAGCCCGTTTCCATCGAAATCCTCAAAGCTATCCAAATATCCGCATGCAGAATCTTCAAAAAGAGTGTTCCAGAAGTACTGCATGAAACGAAAGGTTCAAGTCCGTTAGTTGAGGACACACATCACAAATAAGTTTCTCAGAATGCTTCTGTCTTGTTTTCATTGGAAGATATTTCCTTTTTCACCATAGTTCAGAAAGCCCTCCAAATGTCCACTTCCAGATACTCCAAAAAGAGTGTTTCCAACCTGCTCTATGAATGGGAATGTTCCACTCTGTGACTTGAATGGAAATATGGCAAAGAATTTTCTGAGTATGCTGCTGTGTACGTTTTATATTGCATCCCGTTTCCAACGAAATCCTCAAGTGATCCAAATATCCACTTGCAGATTCCAAAAAAAGAGTGTTTCAAACTGCTCTGTCAGTACAAAGGTTCAACACTGTTAGTTGATTAGATGCATCATAAACAAGTTCCTGAGATAGCTTCTATGTCGTTTTTATGGGAAGATATTTCCTTTTTCACCATAGGCCTGAAAGCGCTCCAAATGTCCACTTCCAGATACTACAAAAAGAGTGTTTCCAACCTGCTCTATGAAACGGAAGGTTCAACTCTGTGACTTGATTGCAAACATCACGAAGGTGTTTCTGAGAATGCTTCTGTCTAGATTTTCTTTGAAGACATTACCGTTTCCAATGAAATCCTCAAAGCTAGCCAAATATCCACCTGCAGATTCTACAAAAAGAGTGTTTCAAAAGTGCTCTGTCCAAACCAAGGTTCAATTCTGACAGTTGAGTGCACACATCACAAACGTGATTCTGCGAATGCTTCTGTCTAGTTTTTGTCGGAAGATATTTCCTTTTTCAGCATAGGCCCCAAGGAGCTCAAAATGTCCACTGCCAGATAGTACGAGAAGATTGTTTCAAACCTGCTCTGTGAAAGGGAATGTTCAACTCTGTGACTTGAATGTAAACATCCCTAAGATGTTTCTTAGAATGCTTCTGGCTAGATGTGATTTGAAGATATTCCCGTTTCCAACGAAATCCTCAAAGCTTTCCAAATATCCACTTCCAGATTCTATAACAAGAATGTTTCAGAACAGTTCTGTCAAAAGAAAGGTTCAACTCTGTTAGTGGAGAACACACATCACAATCAAGGTTCTGAGAATGCTTCTGTCTAAATTTTTCTATGAAGACATTCCCGTTTCCAACGAAATCCTCACAGCTATCCAAATATCCACTTGCAGATTCTACAAAAAGGGTGGTTCAAAACTGCTGTATCAAAAGAATGGATCAACACTGTTAGTTGAGTACCCACATCACAAACGTGATTCTCAGAATGCTTCTGTCTAGTTTCTGTAGGTAGATATTTCCTATTTTAAGCATAGGTCTGAAAGCGCTCCAAATGCCCGCTTCCAGACACTATAAAAAGAGGGTTTCAAACCTACTCTATGAAAGGGAATGTTCAACTCTGAGAGCTGGATGCAAACATCACAAAGAAGTTTCTGAGAATGCTGCTGTCTACTTTTTATATATAATCCCGTTTCCAACGAAATCCTCAAATCTCTCCAAATATCCACTTGCAGATTCCAAAAGAAGAGTGTCTCAAAACTGCTCTATCAATAGAAATGTTCAGCACAGTTAGTTGAGTAGATACAGCATAAACATGTTTCTGAGATTACTTCTATCTCGCATTCATGGGAAGATATTTCCTTTTTCCACATAGGCTACAAAGCCCTCCAAATGTCCACTTCCAGATACTACAAAAAGAGTGTTTCCAACCTGCTCTATGAAACGGAAGGTTCAACTCTGTGACTTGATTGCAAACATCACGAAGGTGTTTCTGAGAATGCTTCTGTCTAGATTTTCTTTGAAGACATTACCGTTTCCAACGAAATCCTCAAAGCTAGCCAAATATCCACCTGCAGATTCTACAAAAAGAGTGTTTCAAAAGTGCTCTGTCCAAACCAAGGTTCAATTCTGACAGTTGAGTGCACACATCACAAACGTGATTCTGCGAATGCTTCTGTCTAGTTTTTGTCGGAAGATATTTCCTTTTTCAGCATAGGCCCCAAGGAGCTCAAAATGTCCACTGCCAGATAGTACGAGAAGATTGTTTCAAACCTGCTCTGTGAAAGGGAATGTTCAACTCTGTGACTTGAATGTAAACATCCCTAAGATGTTTCTTAGAATGCTTCTGGCTAGATTTGATTTGAAGATATTCCCGTTTCCAACGAAATCCTCAAAGCTTTCCAAATATCCACTTCCAGATTCTATAAAAAGAATGTTTCAGAACAGTTCTGTCAAAAGAAAGGTTCAACTCTGTTAGTGGAGAACACACATCACAATCAAGGTTCTGAGAATGCTTCCGTCTAAATTTTCTATGAAGACATTCCCGTTTCCAACGAAATCCTCACAGCTATCCAAATATCCACTTGCAGATTCTACAAAAAGTGTGGTTCAAAACTGCTGTATCAAAAGAATGGATCAACACTGTTAGTTGAGTACCCACATCACAAACGTGATTCTCAGAATGCTTCTGTCTAGTTTCTATAGGTAGATATTTCCTTTTTCAGCATAGGCCTGAAAGCGCTCCAAATGCCCGCTTCCAGACACTATAAAAAGAGGGTTTCAAACCTACTCTATGAAAGGGAATGTTCAACTCTGAGAGCTGGATGCAAACATCACAAAGAAGTTTCTGAGAATGCTGCTGTCTACTTTTTATATATAATCCCGTTTCCAACGAAATCCTCAAATCTATCCAAATATCCACTTGCAGATTCCAAAAGAAGAGTGTCTGAAAACTGCTCTATCAATAGAAATGTTCAGCACAGTTAGTTGAGTAGATACAGCATAAACATGTTTCTGAGATTACTTCTATCTCGCATTCATGGGAAGATATTTCCTTTTTCCACATAGGCTACAAAGCCCTCCAAATGTCCACTTCCAGATACTACAAATAGAGTGCTGCACAACTGCTCTATGTGAGGGGATGTTCAATTCTGTGACTTGAATGCAGACACCACAAAGAAGTTTCTGAGAATGCTGCTGTCTAATTTTTACATGTAAGCCCGTTTCCAACGAAATCCTCAAAGCTATCCAAATATCCGCATGCAGAATCTTCAAAAAGAGTGTTCCAGAAGTACTGCATGAAACGAAAGGTTCAAGTCCGTTTGTTGAGGACACACATCACAAATAAGTTTCTCAGAATGCTTCTGTCTTGTTTTCATTGGAAGATATTTCCTTTTTCACCATAGTTCAGAAAGCGCTCCAAATGTCCACTTCCAGATACTCCAAAAAGAGTGTTTCCAACCTGCTCTATGAATGGGAATGTTCCACTCTGTGACTTGAATGGAAATATGGCAAAGTATTTTCTGAGTATGCTGCTGTGTACGTTTTATATTGCATCCCGTTTCCAACGAAATCCTCAAAGCGATCCAAATATCCACTTGCAGATTCCAAAAAAAGAGTGTTTCAAACTGCTCTGTCAGTACAAAGGTTCAACACTGTTAGTTGATTAGATGCATCATAAACAAGTTCCTGAGATAGCTTCTATGTCGTTTTTATGGGAAGATATTTCCTTTTTCACCATAGGCCTGAAAGCGCTCCAAATGTCCACTTCCAGATACTACAATAAGAGTGTTTCCAACCTGCTCTATGAAACGGAAGGTTCAACTCTGTGACTTGATTGCAAACATCACGAAGGTGTTTCTGAGAATGCTTCTGTCTAGATTTTCTTTGAAGACATTCCCGTTTCCAACGAAATCCTCGCAGCTATCCAAATATCCTCTTGCAGATTCTACAAAAAGTGTGGTTCAAAACTGCTGTATCAAAAGAATGGATCAACACTGTTAGTTGAGTACCCACATCACAAACGTGATTCTCAGAATGCTTCTGTCTAGTTTCTGTAGGTAGATATTTCCTATTTTAAGCATAGGCCTGAAAGCGCTCCAAATGCCCGCTTCCAGACACTATAAAAAGAGGGTTTCAAACCTACTCTATGAAAGGGAATGTTCAACTCTGAGAGCTGGATGCAAACATCACAAAGAAGTTTCTGAGAATGCTGCTGTCTACTTTTTATATATAATCCCGTTTCCAACGAAATCCTCAAATCTATCCAAATATCCACTTGCAGATTCCAAAAGAAGAGTGTCTCAAAACTGCTCTATCAATAGAAATGTTCAGCACAGTTAGTTGAGTAGATACAGCATAAACATGTTTCTGAGATTACTTCTATCTCGCATTCATGGGAAGATATTTCCTTTTTCCAGATAGGCTACAAAGCCCTCCAAATGTCCACTTCCAGATACTACAAATAGAGTGCTGCACAACTGCTCTATGTGAGGGGAAGTTCAATTCTGTGACTTGAATGCAGACACCACAAAGAAGTTTCTGAGAATGCTGCTGTCTAATTTTTACATGTAAGACCGTTTCCAACGAAATCCTCAAAGCTATCCAAATATCCGCATGCAGAATCTTCAAAAAGAGTGTTCCAGAAGTACTGCATGAAACGAAAGGTTCAAGTCCGTTTGTTGAGGACACACATCACAAATAAGTTTCTCAGAATGCTTCTGTCTTGTTTTCATTGGAAGATATTTCCTTTTTCACCATAGTTCAGAAAGCGCTCCAAATGTCCACTTCCAGATACTCCAAAAAGAGTGTTTCCAACCTGCTCTATGAATGGGAATGTTCCACTCTGTGACTTGAATGGAAATATGGCAAAGTATTTTCTGAGTATGCTGCTGTGTACGTTTTATATTGCATCCCGTTTCCAACGAAATCCTCAAAGCGATCCAAATATCCACTTGCAGATTCCAAAAAAAGAGTGTTTCAAACTGCTCTGTCAGTACAAAGGTTCAACACTGTTAGTTGAGTAGATGCATCATAAACAAGTTCCTGAGATAGCTTCTATGTCGTTTTTATGGGAAGATATTTCCTTTTTCACCATAGGCCTGAAAGCGCTCCAAATGTCCACTTCCAGATACTACAATAAGAGTGTTTCCAACCTGCTCTATGAAACGGAAGGTTCAACTCTGTGACTTGATTGCAAACATCACGAAGGTGTTTCTGAGAATGCTTCTGTCTAGATTTTCTTTGAAGACATTACCGTTTCCAACGAAATCCTCACAGCTATCCAAATATCCACTTGCAGATTCTACAAAAAGTGTGGTTCAAAACTGCTGTATCAAAAGAATGGATCAACACTGTTAGTTGAGTACCCACATCACAAACGTGATTCTCAGAATGCTCTGTCTAGTTTCTGTAGGTAGATATTTCCTATTTTAAGCATAGGCCTGAAAGCGCTCCAAATGCCCGCTTCCAGACACTATAAAAAGAGGGTTTCAAACCTACTCTATGAAAGGGAATGCTCAACTCTGAGAGCTGGATGCAAACATCACAAAGAAGTTTCTGAGAATGCTGGCTGTCTACTTTTTATATATAATCCCGTTTCCAACCGAAATCCTCAAATCTATCCAAATATCCACTTGCAGATTCCAAAAGAAGAGTGTCTCAAAACTGCTCTATCAATAGAAATGTTCAGCACAGTTAGTTGAGTAGATACAGCATAAACACGTTTCTGAGATTACTTCTATCTCGCATTCATGGGAAGATATTTCCTTTTTCCAGATAGGCTACAAAGCCCTCCAAATGTCCACTTCGAGATACTACAAATAGAGTGCTGCACAGCTGCTCTATGTGAGGGGATGTTCAATTCTGTGACTTGAATGCAGACACCACAAAGAAGTTTCTGAGAATGCTGCTGTCTAATTTTTATATGTAAGCCCGTTTCCAACGAAATCTTCAAAGCTATCCAAATATCCGCATGCAGAATCTTAAAAAAGTGTGTTCCAGAAATACTGCATGAAACGAAAGGTTCAAGTCCGTTAGTTGAGGACACACATCACAAATAAGTTTCTCAGAATGCTTCTGTCTTGTTTTCATTGGAAGATATTTCCTTTTTCACCATAGTTCAGAAAGCGCTCCAAATGTCCACTTCCAGATACTCCAAAAAGAGTGTTTCCAACCTGCTCTATGAATGGGAATGTTCCACTCTGTGACTTGAATGGAAATATGGCAAAGTATTTTCTGAGTATGCTGCTGTGTACGTTTTATATTGCATCCCGTTTCCAACGAAATCCTCAAAGCGATCCAAATATCCACTTGCAGATTCCAAAAAAAAGAGTGTTTCACACTGCTCTGTCAGTACAAAGGTTCAACACTGTTAGTTGATTGGATGCATCATAAACAAGTTCCTGAGATAGCTTCTATGTCGTTTTTATGGGAAGATATTTCCTTTCTCACCATAGGCCTGAAAGCGCTCCAAATGTCCACTTCCAGATACTACAAAAAGAGTGTTTCCAACCTGCTCTATGAAACGGAAGGTTCAACTCTGTGACTTGATTGCAAACATCACGAAGGTGTTTCTGAGAATGTTTCTGTCTAGATTTTCTTTGAAGACATTACCGTTTCCAACGAAATCCTCAAAGCTAGCCAAATATCCACCTGCAGATTCTACAAAAAGAGTGTTTCAAAAGTGCTCTGTCCAAACAAAGGTTCAATTCTGACAGTTGAGTGCACACATCACAAACGTGATTCTGCGAATGCTTCTGTCTAGTTTTTGTCGGAAGATATTTCCTTTTTCAGCATAGGCCCCAAGGAGCTCAAAATGTCCACTTCCAGATAGTACGAGAAGATTGTTTCAAACCTGCTCTGTGAAAGGGAATGTTCAACTCTGTGACTTGAATGTAAACATCCCTAAGATGTTTCTTAGAATGCTTCTGGCTAGATTTGATTTGAAGATATTCCCGTTTCCAACGAAATCCTCAAAGCTTTCCAAATATCCACTTCCAGATTCTATAAAAAGAATGTTTCAGAACAGTTCTGTCAAAAGAAAGGTTCAAATCTGTTAGTGGAGAACACACATCACAATCAAAGTTCTGAGAATGCTTCTGTCTAAATTTTCTATGAAGACATTCCCGTTTCCAAGGAAATCCTCACAGCTATCCAAATATCCACTTGCAGATTCTACAAAAAGTGTGGTTCAAAACTGCTGTATCAAAAGAATGGATCAACACTGTTAGTTGAGTACCCACATCACAAACGTGATTCTCAGAATGCTTCTGTCTAGTTTCTATAGGTAGATATCTCCTTTTTCAGCATAGGCCTGAAAGCGCTCCAAATGCCCGCTTCCAGACACTATAAAAAGAGGGTTTCAAACCTACTCTATGAAAGGGAATGTTCAACTCTGAGAGCTGGATGCAAACATCACAAAGAAGTTTGCTGAGAATGCTGCTGTCTACTTTTGATATATAATCCCGTTTCCAACGAAATCCTCAAATCTATCCAAATATCCACTTGCAGATTCCAAAAGAAGAGTGTCTCAAAACTGCTCTATCAATAGAAATGTTCAGCACAGTTAGTTGAGTAGATACAGCATAAACATGTTTCTGAGATTACTTCTATCTCGCATTCATGGGAAGATATTTCCTTTTTCCAGATAGGCTACAAAGCCCTCCAAATGTCCACTTCCAGATACTACAAAAAGAGTGTTTCCAACCTGCTCTATGAAACGGAAGGTTGAACTCTGTGACTTGATTGCAAACATCACGAAGGTGTTTCTGAGAATGCTTCTGTCTAGATTTTCTTTGAAGACATTACCGTTTCCAACGAAATCCTCAAAGCTAGCTAAATATCCACCTGCAGATTCTACAAAAAGAGTGTTTCAAAAGTGCTCTGTCCAAACCAAGGTTCAATTCTGACAGTTGAGTGCACACATCACAAACGTGATTCTGCGAATGCTTCTGTCTAGTTTTTGTCGGAAGATATTTCCTTTTTCAGCATAGACCCCAAGGAGCTCAAAATGTCCACTGCCAGATAGTACGAGAAGATTGTTTCAAACCTGCTCTGTGAAAGGGAATGTTCAACTCTGTGACTTGAATGTAAACATCCCTAAGATGTTTCTTGGAATGCTTCTGGCTAGATTTTATTTGAAGATATTCCCGTTTCCAACGAAATCCTCAAAGCTTTCCAAATATCCACTTCCAGATTCTATAAAAAGAATGTTTCAGAACAGTTCTGTCAAAAGAAAGGTTCAACTCTGTTAGTGGAGAACACACATCACAATCAAGGTTCTGAGAATGCTTCTGTCTAAATTTTCTATGAAGACATTCCCGTTTCCAACGAAATCCTCACAGCTATCCAAATATCCACTTGCAGATTCTACAAAAAGTGTGGTTCAAAACTGCTGTATCAAAAGAATGGATCAACACTGTTAGTTGAGTACCCACATCACAAACGTGATTCTCAGAATGCTTCTGTCTAGTTTCTATAGGTAGATATTTCCTTTTTCAGCATAGGCCTGAAAGCGCTCCAAATGCCCGCTTCCAGACACTATAAAAAGAGGGTTTCAAACCTACTCTATGAAAGGGAATGTTCAACTCTGAGAGCTGGATGCAAACATCACAAAGAAGTTTCTGAGAATGCTGCTGTCTACTTTTTATATATAATCCCGTTTCCAACGAAATCCTCAAATCTATCCAAATATCCACTTGCAGATTCCAAAAGAAGAGTGTCTCAAAACTGCTCTATCAATAGAAATGTTCAGCACAGTTAGTTGAGTAGATACAGCATAAACATGTTTCTGAGATTACTTCTATCTCGCATTCATGGGAAGATATTTCCTTTTTCCACATAGGCTACAAAGCCCTCCCAATGTCCACTTCCAGATACTACAAAAAGAGTGTTTCCAACCTGCTCTATGAAACGGAAGGTTCAACTCTGTGACTTGATTGCAAACATCACGAAGGTGTTTCTGAGAATGCTTCTGTCTAGATTTTCTTTGAAGACATTACCGTTTCCAACGAAATCCTCAAAGCTAGCCAAATATCCACCTGCAGATTCTACAAAAAGAGTGTTTCAAAAGTGCTCTGTCCAAACCAAGGTTCAATTCTGACAGTTGAGTGCACACATCACAAACGTGATTCTGCGAATGCTTCTGTCTAGTTTTTGTCGGAAGATATTTCCTTTTTCAGCATAGGCCCCAAGGAGCTCAAAATGTCCACTGCCAGATAGTACGAGAAGATTGTTTCAAACCTGCTCTGTGAAAGGGAATGTTCAACTCTGTGACTTGAATGTAAACATCCCTAAGATGTTTCTTAGAATGCTTCTGGCTAGATTTGATTTGAAGATATTCCCGTTTCCAACGAAATCCTCAAAGCTTTCCAAATATCCACTTCCAGATTCTATAAAAAGAATGTTTCAGAACAGTTCTGTCAAAAGAAAGGTTCAACTCTGTTAGTGGAGAACACACATCACAATCAAGGTTCTGAGAATGCTTCTGTCTAAATTTTCTATGAAGCACATTCCCGTTTCCAACGAAATCCTCACAGCTATCCAAATATCCACTTGCAGATTCTACAAAAAGTGTGGTTCAAAACTGCTGTATCAAAAGAATGGATCAACACTGTTAGTTGAGTACCCACATCACAAACGTGATTCTCAGAATGCTTCTGTCTAGTTTCTATAGGTAGATATTTCCTTTTTCAGCATAGGCCTGAAAGCGCTCCAAATGCCCGCTTCCAGACACTATAAAAAGAGGGTTTCAAACGTACTCTATGAAAGGGAATGTTCAACTCTGGGAGCTGGATGCAAACATCACAAAGAAGTTTCTGAGAATGCTGCTGTCTACTTTTTATATATAATCCCGTTTCCAACGAAATCCTCAAATCTATCCAAATATCCACTTGCAGATTCCAAAAGAAGAGTGTCTCAAAACTGCTCTATCAATAGAAATGTTCAGCACAGTTAGTTGAGTAGATACAGCATAAACATGTTTCTGAGATTACTTCTATCTCGCATTCATGGGAAGATATTTCCTTTTTCCAGATAGGCTACAAAGCCCTCCAAATGTCCACTTCCAGATACTACAAAAAGTGTGTTTCCAACCTGCTCTATGAAACGGAAGGTTCAACTCTGTGACTTGATTGCAAACATCACGAAGGTGTTTCTGAGAATGCTTCTGTCTAGATTTTCTTTGAAGACATTACCGTTTCCAACGAAATCCTCAAAGCTAGCCAAATATCCACCTGCAGATTCTACAAAAAGAGTGTTTCAAAAGTGCTCTCTCCAAACCAAGGTTCAATTCTGACAGTTGAGTGCACACATCACAAACGTGATTCTGCGAATGCTTCTGTCTAGTTTTTGTCGGAAGATATTTCCTTTTTCAGCATAGGCCCCAAAGAGCTCAAAATGTCCACTGCCAGATAGTACGAGAAGATTGTTTCAAACCTGCTCTGTGAAAGGGAATGTTCAACTCTGTGACTTGAATGTAAACATCCCTAAGATGTTTCTTAGAATGCTTCTGGCTAGATTTTATTTGAAGATATTCCCGTTTCCAACGAAATCCTCAAAGCTTTCCAAATATCCACTTCCAGATTCTATAAAAAGAATGTTTCAGAACAGTTCTGTCAAAAGAAAGGTTCAACTCTGTTAGTGGAGAACACACATCACAATCAAGGTTCTGAGAATGCTTCTCTCTAAATTTTCTATGAAGACATTCCCGTTTCCAACGAAATCCTCACAGCTATCCAAATATCCACTTGCAGATTCTACAAAAAGTGTGGTTCAAAACTGCTGTATCAAAAGAATGGATCAACACTGTTAGTTGAGTACCCACATCACAAACGTGATTCTCAGAATGCTTCTGTCTAGTTTCTATAGGTAGATATTTCCTTTTTCAGCATAGGCCTGAAAGCGCTCCAAATGCCCGCTTCCAGACACTATAAAAAGAGGGTTTCAAACCTACTCTATGAAAGGGAATGTTCAACTCTGAGAGCTGGATGCAAACATCACAAAGAAGTTTCTGAGAATGCTGCTGTCTACTTTTTATATATAATCCCGTTTCCAACGAAATCCTCAAATCTATCCAAATATCCACTTGCAGATTCCAAAAGAAGAGTGTCTCAAAACTGCTCTATCAATAGAAATGTTCAGCACAGTTAGTTGAGTAGATACAGCATAAACATGTTTCTGAGATTACTTCTATCTCGCATTCATGGGAAGATATTTCCTTTTTCCAGATAGGCTACAAAGCCCTCCAAATGTCCACTTCCAGATACTACAAATAGAGTGCTGCACAACTGCTCTATGTGAGGGGAAGTTCAATTCTGTGACTTGAATGCAGACACCACAAAGAAGTTTCTGAGAATGCTGCTGTCTAATTTTTACATGTAAGCCCGTTTCCAACGAAATCCTCAAAGCTATCCAAATATCCGCATGCAGAATCTTCAAAAAGAGTGTTCCAGAAGTACTGCATGAAACGAAAGGTTCAAGTCCGTTTGTTGAGGACACACATCACAAATAAGTTTCTCAGAATGCTTCTGTCTTGTTTTCATTGGAAGATATTTCCTTTTTCACCATAGTTCAGAAAGCGCTCCAAATGTCCACTTCCAGATACTCCAAAAAGAGTGTTTCAAACCTGCTCTATGAATGGGAATGTTCCACTCTGTGACTTGAATGGAAATATGGCAAAGTATTTTCTGAGTATGCTGCTGTGTACGTTTTATATTGCATCCCGTTTCCAACGAAATCCTCAAAGCGATCCAAATATCCACTTGCAGATTCCAAAAAAAGAGTGTTTCAAACTGCTCTGTCAGTACAAAGGTTCAACACTGTTAGTTGATTAGATGCATCATAAACAAGTTCCTGAGATAGCTTCTATGTCGTTTTTATGGGAAGATATTTCCTTTTTCACCATAGGCCTGAAAGCGCTCCAAATGTCCACTTCCAGATACTACAATAAGAGTGTTTCCAACCTGCTCTATGAAACGGAAGGTTCAACTCTGTGACTTGATTGCAAACATCACGAAGGTGTTTCTGAGAATGCTTCTGTCTAGATTTTCTTTGAAGACATTCCCGTTTCCAACGAAATCCTCACAGCTATCCAAATATCCTCTTGCAGATTCTACAAAAAGTGTGGTTCAAAACTGCTGTATCAAAAGAATGGATCAACACTGTTAGTTGAGTACCCACATCACAAACGAGATTCTCAGAATGCTTCTGTCTAGTTTCTGTAGGTAGATATTTCCTATTTTAAGCATAGGCCTGAAAGCGCTCCAAATGCCCGCTTCCAGACACTATAAAAAGAGGGTTTCAAACCTACTCTATGAAAGGGAATGTTCAACTCTGAGAGCTGGATGCAAACATCACAAAGAAGTTTCTGAGAATGCTGCTGTCTACTTTTTATATATAATCCCGTTTCCAACGAAATCCTCAAATCTCTCCAAATATCCACTTGCAGATTCCAAAAGAAGAGTGTCTCAAAACTGCTCTATCAATAGAAATGTTCAGCACAGTTAGTTGAGTAGATACAGCATAAACATGTTTCTGAGATTACTTCTATCTCGCATTCATGGGAAGATATTTCCTTTTTCCACATAGGCTACAAAGCCCTCCAAATGTCCACTTCCAGATACTACAAAAAGAGTGTTTCCAACCTGCTCTATGAAACGGAAGGTTCAACTCTGTGACTTGATTGCAAACATCACGAAGGTGTTTCTGAGAATGCTTCTGTCTAGATTTTCTTTGAAGACATTACCGTTTCCAACGAAATCCTCAAAGCTAGCCAAATATCCACCTGCAGATTCTACAAAAAGAGTGTTTCAAAAGTGCTCTGTCCAAACCAAGGTTCAATTCTGACAGTTGAGTGCACACATCACAAACGTGATTCTGCGAATGCTTCTGTCTAGTTTTTGTCGGAAGATATTTCCTTTTTCACCATAGGCCCCAAGGAGCTCAAAATGTCCACTGCCAGATAGTACGAGAAGATTGTTTCAAACCTGCTCTGTGAAAGGGAATGTTCAACTCTGTGACTTGAATGTAAACATCCCTAAGATGTTTACTTAGAATGCTTCTGGCTAGATTTTATTTGAAGATATTCCCGTTTCCAACGAAATCCTCAAAGCTTTCCAAATATCCACTTCCAGATTCTACAAAAAGAATGTTTCAGAACAGTTCTGTCAAAAGAAAGGTTCAACTCTGTTAGTGGAGAACACACATCACAATCAAGGTTCTGAGAATGCTTCTGTCTAAATTTTCTATGAAGACATTCCCGTTTCCAACGAAATCCTCACAGCTATCCAAATATCCACTTGCAGATTCTACAAAAAGTGTGGTTCAAAACTGCTGTATCAAAAGAATGGATCAACACTGTTAGTTGAGTACCCACATCACAAACGTGATTCTCAGAATGCTTCTGTCTAGTTTCTATAGGTAGATATTTCCTTTTTCAGCATAGGCCTGAAAGCGCTCCAAATGCCCGCTTCCAGACACTATAAAAAGAGGGTTTCAAACCTACTCTATGAAAGGGAATGTTCAACTCTGAGAGCTGGATGCAAACATCACAAAGAAGTTTCTGAGAATGCTGCTGTCTACTTTTTATATATAATCCCGTTTCCAACGAAATCCTCAAATCTATCCAAATATCCACTTGCAGATTCCAAAAGAAGAGTGTCTCAAAACTGCTCTATCAATAGAAATGTTCAGCACAGTTAGTTGAGTAGATACAGCATAAACATGTTTCTGAGATTACTTCTATCTCGCATTCATGGGAAGATATTTCCTTTTTCCACATAGGCTACAAAGCCCTCCAAATGTCCACTTCCAGATACTACAAAAAGAGTGTTTCCAACCTGCTCTATGAAACGGAAGGTTCAACTCTGTGACTTGATTGCAAATATCACGAAGGTGTTTCTGAGAATGCTTCTGTCTAGATTTTCTTTGAAGACATTACCGTTTCCAACGAAATCCTCAAAGCTAGCCAAATATCCACCTGCAGATTCTACAAAGAGAGTGTTTCAAAAGTGCTCTGTCCAAACCAAGGTTCAATTCTGACAGTTGAGTGCACACATCACAAACGTGATTCTGCGAATGCTTCTGTCTAGTTTTTGTCGGAAGATATTTCCTTTTTCAGCATAGGCCCCAAGGAGCTCAAAATGTCCACTGCCAGATAGTACGAGAAGATTGTTTCAAACCTGCTCTGTGAAAGGGAATGTTCAACTCTGTGACTTGAATGTAAACATCCCTAAGATGTTTCTTAGAATGCTTCTGGCTAGATTTGATTTGAAGATATTCCCGTTTCCAACGAAATCCTCAAAGCTTTCCAAATATCCACTTCCAGATTCTATAAAAAGAATGTTTCAGAACAGTTCTGTCAAAAGAAAGGTTCAACTCTGTTAGTGGAGAACACACATCACAATCAAGGTTCTGAGAATGTTTCTGTCTAAATTTTCTATGAAGACATTCCCGTTTCCAACGAAATCCTCACAGCTATCCAAATATCCACTTGCAGATTCTACAAAAAGTGTGGTTCAAAACTGGTGTATCAAAAGAATGGATCAACACTGTTAGTTGAGTACCCACATCACAAACGTGATTCTCAGAATGCTTCTGTCTAGTTTCTATAGGTAGATATTTCCTTTTTCAGCATAGGCCTGAAAGCGCTCCAAATGCCCGCTTCCAGACACTATAAAAAGAGGGTTTCAAACCTACTCTATGAAAGGGAATGTTCAACTCTGAGAGCTGGATGCAAACATCACAAAGAAGTTTCTGAGAATGCTGCTGTCTACTTTTTATATATCATCCCGTTTCCAACGAAATCCTCAAATCTATCCAAATATCCACTTGCAGATTCCAAAAGAAGAGTGTCTCAAAACTGCTCTATCAATAGAAATGTTCAGCACAGTTAGTTGAGTAGATACAGCATAAACATGTTTCTGAGATTACTTCTATCTCGCATTCATGGGAAGATATTTCCTTTTTCCAGATAGGCTACAAAGCCCTCCAAATGTCCACTTCCAGATACTACAAATAGAGTGCTGCACAACTGCTCTATGTGAGGGGAAGTTCAATTCTGTGACTTGAATGCAGACACCACAAAGAAGTTTCTGAGAATGCTGCTGTCTAATTTTTACATGTAAGCCCGTTTCCAACGAAATCCTCAAAGCTATCCAAATATCCGCATGCAGAATCTTCAAAAAGAGTGTTCCAGAAGTACTGCATGAAACGAAAGGTTCAAGTCCGTTTGTTGAGGACACACATCACAAATAAGTTTCTCAGAATGCTTCTGTCTTGTTTTCATTGGAAGATATTTCCTTTTTCACCATAGTTCAGAAAGCGCTCCAAATGTCCACTTCCAGATACTCCAAAAAGAGTGTTTCCAACCTGCTCTATGAATGGGAATGTTCCACTCTGTGACTTGAATGGAAATATGGCAAAGTATTTTCTGAGTATGCTGCTGTGTACGTTTTATATTGCATCCCGTTTCCAACGAAATCCTCAAAGCGATCCAAATATCCACTTGCAGATTCCAAAAAAAGAGTGTTTCAAACTGCTCTGTCAGTACAAAGGTTCAACACTGTTAGTTGATTAGATGCATCATAAACAAGTTCCTGAGATAGCTTCTATGTCGTTTTTATGGGAAGATATTTCCTTTTTCACCATAGGCCTGAAAGCGCTCCAAATGTCCACTTCCAGATACTACAATAAGAGTGTTTCCAACCTGCTCTATGAAACGGAAGGTTCAACTCTGTGACTTGATTGCAAACATCACGAAGGTGTTTCTGAGAATGCTTCTGTCTAGATTTTCTTTGAAGACATTCCCGTTTCCAACGAAATCCTCACAGCTATCCAAATATCCTCTTGCAGATTCTACAAAAAGTGTGGTTCAAAACTGCTGTATCAAAAGAATGGATCAACACTGTTAGTTGAGTACCCACATCACAAACGTGATTCTCAGAATGCTTCTGTCTAGTTTCTGTAGGTAGATATTTCCTATTTTAAGCATAGGCCTGAAAGCGCTCCAAATGCCCGCTTCCAGACACTATAAAAAGAGGGTTTCAAACCTACTCTATGAAAGGGAATGTTCAACTCTGAGAGCTGGATGCAAACATCACAAAGAAGTTTCTGAGAATGCTGCTGTCTACTTTTGATATATAATCCCGTTTCCAACGAAATCCTCAAATCTATCCAAATATCCACTTGCAGATTCCAAAAGAAGAGTGTCTCAAAACTGCTCTATCAATAGAAATGTTCAGCACAGTTAGTTGAGTAGATACAGCATAAACATGTTTCTGAGATTACTTCTATCTCGCATTCATGGGAAGATATTTCCTTTTTCCAGGATAGGCTACAAAGCCCTCCAAATGTCCACTTCGAGATACTACAAATAGAGTGCTGCACAACTGCTCTATGTGAGGGGAAGTTCAATTCTGTGACTTGAATGCAGACACCACAAAGAAGTTTCTGAGAATGCTGCTGTCTAATTTTTACATGTAAGCCCGTTTCCAACGAAATCCTCAAAGCTATCCAAATATCCGCATGCAGAATCTTCAAAAAGAGTGTTCCAGAAGTACTGCATGAAACGAAAGGTTCAAGTCCGTTTGTTGAGGACACACATCACAAATAAGTTTCTCAGAATGCTTCTGTCTTGTTTTCATTGGAAGATATTTCCTTTTTCACCATAGTTCAGAAAGCGCTCCAAATGTCCACTTCCAGATACTCCAAAAAGAGTGTTTCCAACCTGCTCTATGAATGGGAATGTTCCACTCTGTGACTTGAATGGAAATATGGCAAAGTATTTTCTGAGTATGCTGCTGTGTACGTTTTATATTGCATCCCGTTTCCAACGAAATCCTCAAAGCGATCCAAATATCCACTTGCAGATTCCAAAAAAAGAGTGTTTCAAACTGCTCTGTCAGTACAAAGGTTCAACACTGTTAGTTGATTAGATGCATCATAAACAAGTTCCTGAGATAGCTTCTATGTCGTTTTTATGGGAAGATATTTCCTTTTTCACCATAGGCCTGAAAGCGCTCCAAATGTCCACTTCTAGATACTACAAAAAGTGTGTTTCCAACCTGCTCTATGAAACGGAAGGTTCAACTCTGTGACTTGATTGCAAACATCACGAAGGTGTTTCTGAGAATGCTTCTGTCTAGATTTTCTTTGAAGACATTACCGTTTCCAACGAAATCCTCAAAGCTAGCCAAATATCCACCTGCAGATTCTACAAAAAGAGTGTTTCAAAAGTGCTCTGTCCAAACCAAGGTTCAATTCTGACAGTTGAGTGCACACATCACAAACGTGATTCTGCGAATGCTTCTGTCTAGTTTTTGTCGGAAGATATTTCCTTTTTCAGCATAGGCCCCAAGGAGCTCAAAATGTCCACTGCCAGATAGTACGAGAAGATTGTTTCAAACCTGCTCTGTGAAAGGGAATGTTCAACTCTGTGACTTGAATGTAAACATCCCTAAGATGTTTCTTAGAATGCTTCTGGCTAGATTTGATTTGAAGATATTCCCGTTTCCAACGAAATCCTCAAAGCTTTCCAAATATCCACTTCCAGATTCTATAAAAAGAATGTTTCAGAACAGTTCTGTCAAAAGAAAGGTTCAACTCTGTTAGTGGAGAACACACATCACAATCAAGGTTCTGAGAATGCTTCTGTCTAAATTTTCTATGAAGACATTCCCGTTTCCAACGAAATCCTCACAGCTATCCAAATATCCACTTGCAGATTCTACAAAAAGTGTGGTTCAAAACTGCTGTATCAAAAGAATGGATCAACACTGTTAGTTGAGTACCCACATCACAAACGTGATTCTCAGAATGCTTCTGTCTAGTTTCTGTAGGTGGATATTTCCTATTTTAAGCATAGGCCTGAAAGCGCTCCAAATGCCCGCTTCTAGACACTATAAAAAGAGGGTTTCAAACCTACTCTATGAAAGGGAATGTTCAACTCTGAGAGCTGGATGCAAACATCACAAAGAAGTTTCTGAGAATGCTGCTGTCTACTTTTTATATATAATCCCGTTTCCAACGAAATCCTCAAATCTATCCAAATATCCACTTGCAGATTCCAAAAGAAGAGTGTCTCAAAACTGCTCTATCAATAGAAATGTTCAGCACAGTTAGTTGAGTAGATACAGCATAAACATGTTTCTGAGATTACTTCTATCTCGCATTCATGGGAAGATATTTCCTTTTTCCAGATAGGCTACAAAGCCCTCCAAATGTCCACTTCCAGATACTACAAATAGAGTGCTGCACAACTGCTCTATGTGAGGGGAAGTTCAATTCTGTGACTTGAATGCAGACACCACAAAGAAGTTTCTGAGAATGCTGCTGTCTAATTTTTACATGTAAGGCCGTTTCCAACGAAATCCTCAAAGCTATCCAAATATCCGCATGCAGAATCTTCAAAAAGAGTGTTCCAGAAGTACTGCATGAAACGAAAGGTTCAAGTCCGTTTGTTGAGGACACACATCACAAATAAGTTTCTCAGAATGCTTCTGTCTTGTTTTCATTGGAAGATATTTCCTTTTTCACCATAGTTCAGAAAGCGCTCCAAATGTCCACTTCCAGATACTCCAAAAAGAGTGTTTCCAACCTGCTCTATGAATGGGAATGTTCCACTCTGTGACTTGAATGGAAACATGGCAAAGTATTTTCTGAGTATGCTGCTGTGTACGTTTTATATTGCCTCCCGTTTCCAACGAAATCCTCAAAGTGATCCAAATATCCACTTGCAGATTCCAAAAAAAGAGTGTTTCAAACTGCTCTGTCAGTACAAAGGTTCAACACTGTTAGTTGATTAGATGCATCATAAACAAGTTCCTGAGATAGCTTCTATGTCGTTTTTATGGGAAGATATTTCCTTTTTCACCATAGGCCTGAAAGCGCTCCAAATGTCCACTTCCAGATACTACAATAAGAGTGTTTCCAACCTGCTCTATGAAACGGAAGGTTCAACTCTGTGACTTGATTGCAAACATCACGAAGGTGTTTCTGAGAATGCTTCTGTCTAGATTTTCTTTGAAGACATTCCCGTTTCCAACGAAATCCTCACAGCTATCCAAATATCCTCTTGCAGATTCTACAAAAAGTGTGGTTCAAAACTGCTGTATCAAAAGAATGGATCAACACTGTTAGTTGAGTACCCACATCACAAACGTGATTCTCAGAATGCTTCTGTCTAGTTTCTGTAGGTAGATATTTCCTATTTTAAGCATAGGCCTGAAAGCGCTCCAAATGCCCGCTTCCAGACACTATAAAAAGAGGGTTTCAAACCTACTCTATGAAAGGGAATGTTCAACTCTGAGAGCTGGATGCAAACATCACAAAGAAGTTTCTGAGAATGCTGCTGTCTACTTTTTATATATAATCCCGTTTCCAACGAAATCCTCAAATCTATCCAAATATCCACTTGCAGATTCCAAAAGAAGAGTGTCTCAAAACTGCTCTATCAATAGAAATGTTCAGCACAGTTAGTTGAGTAGATACAGCATAAACATGTTTCTGAGATTACTTCTATCTCGCATTCATGGGAAGATATTTCCTTTTTCCAGATAGGCTACAAAGCCCTCCAAATGTCCACTTCCAGATACTACAAATAGAGTGCTGCACAACTGCTCTATGTGAGGGGAAGTTCAATTCTGTGACTTGAATGCAGACACCACAAAGAAGTTTCTGAGAATGCTGCTGTCTAATTTTTACATGTAAGCCCGTTTCCAACGAAATCCTCAAAGCTATCCAAATATCCGCATGCAGAATCTTCAAAAAGAGTGTTCCAGAAGTACTGCATGAAACGAAAGGTTCAAGTCCGTTTGTTGAGGACACACATCACAAATAAGTTTCTCAGAATGCTTCTGTCTTGTTTTCATTGGAAGATATTTCCTTTTTCACCATAGTTCAGAAAGCGCTCCAAATGTCCACTTCCAGATACTCCAAAAAGAGTGTTTCAAACCTGCTCTATGAATGGGAATGTTCCACTCTGTGACTTGAATGGAAATATGGCAAAGTATTTTCTGAGTATGCTGCTGTGTACGTTTTATATTGCATCCCGTTTCCAACGAAATCCTCAAACCGATCCAAATATCCACTTGCAGATTCCAAAAAAAGAGTGTTTCAAACTGCTCTGTCAGTACAAAGGTTCAACACTGTTAGTTGATTAGATGCATCATAAACAAGTTCCTGAGATAGCTTCTATGTCGTTTTTATGGGAAGATATTTCCTTTTTCACCATAGGCCTGAAAGCGCTCCAAATGTCCACTTCCAGATACTACAATAAGAGTGTTTCCAACCTGCTCTATGAAACGGAAGGTTCAACTCTGTGACTTGATTGCAAACATCACGAAGGTGTTTCTGAGAATGCTTCTGTCTAGATTTTCTTTGAAGACATTCCCGTTTCCAACGAAATCCTCACAGCTATCCAAATATCCTCTTGCAGATTCTACAAAAAGTGTGGTTCAAAACTGCTGTATCAAAAGAATGGATCAACACTGTTAGTTGAGTACCCACATCACAAACGTGATTCTCAGAATGCTTCTGTCTAGTTTCTGTAGGTAGATATTTCCTATTTTAAGCATAGGCCTGAAAGCGCTCCAAATGCCCGCTTCCAGACACTATAAAAAGAGGGTTTCAAACCTACTCTATGAAAGGGAATGTTCAACTCTGAGAGCTGGATGCAAACATCACAAAGAAGTTTCTGAGAATGCTGCTGTCTACTTTTTATATATAATCCCGTTTCCAACGAAATCCTCAAATCTATCCAAATATCCACTTGCAGATTCCAAAAGAAGAGTGTCTCAAAACTGCTCTATCAATAGAAATGTTCAGCACAGTTAGTTGAGTAGATACAGCATAAACATGTTTCTGAGATTACTTCTATCTCGCATTCATGGGAAGATATTTCCTTTTTCCACATAGGCTACAAAGCCCTCCAAATGTCCACTTCCAGATACTACAAAAAGAGTGTTTCCAACCTGCTCTATGAAACGGAAGGTTCAACTCTGTGACTTGATTGCAAACATCACGAAGGTGTTTCTGAGAATGCTTCTGTCTAGATTTTCTTTGAAGACATTACCGTTTCCAACGAAATCCTCAAAGCTAGCCAAATATCCACCTGCAGATTCTACAAAAAGAGTGTTTCAAAAGTGCTCTGTCCAAACCAAGGTTCAATTCTGACAGTTGAGTGCACACATCACAAACGTGATTCTGCGAATGCTTCTGTCTAGTTTTTGTCGGAAGATATTTCCTTTTTCAGCATAGGCCCCAAGGAGCTCAAAATGTCCACTGCCAGATAGTACGAGAAGATTGTTTCAAACCTGCTCTGTGAAAGGGAATGTTCAACTCTGTGACTTGAATGTAAACATCCCTAAGATGTTTCTTAGAATGCTTCTGGCTAGATTTGATTTGAAGATATTCCCGTTTCCAACGAAATCCTCAAAGCTTTCCAAATATCCACTTCCAGATTCTATAAAAAGAATGTTTCAGAACAGTTCTGTCAAAAGAAAGGTTCAACTCTGTTAGTGGAGAACACACATCACAATCAAGGTTCTGAGAATGCTTCTGTCTAAATTTTCTATGAAGACATTCCCGTTTCCAACGAAATCCTCACAGCTATCCAAATATCCACTTGCAGATTCTACAAAAAGTGTGGTTCAAAACTGCTGTATCAAAAGAATGGATCAACACTGTTAGTTGAGTACCCACATCACAAACGTGATTCTCAGAATGCTTCTGTCTAGTTTCTATAGGTAGATATTTCCTTTTTCAGCATAGGCCTGAAAGCGCTCCAAATGCCCGCTTCCAGACACTATAAAAAGAGGGTTTCAAACCTACTCTATGAAAGGGAATGTTCAACTCTGAGAGCTGGATGCAAACATCACAAAGAAGTTTCTGAGAATGCTGCTGTCTACTTTTTATATATAATCCCGTTTCCAACGAAATCCTCAAATCTATCCAAATATCCACTTGCAGATTCCAAAAGAAGAGTGTCTCAAAACTGCTCTATCAATAGAAATGTTCAGCACAGTTAGTTGAGTAGATACAGCATAAACATGTTTCTGAGATTACTTCTATCTCGCATTCATGGGAAGATATTTCCTTTTTCCAGATAGGCTACAAAGCCCTCCAAATGTCCACTTCCAGATACTACAAAAAGAGTGTTTCCAACCTGCTCTATGAAACGGAAGGTTCAACTCTGTGACTTGATTGCAAACATCACGAAGGTGTTTCTGAGAATGCTTCTGTCTAGATTTTCTTTGAAGACATTACCGTTTCCAACGAAATCCTCAAAGCTAGCCAAATATCCACCTGCAGATTCTACAAAAAGAGTGTTTCAAAAGTGCTCTGTCCAAACCAAGGTTCAATTCTGACAGTTGAGTGCACACATCACAAACGTGATTCTGCGAATGCTTCTGTCTAGTTTTTGTCGGAAGATATTTCCTTTTTCAGCATAGGCCCCAAGGAGCTCAAAATGTCCACTGCCAGATAGTACGAGAAGATTGTTTCAAACCTGTTCTGTGAAAGGGAATGTTCAACTCTGTGACTTGAATGTAAACATCCCTAAGATGTTTCTTAGAATGCTTCTGGCTAGATTTGATTTGAAGATATTCCCGTTTCCAACAAAATCCTCAAAGCTTTCCAAATATCCACTTCCAGATTCTATAAAAAGAATGTTTCAGAACAGTTCTGTCAAAAGAAAGGTTCAACTCTGTTAGTGGAGAACACACATCACAATCAAGGTTCTGAGAATGCTTCTGTCTAAATTTTCTATGAAGACATTCCCGTTTCCAACGAAATCCTCACAGCTATCCAAATATCCACTTGCAGATTCTACAAAAAGTGTGGTTCAAAACTGCTGTATCAAAAGAATGGATCAACACTGTTAGTTGAGTACCCACATCACAAACGTGATTCTCAGAATGCTTCTGTCTAGTTTCTATAGGTAGATATTTCCTTTTTCAGCATAGGCCTGAAAGCGCTCCAAATGCCCGCTTCCAGACACTATAAAAAGAGGGTTTCAAACCTACTCTATGAAAGGGAATGTTCAACTCTGAGAGCTGGATGCAAACATCACAAAGAAGTTTCTGAGAATGCTGCTGTCTACTTTTTATATATAATCCCGTTTCCAACGAAATCCTCAAATCTATCCAAATATCCACTTGCAGATTCCAAAAGAAGAGTGTCTCAAAACTGCTCTATCAATAGAAATGTTCAGCACAGTTAGTTGAGTAGATACAGCATAAACATGTTTCTGAGATTACTTCTATCTCGCATTCATGGGAAGATATTTCCTTTTTCCAGATAGGCTACAAAGCCCTCCAAATGTCCACTTCCAGATACTACAAATAGAGTGCTGCACAACTGCTCTATGTGAGGGGAAGTTCAATTCTGTGACTTGAATGCAGACACCACAAAGAAGTTTCTGAGAATGCTGCTGTCTAATTTTTACATGTAAGCCCGTTTCCAACGAAATCCTCAAAGCTATCCAAATATCCGCATGCAGAATCTTCAAAAAGAGTGTTCCAGAAGTACTGCATGAAACGAAAGGTTCAAGTCCGTTTGTTGAGGACACACATCACAAATAAGTTTCTCAGAATGCTTCTGTCTTGTTTTCATTGGAAGATATTTCCTTTTTCACCATAGTTCAGAAAGCGCTCCAAATGTCCACTTCCAGATACTCCAAAAAGAGTGTTTCAAACCTGCTCTATGAATGGGAATGTTCCACTCTGTGACTTGAATGGAAATATGGCAAAGTATTTTCTGAGTATGCTGCTGTGTACGTTTTATATTGCATCCCGTTTCCAACGAAATCCTCAAAGCGATCCAAATATCCACTTGCAGATTCCAAAAAAAGAGTGTTTCAAACTGCTCTGTCAGTACAAAGGTTCAACACTGTTAGTTGATTAGATGCATCATAAACAAGTTCCTGAGATAGCTTCTATGTCGTTTTTATGGGAAGATATTTCCTTTTACACCATAGGCCTGAAAGCGCTCCAAATGTCCACTTCCACATACTACAAAAAGAGTGTTTCCAACCTGCTCTATGAAACGGAAGGTTCAACTCTGTGACTTGATTGCAAACATCACGAAGGTGTTTCTGAGAATGCTTCTGTCTAGATTTTCTTTGAAGACATTACCGTTTCCAACGAAATCCTCAAAGCTAGCCAAATATCCACCTGCAGATTCTACAAAAAGAGTGTTTCAAAAGTGCTCTTTCCAAACAAAGGTTCAATTCCGACAGTTGAGTGCACACATCACAAACCTGATTCTGCGAATGCTTCTGTCTAGTTTTTGTCGGAAGATATTTCCTTTTTCAGCATAGGCCCCAAGGAGCTCAAAATGTCCACTTCCAGATACTACGAGAAGATTGTTTCAAACCTGCTCTGTGAAAGGGAATGTTCAACTCTGTGACTTGAATGTAAACATCCCTAAGATGTTTCTTAGAATGCTTCTGGCTAGATTTGATTTGAAGATATTCCCGTTTCAAACGAAGTCCTCAAAGCTTTCCAAATATGCACTTCCAGATTCTATACAAAGAATGTTTCAGAACAGTTCTGTCAAAAGAAAGGTTCAACCCTGTTAGTGGAGAACACACATCACAATCAAGGTTCTGAGAATGCTTCTGTCTAAATTTTCTATGAAGACATTCCCGTTTCCAAGGAAATCCTCACAGCTATCCAAATATCCACTTGCAGATTCTACAAAAAGTGTGGTTCAAAACTGCTGTATCAAAAGAATGGATCAACACTGTTAGTTGAGTACCCACATCACAAACGTGATTCTCAGAATGCTTCTGTCTAGTTTCTATAGGTAGATATTTCCTTTTTCAGCATAGGCCTCAAAGCGTTCCAAATGCCCGCTTCCAGACACTATAAAAAGAGGGTTTCAAACCTAATCTACGAAAGGGAATGTTCAACTCTGAGAGCTGGATGCAAACATCACAAAGAAGTTTCTGAGAATGCTGCTGTCTACTTTTGATATATAATCCCGTTTCCAAGGAAATCCTCAAATCTATCCAAATATCCACTTGCAGATTCCAAAAGAAGAGTGTCTCAAAACTGCTCTATCAATAGAATTGTTCAGCACAGTTACTTGAGTAGATACAGCATAAACATGTTTCTGAGATTACTTCTATCTCGCATTCATGGGAAGATATTTCCTTTTTACAGATAGGCTACAAAGCCCTCCAAATGTCCACTTCGAGATACTACAAATAGAGTGCTGCACAGCTGCTCTATGTGAGGGTATGTTCAATTCTGTGACTTGAATGCAGACACCACAAAGAAGTTTCTGAGAATGCTGCTGTCTAATTTTTATATGTAAGCCCGTTTCCAACGAAATCCTCAAAGCTATCCAAATATCCGCATGCAGAATCTTCAAAAAGAGTGTTCCAGAAGTACTGCATGAAACGAAAGGTTCAAGTCCGTTAGTTGAGGACACACATCACAAATAAGTTTCTCAGAATGCTTCTGTCTTGTTTTCATTGGAAGATATTTCCTTTTTCACCATAGTTCAGAAAGCGCTCCAAATGTCCACTTCCAGATACTACAAAAAGAGTGTGTCAAACCTGCTCTATGAATGGGAATGTTACACTCTGTGACTTGAATGGAAATATGGCAAAGTATTTTCTGAGTATGCTGCTGTGTACGTTTTATATTGCATCCCGTTTCCAACGAAATCCTCAAAGCGATCCAAATATCCACTTGCAGATTCCAAAAAAAAGAGTGTTTCACACTGCTCTGTCAGTACAAAGGTTCAACACTGTTAGTTGATTGGATGCATCATAAACAAGTTCCTGAGATAGCTTCTATGTCGTTTTTATGGGAAGATATTTCCTTCTTCACCATAGGCCTGAAAGCGCTCCAAATGTCCACTTCCAGATACTACAAAAAGAGTGTTTCCAACCTGCTCTATGAAACGGAAGGTTCAACTCTGTGACTTGATTGCAAACATCACGAATGTGTTTCTGAGAATGTTTCTGTCTAGATTTTCTTTGAAGACATTACCGTTTCCAACGAAATCCTCAAAGCTAGCCAAATATCCACCTGCAGATTCTACAAAAAGAGTGTTTCAAAAGTGCTCTGTCCAAACAAAGGTTCAATTCTGACAGTTGAGTGCACACATCACAAACGTGATTCTGCGAATGCTTCTGTCTAGTTTTTGTCGGAAGATATTTCCTTTTTCAGCATAGGCCCCAAGGAGCTCAAAATGTCCACTTCCAGATAGTACGAGAAGATTGTTTCAAACCTGCTCTGTGAAAGGGAATGTTCAACTCTGTGACTTGAATGTAAACATCCCTAAGATGTTTCTTAGAATGCTTCTGGCTAGATTTTATTTGAAGATATTCCCGTTTCCAACGAAATCCTCAAAGCTTTCCAAATATCCACTTCCAGATTCTATAAAAAGAATGTTTCAGAACAGTTCTGTCAAAAGAAAGGTTCAACTCTGTTAGTGGAGAACACACATCACAATCAAGGTTCTGAGAATGCTTCTGTCTACATTTTCTATGAAGACATTCCCGTTTCCAACGAAATCCTCACAGCTATCCAAATATCCACTTGCAGATTCTACAAAAAGTGTGGTTCAAAACTGCTGTATCAAAAGAATGGATCAACACTGTTAGTTGAGTACCCACATCACAAACGTGATTCTCAGAATGCTTCTGTCTAGTTTCTATAGGTAGATATTTCCTTTTTCAGCATAGGCCTGAAAGCGCTCCAAATGCCCGCTTCCAGACACTATAAAAAGAGGGTTTCAAACCTACTCTATGAAAGGGAATGTTCAACTCTGAGAGCTGGATGCAAACATCACAAAGAAGTTTCTGAGAATGCTGCTGTCTACTTTTTATATATAATCCCGTTTCCAACGAAATCCTCAAATCTATCCAAATATCCACTTGCAGATTCCAAAAGAAGAGTGTCTCAAAACTGCTCTATCAATAGAAATGTTCAGCACAGTTAGTTGAGTAGATACAGCATAAACATGTTTCTGAGATTACTTCTATCTCGCATTCATGGGAAGATATTTCCTTTTTCCACATAGGCTACAAAGCCCTCCAAATGTCCACTTCCAGATACTACAAATAGAGTGCTGCACAACTGCTCTATGTGAGGGGAAGTTCAATTCTGTGACTTGAATGCAGACACCACAAAGAAGTTTCTGAGAATGCTGCTGTCTAATTTTTACATGTAAGCCCGTTTCCAACGAAATCCTCAAAGCTATCCAAATATCCGCATGCAGAATCTTCAAAAAGAGTGTTCCAGAAGTACTGCATGAAACGAAAGGTTCAAGTCCGTTTGTTGAGGACACACATCACAAATAAGTTTCTCAGAATGCTTCTGTCTTGTTTTCATTGGAAGATATTTCCTTTTTCACCATAGTTCAGAAAGCGCTCCAAATGTCCACTTCCAGATACTCCAAAAAGAGTGTTTCCAACCTGCTCTATGAATGGGAATGTTCCACTCTGTGACTTGAATGGAAATATGGCAAAGTATTTTCTGAGTATGCTGCTGTGTACGTTTTATATTGCATCCCGTTTCCAACGAAATCCTCAAAGCGATCCAAATATCCACTTGCAGATTCCAAAAAAAGAGTGTTTCAAACTGCTCTGTCAGTACAAAGGTTCAACACTGTTAGTTGATTAGATGCATCATAAACAAGTTACCTGAGATAGCTTCTATCTCGCATTCATGGGAAGATATTTCCTTTTTCCACATAGGCTACAAAGCCCTCCAAATGTCCACTTCCAGATACTACAAAAAGAGTGTTTCCAACCTGCTCTATGAAACGGAAGGTTCAACTCTGTGACTTGATTGCAAACATCACGAAGATGTTTCTGAGAATGCTTCTGTCTAGATTTTCTTTGAAGACATTACCGTTTCCAACGAAATCCTCAAAGCTAGCCAAATATCCACCTGCAGATTCTACAAAAAGAGTGTTTCAAAAGTGCTCTGTCCAAACCAAGGTTCAATTCTGACAGTTGAGTGCACACATCACAAACGTGATTCTGCGAATGCTTCTGTCTAGTTTTTGTCGGAAGATATTTCCTTTTTCAGCATAGGCCCCAAGGAGCTCAAAATGTCCACTGCCAGATAGTACGAGAAGATTGTTTCAAACCTGCTCTGTGAAAGGGAATGTTCAACTCTGTGACTTGAATGTAAACATCCCTAAGATGTTTCTTAGAATGCTTCTGGCTAGATTTGATTTGAAGATATTCCCGTTTCCAACGAAATCCTCAAAGCTTTCCAAATATCCACTTCCAGATTCTACAAAAAGAATGTTTCAGAACAGTTCTGTCAAAAGAAAGGTTCAACTCTGTTAGTGGAGAACACACATCACAATCAAGGTTCTGAGAATGGTTCTGTCTAAATTTTCTATGAAGACATTCCCGTTTCCAACGAAATCCTCACAGCTATCCAAATATCCACTTGCAGATTCTACAAAAAGTGTGGTTCAAAACTGCTGTATCAAAAGAATGGATCAACACTGTTAGTTGAGTACCCACATCACAAACGTGATTCTCAGAATGCTTCTGTCTAGTTTCTATAGGTAGATATTTCCTTTTTCAGCATAGGCCTGAAAGCGCTCCAAATGCCCGCTTCCAGACACTATAAAAAGAGGGTTTCAAACCTACTCTATGAAAGGGAATGTTCAACTCTGAGAGCTGGATGCAAACATCACAAAGAAGTTTCTGAGAATGCTGCTGTCTACTTTTGATATATAATCCCGTTTCCAACGAAATCCTCAAATCTATCCAAATATCCACTTGCAGATTCCAAAAGAAGAGTGTCTCAAAACTGCTCTATCAATAGAAATGTTCAGCACAGTTAGTTGAGTAGATACAGCATAAACATGTTTCTGAGATTACTTCTATCTCGCATTCATGGGAAGATATTTCCTTTTTCCAGATAGGCTACAAAGCCCTCCAAATGTCCACTTCCAGATACTACAAATAGAGTGCTGCACAACTGCTCTATGTGAGGGGAAGTTCAATTCTGTGACTTGAATGCAGACACCACAAAGAAGTTTCTGAGAATGCTGCTGTCTAATTTTTACATGTAAGCCCGTTTCCAACGAAATCCTCAAAGCTATCCAAATATCCGCATGCAGAATCTTCAAAAAGAGTGTTCCAGAAGTACTGCATGAAACGAAAGGTTCAAGTCCGTTTGTTGAGGACACACATCACAAATAAGTTTCTCAGAATGCTTCTGTCTTGTTTTCATTGGAAGATATTTCCTTTTTCACCATAGTTCAGAAAGCGCTCCAAATGTCCACTTCCAGATACTCCAAAAAGAGTGTTTCCAACCTGCTCTATGAATGGGAATGTTCCACTCTGTGACTTGAATGGAAATATGGCAAAGTATTTTCTGAGTATGCTGCTGTGTACGTTTTATATTGCATCCCGTTTCCAACGAAATCCTCAAAGCGATCCAAATATCCACTTGCAGATTCCAAAAAAAGAGTGTTTCAAAGTGCTCTGTCAGTACAAAGGTTCAACACTGTTAGTTGATTAGATGCATCATAAACAAGTTCCTGAGATAGCTTCTATGTCGTTTTTATGGGAAGATATTTCCTTTTTCACCATAGGCCTGAAAGCGCTCCAAATGTCCACTTCCAGATACTACAATAAGAGTGTTTCCAACCTGCTCTATGAAACGGAAGGTTCAACTCTGTGACTTGATTGCAAACATCACGAAGGTGTTTCTGAGAATGCTTCTGTCTAGATTTTCTTTGAAGACATTACCGTTTCCAACGAAATCCTCAAAGCTAGCCAAATATCCACCTGCAGATTCTACAAAAAGAGTGTTTCAAAAGTGCTGTGTCCAAACAAAGGTTCAATTCTGACAGTTGAGTGCACACATCACAAACGTGATTCTGCGAATGCTTCTGTCTAGTTTTTGTCGGAAGATATTTCCTTTCTCAGCATAGGCCCCAAGGAGCTCAAAATGTCCACTTCCAGATAGTACGAGAAGATTGTTTCAAACCTGCTCTGTGAAAGGGAATGTTCAACTCTGTGACTTGAATGTAAACATCCCTAAGATGTTTCTTAGAATGCTTCTGGCTAGATTTGATTTGAAGATATTCCCGTTTCCAACGAAATCCTCAAAGCTTTCCAAATATCCACTTCCAGATTCTATAAAAAGAATGTTTCAAAACAGTTCTGTCAAAAGAAAGGTTCAACCCTGTTAGTGGAGAACACACATCACAATCAAGGTTCTGAGAATGCTTCTGTCTAAATTTTCTATGAAGACATTCCCGTTTCCAAGGAAATCCTCACAGCTATCCAAATATCCACTTGCAGATTCTACAAAAAGTGTGGTTCAAAACTGCTGTATCAAAAGAATGGATCAACACTGTTAGTTGAGTACCCACATCACAAACGTGATTCTCAGAATGCTTCTGTCTAGTTTCTATAGGTAGATATTTCCTTTTTCAGCATAGGCCTGAAAGCGCTCCAAATGCCCGCTTCCAGACACTATAAAAAGAGGGTTTCAAACCTACTCTATGAAAGGGAATGTTCAACTCTGAGAGCTGGATGCAAACATCACAAAGAAGTTTCTGAGAATGCGGCTGTCTACTTTTTATATATAATCCCGTTGCCAACGAAATCCTCAAATCTATCCAAATATCCACTTGCAGATTCCAAAAGAAGAGTGTCTCAAAACTGCTCTATCAATAGAAATGTTGAGCACAGTTAGTTGAGTAGATACAGCATAAACATGTTTCTGAGATTACTTCTATCTCGCATTCATGGGAAGATATTTCCTTTTTCCAGATAGGCTACAAAGCCCTCCAAATGTCCACTTCGAGATACTACAAATAGAGTGCTGCACAACTGCTCTATGTGAGGGGATGTTCAATTCTGTGACTTGAATGCAGACACCACAAAGAAGTTTCTGAGAATGCTGCTGTCTAATTTTTATATGTAAGCCCGTTTCCAAAGAAATCCTCAAAGCTATCCAAATATCCGCATGCAGAATCTTCAAAAAGAGTGTTCCAGAAATACTGCATGAAACGAAAGGTTCAAGTCCGTTAGTTGAGGACACACATCACAAATAAGTTTCTCAGAATGCTTCTGTCTTGTTTTCATTGGAAGTATATTTCCTCTTTCACCATAGTTCAGAAAGCGCTCCAAATGTCCACTTCCAGATACTACAAAAGGAGTGTTTCCAACCTGCTCTATGAATGGGAATGTTCCACTCTGTGACTTGAATGGAAATATGGCAAAGTATTTTCTGAGTATGCTGCTGTGTGCGATTTATATTGCATCCCGTTTCCAACGAAATCCTCAAAGCGATCCAAATATCCACTTGCAGATTCGAAAAAAAAGAGTGTTTCACACTGCTCTGTCAGTACAAAAGTTCAACACTGTTAGTTGATTGGATGCATCATAAACAAGTTCCTGAGATAGCTTCTATGTCGTTTTTATGGGAAGATATTTCCTTTTTCACCATAGGCCTGAAAGCGCTCCAAATGTCCACTTCCAGATACTACAAAAAGAGTGTTTCCAACCTGCTCTATGAAACGGAAGGTTCAACTCTGTGACTTGATTGCAAACATCACGAAGGTGTTTCTGAGAATGTTTCTGTCTAGATTTTCTTTGAAGACATTACCGTTTCCAACGAAATCCTCAAAGCTAGCCAAATATCCACCTGCAGATTCTACAAAAAGAGTGTTTCAAAAGTGCTCTGTCCAAACAAAGGTTCAATTCTGACAGTTGAGTGCACACATCACAAACGTGATTCTGCGAATGCTTCTGTCTAGTTTTTGTCGGAAGATATTTCCTTTTTCAGCATAGGCCCCAAGGAGCTCAAAATGTCCACTTCCAGATAGTACGAGAAGATTGTTTCAAACCTGCTCTGTGAAAGGGAATGTTCAACTCTGTGACTTGAATGTAAACATCCCTAAGATGTTTCTTAGAATGCTTCTGGCTAGATTTTATTTGAAGATATTTCCGTTTCCAACGAAATCCTCAAAGCTTTCCAAATATCCACTTCCAGATTCTATAAAAAGAATGTTTCAAAACAGTTCTGTCAAAAGAAAGGTTCAACCCTGTTAGTGGAGAACACACATCACAATCAAGGTTCTGAGAATGCTTCTGTCTAAATTTTCTATGAAGACATTCCCGTTTCCAAGGAAATCCTCACAGCTATCCAAATATCCACTTGCAGATTCTACAAAAAGTGTGGTTCAAAACTGCTGTATCAAAAGAATGGATCAACACTGTTAGTTGAGTACCCACATCACCAACGTGATTCTCAGAATGCTTCTGTCTAGTTTCTGTAGGTAGATATTTCCTATTTTAAGCATAGGCCTGAAAGCGCTCCAAATGTCCGCTTCCAGACACTATAAAAAGAGGGTTTCAAACCTACTCTATGAAAGGGAATGTTCAACTCTGAGAGCTGGATGCAAACATCACAAAGAAGTTTCTGAGAATGCTGCTGTCTACTTTTGATATATAATCCCGTTTCCAACGAAATCCTCAAATCTATCCAAATATCCACTTGCAGATTCCAAAAGAAGAGTGTCTCAAAACTGCTCTATCAATAGAAATGTTCAGCACAGTTAGTTGAGTAGATACAGCATAAACATGTTTCTGAGATTACTTCTATCTCGCATTCATGGGAAGATATTTCCTTTTTCCAGATAGGCTACAAAGCCCTCCAAATGTCCACTTCCAGATACTACAAAAAGAGTGTTTCCAACCTGCTCTATGAAACGGAAGGTTCAACTCTGTGACTTGATTGCAAACATCACGAAGGTGTTTCTGAGAATGCTTCTGTCTAGATTTTCTTTGAAGACATTACCGTTTCCAACGAAATCCTCAAAGCTAGCCAAATATCCACCTGCAGATTCTACAAAAAGAGTGTTTCAAAAGTGCTCTGTCCAAACCAAGGTTCAATTCTGACAGTTGAGTGCACACATCACAAACGTGATTCTGCGAATGCTTCTGTCTAGTTTTTGTCGGAAGATATTTCCTTTTTCAGCATAGGCCCCAAGGAGCTCAAAATGTCCACTGCCAGATAGTACGAGAAGATTGTTTCAAACCTGCTCTGTGAAAGGGAATGTTCAACTCTGTGACTTGAATGTAAACATCCCTAAGATGTTTCTTAGAATGCTTCTGACTAGATTTGATTTGAAGATATTCCCGTTTCCAACGAAATCCTCAAAGCTTTCCAAATATCCACTTCCAGATTCTATAAAAAGAATGTTTCAGAACAGTTCTGTCAAAAGAAAGGTTCAACCCTGTTAGTGGAGAACACACATCACAATCAAGGTTCTGAGAATGCTTCTGTCTAAATTTTCTATGAAGACATTCCCGTTTCCAACGAAATCCTCACAGCTATCCAAATATCCTCTTGCAGATTCTACAAAAAGTGTGGTTCAAAACTGCTGTATCAAAAGAATGGATCAACACTGTTAGTTGAGTACCCACATCACAAACGTGATTCTCAGAATGCTTCTGTCTAGTTTCTATAGGTAGATATTTCCTTTTTCAGCATAGGCCTGAAAGCGCTCCAAATGCCCGCTTCCAGACACTATAAAAAGAGGGTTTCAAACCTACTCTATGAAAGGGAATGTTCAACTCTGAGAGCTGGATGCAAACATCACAAAGAAGTTTCTGAGAATGCTGCTGTCTACTTTTTATATATAATCCCGTTTCCAACGAAATCCTCAAATCTATCCAAATATCCACTTGCAGATTCCAAAAGAAGAGTGTCTCAAAACTGCTCTATCAATAGAAATGTTCAGCACAGTTAGTTGAGTAGATACAGCATAAACATGTTTCTGAGATTACTTCTATCTCGCATTCATGGGAAGATATTTCCTTTTTCCACATAGGCTACAAAGCCCTCCCAATGTCCACTTCCAGATACTACAAAAAGAGTGTTTCCAACCTGCTCTATGAAACGGAAGGTTCAACTCTGTGACTTGATTGCAAACATCACGAAGGTGTTTCTGAGAATGCTTCTGTCTAGATTTTCTTTGAAGACATTACCGTTTCCAACGAAATCCTCAAAGCTAGCCAAATATCCACCTGCAGATTCTACAAAAAGAGTGTTTCAAAAGTGCTCTGTCCAAACCAAGGTTCAATTCTGACAGTTGAGTGCACACATCACAAACGTGATTCTGCGAATGCTTCTGTCTAGTTTTAGTCGGAAGATATTTCCTTTTTCAGCATAGGCCCCAAGTAGCTCAAAATGTCCACTGCCAGATAGTACGAGAAGATTGTTTCAAACCTGCTCTGTGAAAGGGAATGTTCAACTCTGTGACTTGAATGTAAACATCCCTAAGATGTTTCTTAGAATGCTTCTGGCTAGATTTGATTTGAAGATATTCCCGTTTCCAACGAAATCCTCAAAGCTTTCCAAATATCCACTTCCAGATTCTATAAAAAGAATGTTTCAGAACAGTTCTGTCAAAAGAAAGGTTCAACTCTGTTAGTGGAGAACACACATCACAATCAAGGTTCTGAGAATGCTTCTGTCTAAATTTTCTATGAAGACATTCCCGTTTCCAACGAAATCCTCACAGCTATCCAAATATCCACTTGCAGATTCTACAAAAAGTGTGGTTCAAAACTGCTGTATCAAAAGAATGGATCAACACTGTTAGTTGAGTACCCACATCACAAACGTGATTCTCAGAATGCTTCTGTCTAGTTTCTATAGGTAGATATTTCCTTTTTCAGCATAGGCCTGAAAGCGCTCCAAATGCCCGCTTCCAGACACTATAAAAAGAGGGTTTCAAACCTACTCTATGAAAGGGAATGTTCAACTCTGAGAGCTGGATGCAAACATCACAAAGAAGTTTCTGAGAATGCTGCTGTCTACTTTTGATATATAATCCCGTTTCCAACGAAATCCTCAAATCTATCCAAATATCCACTTGCAGATTCCAAAAGAAGAGTGTCTCAAAACTGCTCTATCAATAGAAATGTTCAGCACAGTTAGTTGAGTAGATACAGCATAAACATGTTTCTGAGATTACTTCTATCTCGCATTCATGGGAAGATATTTCCTTTTTCCACATAGGCTACAAAGCCCTCCCAATGTCCACTTCCAGATACTACAAAAAGAGTGTTTCCAACCTGCTCTATGAAACGGAAGGTTCAACTCTGTGACTTGATTGCAAACATCACGAAGGTGTTTCTGAGAATGCTTCTGTCTAGATTTTCTTTGAAGACATTACCGTTTCCAACGAAATCCTCAAAGCTAGCCAAATATCCACCTGCAGATTCTACAAAAAGAGTGTTTCAAAAGTGCTCTGTCCAAACCAAGGTTCAATTCTGACAGTTGAGTGCACACATCACAAACGTGATTCTGCGAATGCTTCTGTCTAGTTTTTGTCGGAAGATATTTCCTTTTTCAGCATAGGCCCCAAGGAGCTCAAAATGTCCACTGCCAGATAGTACGAGAAGATTGTTTCAAACCTGCTCTGTGAAAGGGAATGTTCAACTCTGTGACTTGAATGTAAACATCCCTAAGATGTTTCTTAGAATGCTTCTGGCTAGATTTTATTTGAAGATATTCCCGTTTCCAACGAAATCCTCAAAGCTTTCCAAATATCCACTTCCAGATTCTATAAAAAGAATGTTTCAGAACAGTTCTGTTAAAAGAAAGGTTCAACTCTGTTAGTGGAGAACACACATCACAATCAAGGTTCTGAGAATGCTTCTGTCTAAATTTTCTATGAAGACATTCCCGTTTCCAACGAAATCCTCACAGCTATCCAAATATCCACTTGCAGATTCTACAAAAGGTGTGGTTCAAAACTGCTGTATCAAAAGAATGGATCAACACTGTTAGTTGAGTACCCACATCACAAACGTGATTCTCAGAATGCTTCTGTCTAGTTTCTATAGGTAGATATTTCCTTTTTCAGCATAGGCCTGAAAGCGCTCCAAATGCCCGCTTCCAGACACTATAAAAAGAGGGTTTCAAACCTACTCTATGAAAGGGAATGTTCAACTCTGAGAGCTGGATGCAAACATCACAAAGAAGTTTCTGAGAATGCTGCTGTCTACTTTTGATATATAATCCCGTTTCCAACGAAATCCTCAAATCTATCCAAATATCCACTTGCAGATTCCAAAAGAAGAGTGTCTCAAAACTGCTCTATCAATAGAAATGTTCAGCACAGTTAGTTGAGTAGATACAGCATAAACATGTTTCTGAGATTACTTCTATCTCGCATTCATGGGAAGATATTTCCTTTTTCCAGATAGGCTACAAAGCCCTCCAAATGTCCACTTCCAGATACTACAAAAAGAGTGTTTCCAACCTGCTCTATGAAACGGAAGGTTCAACTCTGTGACTTGATTGCAAACATCACGAAGGTGTTTCTGAGAATGCTTCTGTCTAGATTTTCTTTGAAGACATTACCGTTTCCAACGAAATCCTCAAAGCTAGCCAAATATCCACCTGCAGATTCTACAAAAAGAGTGTTTCAAAAGTGCTCTGTCCAAACCAAGGTTCAATTCTGACAGTTGAGTGCACACATCACAAACGTGATTCTGCGAATGCTTCTGTCTAGTTTTTGTCGGAAGATATTTCCTTTTTCAGCATAGGCCCCAAGGAGCTCAAAATGTCCACTGCCAGATAGTACGAGAAGATTGTTTCAAACCTGCTCTGTGAAAGGGAATGTTCAACTCTGTGACTTGAATGTAAACATCCCTAAGATGTTTCTTAGAATGCTTCTGGCTAGATTTTATTTGAAGATATTCCCGTTTCCAACGAAATCCTCAAAGCTTTCCAAATATCCACTTCCAGATTCTACAAAAAGAATGTTTCAGAACAGTTCTGTCAAAAGAAAGGTTCAACTCTGTTAGTGGAGAACACACATCACAATCAAGGTTCTGAGAATGCTTCTGTCTAAATTTTCTATGAAGACATTCCCGTTTCCAAGGAAAATCCTCACAGCTATCCAAATATCCACTTGCAGATTCTACAAAAAGTGTGGTTCAAAACTGCTGTATCAAAAGAATGGATCAACACTGTTAGTTGAGTACCCACATCACCAACGTGATTCTCAGAATGCTTCTGTCTAGTTTCTATAGGTAGATATTTCCTTTTTCAGCATAGGCCTGAAAGCGCTCCAAATGCCCGCTTCCAGACACTATAAAAAGAGGGTTTCAAACCTACTCTATGAAAGGGAATGTTCAACTCTGAGAGCTGGATGCAAACATCACAAAGAAGTTTCTGAGAATGCTGCTGTCTACTTTTTATATATAATCCCGTTTCCAACGAAATCCTCAAATCTATCCAAATATCCACTTGCAGATTCCAAAAGAAGAGTGTCTCAAAACTGCTCTATCAATAGAAATGTTCAGCACAGTTAGTTGAGTAGATACAGCATAAACATGTTTCTGAGATTACTTCTATCTCGCATTCATGGGAAGATATTTCCTTTTTCCAGATAGGCTACAAAGCCCTCCAAATGTCCACTTCCAGATACTACAAAAAGAGTGTTTCCAACCTGCTCTATGAAACGGAAGGTTCAACTCTGTGACTTGATTGCAAACATCACGAAGGTGTTTCTGAGAATGCTTCTGTCTAGATTTTCTTTGAAGACATTACCGTTTCCAACGAAATCCTCAAAGCTAGCCAAATATCCACCTGCAGATTCTACAAAAAGAGTGTTTCAAAAGTGCTCTGTCCAAACCAAGGTTCAATTCTGACAGTTGAGTGCACACATCACAAACGTGATTCTGCGAATGCTTCTGTCTAGTTTTTGTCAGAAGATATTTCCTTTTTCAGCATAGGCCCCAAGGAGCTCAAAATGTCCACTGCCAGATAGTACGAGAAGATTGTTTCAAACCTGCTCTGTGAAAGGGAATGTTCAACTCTGTGACTTGAATGTAAACATCCCTAAGATGTTTCTTAGAATGCTTCTGGCTAGATTTGATTTGAAGATATTCCCGTTTCCAACGAAATCCTCAAAGCTTTCCAAATATCCACTTCCAGATTCTATAAAAAGAATGTTTCAGAACAGTTCTGTCAAAAGAAAGGTTCAACTCTGTTAGTGGAGAACACACATCACAATCAAGGTTCTGAGAATGCTTCTGTCTAAATTTTCTATGAAGACATTCCCGTTTCCAACGAAATCCTCACAGCTATCCAAATATCCACTTGCAGATTCTACAAAAAGTGTTGTTCAAAACTGCTGTATCAAAAGAATGGATCAACACTGTTAGTTGAGTACCCACATCACAAACGTGATTCTCAGAATGCTTCTGTCTAGTTTCTATAGGTAGATATTTCCTTTTTCAGCATAGGCCTGAAAGCGCTCCAAATGCCCGCTTCCAGACACTATAAAAAGAGGGTTTCAAACCTACTCTATGAAAGGGAATGTTCAACTCTGGGAGCTGGATGCAAACATCACAAAGAAGTTTCTGAGAATGCTGCTGTCTACTTTTTATATATAATCCCGTTTCCAACGAAATCCTCAAATCTATCCAAATATCCACTTGCAGATTCCAAAAGAAGAGTGTCTCAAAACTGCTCTATCAATAGAAATGTTCAGCACAGTTAGTTGAGTAGATACAGCATAAACATGTTTCTGAGATTACTTCTATCTCGCATTCATGGGAAGATATTTCCTTTTTCCAGATAGGCTACAAAGCCCTCCAAATGTCCACTTCCAGATACTACAAAAAGTGTGTTTCCAACCTGCTCTATGAAACGGAAGGTTCAACTCTGTGACTTGATTGCAAACATCACGAAGGTGTTTCTGAGAATGCTTCTGTCTAGATTTTCTTTGAAGACATTACCGTTTCCAACGAAATCCTCAAAGCTAGCCAAATATCCACCTGCAGATTCTACAAAAAGAGTGTTTCAAAAGTGCTCTCTCCAAACCAAGGTTCAATTCTGACAGTTGAGTGCACACATCACAAACGTGATTCTGCGAATGCTTCTGTCTAGTTTTTGTCGGAAGATATTTCCTTTTTCAGCATAGGCCCCAAGGAGCTCAAAATGTCCACTGCCAGATAGTACGAGAAGATTGTTTCAAACCTGCTCTGTGAAAGGGAATGTTCAACTCTGTGACTTGAATGTAAACATCCCTAAGCTGTTTCTTAGAATGCTTCTGGCTAGATTTGATTTGAAGATATTCCCGTTTCCAACGAAATCCTCAAAGCTTTCCAAATATCCACTTCCAGATTCTATAAAAAGAATGTTTCAGAACAGTTCTGTCAAAAGAAAGGTTCAACTCTGTTAGTGGAGAACACACATCACAATCAAGGTTCTGAGAATGCTTCTGTCTAAATTTTCTATGAAGACATTCCCGTTTCCAACGAAATCCTCACAGCTATCCAAATATCCACTTGCAGATTCTACAAAAAGTGTGGTTCAAAACTGCTGTATCAAAAGAATGGATCAACACTGTTAGTTGAGTACCCACATCACAAACGTGATTCTCAGAATGCTTCTGTCTAGTTTCTATAGGTAGATATTTCCTTTTTCAGCATAGGCCTGAAAGCGCTCCAAATGCCCGCTTCCAGACACTATAAAAAGAGGGTTTCAAACCTACTCTATGAAAGGGAATGTTCAACTCTGAGAGCTGGATGCAAACATCACAAAGAAGTTTCTGAGAATGCTGCTGTCTACTTTTTATATATAATCCCGTTTCCAACGAAATCCTCAAATCTATCCAAATATCCACTTGCAGATTCCAAAAGAAGAGTGTCTCAAAACTGCTCTATCAATAGAAATGTTCAGCACAGTTAGTTGAGTAGATACAGCATAAACATGTTTCTGAGATTACTTCTATCTCGCATTCATGGGAAGATATTTCCTTTTTCCAGATAGGCTACAAAGCCCTCCAAATGTCCACTTCCAGATACTACAAATAGAGTGCTGCACAACTGCTCTATGTGAGGGGAAGTTCAATTCTGTGACTTGAATGCAGACACCACAAAGAAGTTTCTGAGAATGCTGCTGTCTAATTTTTACATGTAAGCCCGTTTCCAACGAAATCCTCAAAGCTATCCAAATATCCGCATGCAGAATCTTCAAAAAGAGTGTTCCAGAAGTACTGCATGAAACGAAAGGTTCAAGTCCGTTTGTTGAGGACACACATCACAAATAAGTTTCTCAGAATGCTTCTGTCTTGTTTTCATTGGAAGATATTTCCTTTTTCACCATAGTTCAGAAAGCGCTCCAAATGTCCACTTCCAGATACTCCAAAAAGAGTGTTTCCAACCTGCTCTATGAATGGGAATGTTCCACTCTGTGACTTGAATGGAAATATGGCAAAGTATTTTCTGAGTATGCTGCTGTGTACGTTTTATATTGCATCCCGTTTCCAACGAAATCCTCAAAGCGATCCAAATATCCACTTGCAGATTCCAAAAAAAGAGTGTTTCAAAGTGCTCTGTCAGTACAAAGGTTCAACACTGTTAGTTGATTAGATGCATCATAAACAAGTTCCTGAGATAGCTTCTATGTCGTTTTTATGGGAAGATATTTCCTTTTTCACCATAGGCCTGAAAGCGCTCCAAATGTCCACTTCCAGATACTACAATAAGAGTGTTTCCAACCTGCTCTATGAAACGGAAGGTTCAACTCTGTGACTTGATTGCAAACATCACGAAAGGTGTTTCTGAGAATGCTTCTGTCTAGATTTTCTTTGAAGACATTCCCGTTTCCAACGAAATCCTCACAGCTATCCAAATATCCTCTTGCAGATTCTACAAAAAGTGTGGTTCAAAACTGCTGTATCAAAAGAATGGATCAACACTGTTAGTTGAGTACCCACATCACAAACGTGATTCTCAGAATGCTTCTGTCTAGTTTCTATAGGTAGATATTTCCTTTTTCAGCATTGGCCTGAAAGCGCTCCAAATGCCTGCTTCCAGACACTATAAAAAGAGGGTTTCAAACCTACTCCACGAAAGGGAATGTTCAACTCTGAGAGCTGGATGCAAACATCACAAAGAAGTTTCTGAGGATGCTGTTGTCTACTTTTGATATATAATCCCGTTTCCAAGGAAATCCTCAAATCTATCCAAATATCCACTTGCAGATTCCAAAAGAAGAGTGTCTCAAAACTGCTCTATCAATAGAAATGTTCAGCACAGTTAGTTGAGTAGATACAGCATAAACATGTTTCTGAGATTACTTCTATCTCGCATTCATGGGAAGATATTTCCTTTTTCCACATAGGCTACAAAGCCCTCCAAATGTCCACTTCCAGATACTACAAAAAGAGTGTTTCCAACCTGCTCTATGAAACGGAAGGTTCAACTCTGTGACTTGATTGCAAACATCACGAAGGTGTTTCTGAGAATGCTTCTGTCTAGATTTTCTTTGAAGACATTACCGTTTCCAACGAAATCCTCAAAGCTAGCCAAATATCCACCTGCAGATTCTACAAAAAGAGTGTTTCAAAAGTGCTCTGTCCAAACCAAGGTTCAATTCTGACAGTTGAGTGCACACATCACAAACGTGATTCTGCGAATGCTTCTGTCTAGTTTTTGTTGGAAGATATTTCCTTTTTCAGCATAGGCCCCAAAGAGCTCAAAATGTCCACTGCCAGATAGTACGAGAAGATTGTTTCAAACCTGCTCTGTGAAAGGGAATGTTCAACTCTGTGACTTGAATGTAAACATCCCTAAGATGTTTCTTAGAATGCTTCTGGCTAGATTTTATTTGAAGATATTCCCGTTTCCAACGAAATCCTCAAAGCTTTCCAAATATCCACTTCCAGATTCTATAAAAAGAATGTTTCAGAACAGTTCTGTCAAAAGAAAGGTTCAACTCTGTTAGTGGAGAACACACATCACAATCAAGGTTCTGAGAATGCTTCTCTCTAAATTTTCTATGAAGACATTCCCGTTTCCAACGAAATCCTCACAGCTATCCAAATATCCACTTGCAGATTCTACAAAAAGTGTGGTTCAAAACTGCTGTATCAAAAGAATGGATCAACACTGTTAGTTGAGTACCCACATCACAAACGTGATTCTCAGAATGCTTCTGTCTAGTTTCTATAGGTAGATATCTCCTTTTTCAGCATAGGCCTGAAAGCGCTCCAAATGCCCGCTTCCAGACACTATAAAAAGAGGGTTTCAAACCTACTCTATGAAAGGGAATGTTCAACTCTGAGAGCTGGATGCAAACATCACAAAGAAGTTTCTGAGAATGCTGCTGTCTACTTTTTATATATAATCCCGTTTCCAACGAAATCCTCAAATCTATCCAAATATCCACTTGCAGATTCCAAAAGAAGAGGGTCTCAAAACTGCTCTATCAATAGAAATGTTCAGCACAGTTAGTTGAGTAGATACAGCATAAACATGTTTCTGAGATTACTTCTCTATCTCGCATTCATGGGAAGATATTTCCTTTTTCCAGATAGGCTACAAAGCCCTCCAAATGTCCACTTCCAGATACTACAAATAGAGTGCTGCACAACTGCTCTATGTGAGGGGAAGTTCAATTCTGTGACTTGAATGCAGACACCACAAAGAAGTTTCTGAGAATGCTGCTGTCTAATTTTTACATGTAAGCCCGTTTCCAACGAAATCCTCAAAGCTATCCAAATATCCGCATGCAGAATCTTCAAAAAGAGTGTTCCAGAAGTACTGCATGAAACGAAAGGTTCAAGTCCGTTTGTTGAGGACACACATCACAAATAAGTTTCTCAGAATGCTTCTGTCTTGTTTTCATTGGAAGATATTTCCTTTTTCACCATAGTTCAGAAAGCGCTCCAAATGTCCACTTCCAGATACTCCAAAAAGAGTGTTTCAAACCTGCTCTATGAATGGGAATGTTCCACTCTGTGACTTGAATGGAAATATGGCAAAGTATTTTCTGAGTATGCTGCTGTGTACGTTTTATATTGCATCCCGTTTCCAACGAAATCCTCAAAGCGATCCAAATATCCACTTTCAGATTCCAAAAAAAGAGTGTTTCAAACTGCTCTGTCAGTACAAAGGTTCAACACTGTTAGTTGATTAGATGCATCATAAACAAGTTCCTGAGATAGCTTCTATGTCGTTTTTATGGGAAGATATTTCCTTTTTCACCATAGGCCTGAAAGCGCTCCAAATGTCCACTTCCAGATACTACAATAAGAGTGTTTCCAACCTGCTCTATGAAACGGAAGGTTCAACTCTGTGACTTGATTGCAAACATCACGAAGGTGTTTCTGAGAATGCTTCTGTCTAGATTTTCTTTGAAGACATTCCCGTTTCCAACGAAATCCTCACAGCTATCCAAATATCCTCTTGCAGATTCTACAAAAAGTGTGGTTCAAAACTGCTGTATCAAAAGAATGGATCAACACTGTTAGTTGAGTACCCACATCACAAACGTGATTCTCAGAATGCTTCTGTCTAGTTTCTGTAGGTAGATATTTCCTATTTTAAGCATAGGCCTGAAAGCGCTCCAAATGCCCGCTTCCAGACACTATAAAAAGAGGGTTTCAAACCTACTCTATGAAAGGGAATGTTCAACTCTGAGAGCTGGATGCAAACATCACAAAGAAGTTTCTGAGAATGCTGCTGTCTACTTTTTATATATAATCCCGTTTCCAACGAAATCCTCAAATCTATCCAAATATCCACTTGCAGATTCCAAAAGAAGAGTGTCTGAAAACTGCTCTATCAATAGAAATGTTCAGCACAGTTAGTTGAGTAGATACAGCATAAACATGTTTCTGAGATTACTTCTATCTCGCATTCATGGGAAGATATTTCCTTTTTCCAGATAGGCTACAAAGCCCTCCAAATGTCCACTTCCAGATACTACAAAAAGAGTGTTTCCAACCTGCTCTATGAAACGGAAGGTTCAACTCTGTGACTTGATTGCAAACATCACGAAGGTGTTTCTGAGAATGCTTCTGTCTAGATTTTCTTTGAAGACATTACCGTTTCCAACGAAATCCTCAAAGCTAGCCAAATATCCACCTGCAGATTCTACAAAAAGAGTGTTTCAAAAGTGCTCTCTCCAAACCAAGGTTCAATTCTGACAGTTGAGTGCACACATCACAAACGTGATTCTGCGAATGCTTCTGTCTAGTTTTTGTCGGAAGATATTTCCTTTTTCAGCATAGGCCCCAAGGAGCTCAAAATGTCCACTGCCAGATAGTACGAGAAGATTGTTTCAAACCTGCTCTGTGAAAGGGAATGTTCAACTCTGTGACTTGAATGTAAACATCCCTAAGCTGTTTCTTAGAATGCTTCTGGCTAGATTTGATTTGAAGATATTCCCGTTTCCAACGAAATCCTCAAAGCTTTCCAAATATCCACTTCCAGATTCTATAAAAAGAATGTTTCAGAACAGTTCTGTCAAAAGAAAGGTTCAGCTCTGTTAGTGGAGAACACACATCACAATCAAGGTTCTGAGAATGCTTCTGTCTAAATTTTCTATGAAGACATTCCCGTTTCCAACGAAATCCTCACAGCTATCCAAATATCCACTTGCAGATTCTACAAAAAGTGTGGTTCAAAACTGCTGTATCAAAAGAATGGATCGACACTGTTAGTTGAGTACCCACATCACAAACGTGATTCTCAGAATGCTTCTGTCTAGTTTCTATAGGTAGATATTTCCTTTTTCAGCATAGGCCTGAAAGCGCTCCAAATGCCCGCTTCCAGACACTATAAAAAGAGGGTTTCAAACCTACTCTATGAAAGGGAATGTTCAACTCTGGGAGCTGGATGCAAACATCACAAAGAAGTTTCTGAGAATGCTGCTGTCTACTTTTTATATATAATCCCGTTTCCAACGAAATCCTCAAATCTATCCAAATATCCACTTGCAGATTCCAAAAGAAGAGTGTCTCAAAACTGCTCTATCAATAGAAATGTTCAGCACAGTTAGTTGAGTAGATACAGCATAAACATGTTTCTGAGATTACTTCTATCTCGCATTCATGGGAAGATATTTCCTTTTTCCAGATAGGCTACAAAGCCCTCCAAATGTCCACTTCCAGATACTACAAAAAGAGTGTTTCCAACCTGCTCTATGAAACGGAAGGTTCAACTCTGTGACTTGATTGCAAACATCACGAAGGTGTTTCTGAGAATGCTTCTGTCTAGATTTTCTTTGAAGACATTACCGTTTCCAACGAAATCCTCAAAGCTAGCCAAATATCCACCTGCAGATTCTACAAAAAGAGTGTTTCAAAAGTGCTCTCTCCAAACCAAGGTTCAATTCTGACAGTTGAGTGCACACATCACAAACGTGATTCTGCGAATGCTTCTGTCTAGTTTTTGTCGGAAGATATTTCCTTTTTCAGCATAGGCCCCAAAGAGCTCAAAATGTCCACTGCCAGATAGTACGAGAAGATTGTTTCAAACCTGCTCCGTGAAAGGGAATGTTCAACTCTGTGACTTGAATGTAAACATCCCTAAGATGTTTCTTAGAATGCTTCTGGCTAGATTTTATTTGAAGATATTCCCGTTTCCAACGAAATCCGCAAAGCTTTCCAAATATCCACTTCCAGATTCTATAAAAAGAATGTTTCAGAACAGTTCTGTCAAAAGAAAGGTTCAACTCTGTTAGTGGAGAACACACATCACAATCAAGGTTCTGAGAATGCTTCTGTCTAAATTTTCTATGAAGACATTCCCGTTTCCAACGAAATCCTCACAGCTATCCAAATATCCACTTGCAGATTCTACAAAAAGTGTGGTTCAAAACTGCTGTATCAAAAGAATGGATCAACACTGTTAGTTGAGTACCCACATCACAAACGTGATTCTCAGAATGCTTCTGTCTAGTTTCTATAGGTAGATATTTCCTTTTTCAGCATAGGCCTGAAAGCGCTCCAAATGCCCGCTTCCAGACACTATAAAAAGAGGGTTTCAAACCTACTCTATGAAAGGGAATGTTCAACTCTGAGAGCTGGATGCAAACATCACAAAGAAGTTTCTGAGAATGCTGCTGTCTACTTTTTATATATAATCCCGTTTCCAACGAAATCCTCAAATCTATCCAAATATCCACTTGCAGATTCCAAAAGAAGAGTGTCTCAAAACTGCTCTATCAATAGAAATGTTCAGCACAGTTAGTTGAGTAGATACAGCATAAACATGTTTCTGAGATTACTTCTATCTCGCATTCATGGGAAGATATTTCCTTTTTCCAGATAGGCTACAAAGCCCTCCAAATGTCCACTTCCAGATACTACAAAAAGAGTGTTTCCAACCTGCTCTATGAAACGGAAGGTTCAACTCTGTGACTTGATTGCAAACATCACGAAGGTGTTTCTGAGAATGCTTCTGTCTAGATTTTCTTTGAAGACATTACCGTTTCCAACGAAATCCTCAAAGCTAGCCAAATATCCACCTGCAGATTCTACAAAAAGAGTGTTTCAAAAGTGCTCTGTCCAAACCAAGGTTCAATTCTGACAGTTGAGTGCACACATCACAAACGTGATTCTGCGAATGCTTCTGTCTAGTTTTTGTCGGAAGATATTTCCTTTTTCAGCATAGGCCCCAAGGAGCTCAAAATGTCCACTGCCAGATAGTACGAGAAGATTGTTTCAAACCTGCTCTGTGAAAGGGAATGTTCAACTCTGTGACTTGAATGTAAACATCCCTAAGATGTTTCTTAGAATGCTTCTGGCTAGATTTGATTTGAAGATATTCCCGTTTCCAACGAAATCCTCAAAGCTTTCCAAATATCCACTTCCAGATTCTATAAAAAGAATGTTTCAGAACAGTTCTGTCAAAAGAAAGGTTCAACTCTGTTAGTGGAGAACACACTTCACAATCAAGGTTCTGAGAATGCTTCTGTCTAAATTTTCTATGAAGACATTCCCGTTTCCAACGAAATCCTCACAGCTATCCAAATATCCACTTGCAGATTCTACAAAAAGTGTGGTTCAAAACTGCTGTATCAAAAGAATGGATCAACACTGTTAGTTGAGTACCCACATCACAAACGTGATTCTCAGAATGCTTCTGTCTAGTTTCTATAGGTAGATATTTCCTTTTTCAGCATAGGCCTGAAAGCGCTCCAAATGCCCGCTTCCAGACACTATAAAAAGAGGGTTTCAAACCTACTCTATGAAAGGGAATGTTCAACTCTGAGAGCTGGATGCAAACATCACAAAGAAGTTTCTGAGAATGCTGCTGTCTACTTTTTATATATAATCCCGTTTCCAACGAAATCCTCAAATCTATCCAAATATCCACTTGCAGATTCCAAAAGAAGAGGGTCTCAAAACTGCTCTATCAATAGAAATGTTCAGCACAGTTAGTTGAGTAGATACAGCATAAACATGTTTCTGAGATTACTTCTATCTCGCATTCATGGGAAGATATTTCCTTTTTCCAGATAGGCTACAAAGCCCTCCAAATGTCCACTTCCAGATACTACAAATAGAGTGCTGCACAACTGCTCTATGTGAGGGGAAGTTCAATTCTGTGACTTGAATGCAGACACCACAAAGAAGTTTCTGAGAATGCTGCTGTCTAATTTTTACATGTAAGCCCGTTTCCAACGAAATCCTCAAAGCTATCCAAATATCCGCATGCAGAATCTTCAAAAAGAGTGTTCCAGAAGTACTGCATGAAACGAAAGGTTCAAGTCCGTTTGTTGAGGACACACATCACAAATAAGTTTCTCAGAATGCTTCTGTCTTGTTTTCATTGGAAGATATTTCCTTTTTCACCATAGTTCAGAAAGCGCTCCAAATGTCCACTTCCAGATACTCCAAAAAGAGTGTTTCAAACCTGCTCTATGAATGGGAATGTTCCACTCTGTGACTTGAATGGAAATATGGCAAAGTATTTTCTGAGTATGCTGCTGTGTACGTTTTATATTGCATCCCGTTTCCAACGAAATCCTCAAAGCGATCCAAATATCCACTTGCAGATTCCAAAAAAAGAGTGTTTCAAACTGCTCTGTCAGTACAAAGGTTCAACACTGTTAGTTGATTAGATGCATCATAAACAAGTTCCTGATATAGATTCTATGTCGTTTTTATGGGAAGATATTTCCTTTTTCACCATAGGCCTGAAAGCGCTCCAAATGTCCACTTCCAGATACTACAAAAAGAGTGTTTCCAACCTGCTCTATGAAACGGAAGGTTCAACTCTGTGACTTGATTGCAAACATCACGAAGGTGTTTCTGAGAATGTTTCTGTCTAGATTTTCTTTGAAGACATTCCCGTTTCCAACGAAATCCTCACAGCTATCCAAATATCCTCTTGCAGATTCTACAAAAAGTGTGGTTCAAAACTGCTGTATCAAAAGAATGGATCAACACTGTTAGTTGAGTACCCACATCACAAACGAGATTCTCAGAATGCTTCTGTCTAGTTTCTGTAGGTAGATATTTCCTATTTTAAGCATAGGTCTGAAAGCGCTCCAAATGCCCGCTTCCAGACACTATAAAAAGAGGGTTTCAAACCTACTCTATGAAAGGGAATGTTCAACTCTGAGAGCTGGATGCAAACATCACAAAGAAGTTTCTGAGAATGCTGCTGTCTACTTTTTATATATAATCCCGTTTCCAACGAAATCCTCAAATCTCTCCAAATATCCACTTGCAGATTCCAAAAGAAGAGTGTCTCAAAACTGCTCTATCAATAGAAATGTTCAGCACAGTTAGTTGAGTAGATACAGCATAAACATGTTTCTGAGATTACTTCTATCTCGCATTCATGGGAAGATATTTCCTTTTTCCACATAGGCTACAAAGCCCTCCAAATGTCCACTTCCAGATACTACAAAAAGAGTGTTTCCAACCTGCTCTATGAAACGGAAGGTTCAACTCTGTGACTTGATTGCAAACATCACGAAGGTGTTTCTGAGAATGCTTCTGTCTAGATTTTCTTTGAAGACATTACCGTTTCCAACGAAATCCTCAAAGCTAGCCAAATATCCACCTGCAGATTCTACAAAAAGAGTGTTTCAAAAGTGCTCTGTCCAAACCAAGGTTCAATTCTGACAGTTGAGTGCACACATCACAAACGTGATTCTGCGAATGCTTCTGTCTAGTTTTTGTCGGAAGATATTTCCTTTTTCAGCATAGGCCCCAAGGAGCTCAAAATGTCCACTGCCAGATAGTACGAGAAGATTGTTTCAAACCTGCTCTGTGAAAGGGAATGTTCAACTCTGTGACTTGAATGTAAACATCCCTAAGATGTTTCTTAGAATGCTTCTGGCTAGATTTGATTTGAAGATATTCCCGTTTCCAACGAAATCCTCAAAGCTTTCCAAATATCCACTTCCAGATTCTATAACAAGAATGTTTCAGAACAGTTCTGTCAAAAGAAAGGTTCAACTCTGTTAGTGGAGAACACACATCACAATCAAGGTTCTGAGAATGCTTCCTGTCTAAATTTTCTATGAAGACATTCCCGTTTCCAACGAAATCCTCACAGCTATCCAAATATCCTCTTGCAGATTCTACAAAAAGTGTGGTTCAAAACTGCTGTATCAAAAGAATGGATCAACACTGTTAGTTGAGTACCCACATCACAAACGTGATTCTCAGAATGCTTCTGTCTAGTTTCTGTAGGTAGATATTTCCTATTTTAAGCATAGGCCTGAAAGCGCTCCAAATGCCCGCTTCCAGACACTATAAAAAGAGGGTTTCAAACCTACTCTATGAAAGGGAATGTTCAACTCTGAGAGCTGGATGCAAACATCACAAAGAAGTTTCTGAGAATGCTGCTGTCTACTTTTTATATATAATCCCGTTTCCAACGAAATCCTCAAATCTATCCAAATATCCACTTGCAGATTCCAAAAGAAGAGTGTCTCAAAACTGCTCTATCAATAGAAATGTTCAGCACAGTTAGTTGAGTAGATACAGCATAAACATGTTTCTGAGATTACTTCTATCTCGCATTCATGGGAAGATATTTCCTTTTTCCAGATAGGCTACAAAGCCCTCCAAATGTCCACTTCCAGATACTACAAATAGAGTGCTGCACAACTGCTCTATGTGAGGGGAAGTTCAATTCTGTGACTTGAATGCAGACACCACAAAGAAGTTTCTGAGAATGCTGCTGTCTAATTTTTACATGTAAGCCCGTTTCCAACGAAATCCTCAAAGCTATCCAAATATCCGCATGCAGAATCTTCAAAAAGAGTGTTCCAGAAGTACTGCATGAAACGAAAGGTTCAAGTCCGTTTGTTGAGGACACACATCACAAATAAGTTTCTCAGAATGCTTCTGTCTTGTTTTCATTGGAAGATATTTCCTTTTTCACCATAGTTCAGAAAGCGCTCCAAATGTCCACTTCCAGATACTCCAAAAAGAGTGTTTCCAACCTGCTCTATGAATGGGAATGTTCCACTCTGTGACTTGAATGGAAATATGGCAAAGTATTTTCTGAGTATGCTGCTGTGTACGTTTTATATTGCATCCCGTTTCCAACGAAATCCTCAAAGCGATCCAAATATCCACTTGCAGATTCCAAAAAAAGAGTGTTTCAAACTGCTCTGTCAGTACAAAGGTTCAACACTGTTAGTTGATTAGATGCATCATAAACAAGTTCCTGAGATAGCTTCTATGTCGTTTTTATGGGAAGATATTTCCTTTTTCACCATAGGCCTGAAAGCACTCCAAATGTCCACTTCCAGATACTACAAAAAGAGTGTTTCCAACCTGCTCTATGAAACGGAAGGTTCAACTCTGTGACTTGATTGCAAACATCACGAAGGTGTTTCTGAGAATGCTTCTGTCTAGATTTTCTTTGAAGACATTACCGTTTCCAACGAAATCCTCAAAGCTAGCCAAATATCCACCTGCAGATTCTACAAAAAGAGTGTTTCAAGAGTGCTCTCTCCAAACCAAGGTTCAATTCTGACAGTTGAGTGCACACATCACAAACGTGATTCTGCGAATGCTTCTGTCTAGTTTTTGTCGGAAGATATTTCCTTTTTCAGCATAGGCCCCAAGGAGCTCAAAATGTCCACTGCCAGATAGTACGAGAAGATTGTTTCAAACCTGCTCTGTGAAAGGGAATGTTCAACTCTGTGACTTGAATGTAAACATCCCTAAGCTGTTTCTTAGAATGCTTCTGGCTAGATTTGATTTGAAGATATTCCCGTTTCCAACGAAATCCTCAAAGCTTTCCAAATATCCACTTCCAGATTCTATAAAAAGAATGTTTCAGAACAGTTCTGTCAAAAGAAAGGTTCAGCTCTGTTAGTGGAGAACACACATCACAATCAAGGTTCTGAGAATGCTTCTGTCTAAATTTTCTATGAAGACATTCCCGTTTCCAACGAAATCCTCACAGCTATCCAAATATCCACTTGCAGATTCTACAAAAAGTGTGGTTCAAAACTGCTGTATCAAAAGAATGGATCAACACTGTTAGTTGAGTACCCACATCACAAACGTGATTCTCAGAATGCTTCTGTCTAGTTTCTATAGGTAGATATTTCCTTTTTCAGCATAGGCCTGAAAGCGCTCCAAATGCCCGCTTCCAGACACTATAAAAAGAGGGTTTCAAACCTACTCTATGAAAGGGAATGTTCAACTCTGGGAGCTGGATGCAAACATCACAAAGAAGTTTCTGAGAATGCTGCTGTCTACTTTTGATATATAATCCCGTTTCCAACGAAAATCCTCAAATCTATCCAAATATCCACTTGCAGATTCCAAAAGAAGAGTGTCTCAAAACTGCTCTATCAATAGAAATGTTCAGCACAGTTAGTTGAGTAGATACAGCATAAACATGTTTCTGAGATTACTTCTATCTCGCATTCATGGGAAGATATTTCCTTTTTCCAGATAGGCTACAAAGCCCTCCAAATGTCCACTTCCAGATACTACAAATAGAGTGCTGCACAGCTGCTCTATGTGAGGGGAAGTTCAATTCTGTGACTTGAATGCAGACACCACAAAGAAGTTTCTGAGAATGCTGCTGTCTAATTTTTACATGTAAGCCCGTTTCCAACGAAATCCTCAAAGCTATCCAAATATCCGCATGCAGAATCTTCAAAAAGAGTGTTCCAGAAGTACTGCATGAAACGAAAGGTTCAAGTCCGTTTGTTGAGGACACACATCACAAATAAGTTTCTCAGAATGCTTCTGTCTTGTTTTCATTGGAAGATATTTCCTTTTTCACCATAGTTCAGAAAGCGCTCCAAATGTCCACTTCCAGATACTCCAAAAAGAGTGTTTCCAACCTGCTCTATGAATGGGAATGTTCCACTCTGTGACTTGAATGGAAATATGGCAAAGTATTTTCTGAGTATGCTGCTGTGTACGTTTTATATTGCATCCCGTTTCCAACGAAATCCTCAAAGCGATCCAAATATCCACTTGCAGATTCCAAAAAAAGAGTGTTTCAAACTGCTCTGTCAGTACAAAGGTTCAACACTGTTAGTTGATTAGATGCATCATAAACAAGTTCCTGAGATAGCTTCTATGTCGTTTTTATGGGAAGATATTTCCTTTTTCACCATAGGCCTCAAAGCGCTCCAAATGTCCACTTCCACAAACTACAAAAAGAGTGTTTCCAACCTGCTCTATGAAACGGAAGGTTCAACTCTGTGACTTGATTGCAAACATCACGAAGGTGTTTCTGAGAATGCTTCTGTCTAGATTTTCTTTGAAGACATTCCCGTTTCCAACGAAATCCTCACAGCTTTCCAAATATCCTCTTGCAGATTCTACAAAAAGTGTGGTTCAAAACTGCTGTATCAAAAGAATGGATCAACACTGTTAGTTGAGTACCCACATCACAAACGTGATTCTCAGAATGCTTCTGTCTAGTTTCTGTAGGTAGATATTTCCTATTTTAAGCATAGGCCTGAAAGCGCTCCAAATGCCCGCTTCCAGACACTATAAAAAGAGGGTTTCAAACCTACTCTATGAAAGGGAATGTTCAACTCTGAGAACTGGATGCAAACATCACAAAGAAGTTTCTGAGAATGCTGCTGTCTACTTTTTATATATAATCCCGTTTCCAAAGAAATCCTCAAATCTATCCAAATATCCACTTGCAGATTCCAAAAGAAGAGTGTCTCAAAACTGCTCTATCAATAGAAATGTTCAGCACAGTTAGTTGAGTAGATACAGCATAAACATGTTTCTGAGATTACTTCTATCTCGCATTCATGGGAATATATTTCCTTTTTCCAGATAGGCTACAAAGCCCTCCAAATGTCCACTTCCAGATACTACAAAAAGAGTGTTTCCAACCTGCTCTATGAAACGGAAGGTTCAACTCTGTGACTTGATTGCAAACATCATGAAGGTGTTTCTGAGAATGCTTCTGTCTAGATTTTCTTTGAAGACATTACCGTTTCCAACGAAATCCTCAAAGCTAGCCAAATATCCACCTGCAGATTCTACAAAAAGAGTGTTTCAAAAGTGCTCTGTCCAAACCAAGGTTCAATTCTGACAGTTGAGTGCACACATCACAAACGTGATTCTGCGAATGCTTCTGTCTAGTTTTTGTCGGAAGATATTTCCTTTTTCAGCATAGGCCCCAAGGAGCTCAAAATGTCCACTGCCAGATAGTACGAGAAGATTGTTTCAAACCTGCTCTGTGAAAGGGAATGTTCAACTCTGTGACTTGAATGTAAACATCCCTAAGATGTTTCTTAGAATGCTTCTGGCTAGATTTGATTGGAAGATATTCCCGTTTCCAACGAAATCCTCAAAGCTTTCCAAATATCCACTTCCAGATTCTATAAAAAGAATGTTTCAGAACAGTTCTGTCAAAAGAAAGGTTCAACTCTGTTAGTGGAGAACACACATCACAATCAAGGTTCTGAGAATGCTTCTGTCTAAATTTTCTATGAAGACATTCCCGTTTCCAACGAAATCCTCACAGCTATCCAAATATCCACTTGCAGATTCTACAAAAAGTGTGGTTCAAAACTGCTGTATCAAAAGAATGGATCAACACTGTTAGTTGAGTACCCACATCACAAACGTGATTCTCAGAATGCTTCTGTCTAGTTTCTATAGGTAGATATTTCCTTTTTCAGCATAGGCCTGAAAGCGCTCCAAATGCCCGCTTCCAGACACTATAAAAAGAGGGTTTCAAAACTACTCTATGAAAGGGAATGTTCAACTCTGGGAGCTAGATGCAAACATCACAAAGAAGTTTCTGAGAATGCTGCTGTCTACTTTTTATATATAATCCCGTTTCCAACGAAATCCTCAAATCTATCCAAATATCCACTTGCAGATTCCAAAAGAAGAGTGTCTCAAAACTGCTCTATCAATAGAAATGTTCAGCACAGTTAGTTGAGTAGATACAGCATAAACATGTTTCTGAGATTACTTCTATCTCGCATTCATGGGAAGATATTTCCTTTTTCCAGATAGGCTACAAAGCCCTCCAAATGTCCACTTCCAGATACTACAAAAAGTGTGTTTCCAACCTGCTCTATGAAACGGAAGGTTCAACTCTGTGACTTGATTGCAAACATCACGAAGGTGTTTCTGAGAATGCTTCTGTCTAGATTTTCTTTGAAGACATTACCGTTTCCAACGAAATCCTCAAAGCTAGCCAAATATCCACCTGCAGATTCTACAAAAAGAGTGTTTCAAAAGTGCTCTCTCCAAACCAAGGTTCAATTCTGACAGTTGAGTGCACACATCACAAACGTGATTCTGCGAATGCTTCTGTCTAGTTTTTGTCAGAAGATATTTCCTTTTTCAGCATAGGCCCCAAGGCAGCTCAAAATGTCCACTGCCAGATAGTACGAGAAGATTGTTTCAAACCTGCTCTGTGAAAGGGAATGTTCAACTCTGTGACTTGAATGTAAACATCCCTAAGATGTTTCTTAGAATGCTTCTGGCTAGATTTTATTTGAAGATATTCCCGTTTCCAACGAAATCCTCAAAGCTTTCCAAATATCCACTTCCAGATTCTATAAAAAGAATGTTTCAGAACAGTTCTGTCAAAAGAAAGGTTCAACTCTGTTAGTGGAGAACACACATCACAATCAAGGTTCTGAGAATGCTTCTGTCTAAATTTTCTATGAAGACATTCCCGTTTCCAACGAAATCCTCACAGCTATCCAAATATCCACTTGCAGATTCTACAAAAAGTGTGGTTCAAAACTGCTGTATCAAAAGAATGGATCAACACTGTTAGTTGAGTACCCACATCACAAACGTGATTCTCAGAATGCTTCTGTCTAGTTTCTATAGGTAGATATTTCCTTTTTCAGCATAGGCCTGAAAGCGCTCCAAATGCCCGCTTCCAGACACTATAAAAAGAGGGTTTCAAACCTACTCTATGAAAGGGAATGTTCAACTCTGAGAGCTGGATGCAAACATCACAAAGAAGTTTCTGAGAATGCTGCTGTCTACTTTTTATATATAATCCCGTTTCCAACGAAATCCTCAAATCTATCCAAATATCCACTTGCAGATTCCAAAAGAAGAGTGTCTCAAAACTGCTCTATCAATAGAAATGTTCAGCACAGTTAGTTGAGTAGGTACAGCATAAACATGTTTCTGAGATTACTTCTATCTCGCATTCATGGGAAGATATTTCCTTTTTCCACATAGGCTACAAAGCCCTCCAAATGTCCACTTCCAGATACTACAAATAGAGTGCTGCACAACTGCTCTATGTGAGGGGATGTTCAATTCTGTGACTTGAATGCAGACACCACAAAGAAGTTTCTGAGAATGCTGCTGTCTAATTTTTACATGTAAGCCCGTTTCCAACGAAATCCTCAAATCTATCCAAATATCCGCATGCAGAATCTTCAAAAAGAGTGTTCCAGAAGTACTGCATGAAACGAAAGGTTCAAGTCCGTTTGTTGAGGACACACATCACAAATAAGTTTCTCAGAATGCTTCTGTCTTGTTTTCATTGGAAGATATTTCCTTTTTCACCATAGTTCAGAAAGCGCTCCAAATGTCCACTTCCAGATACTCCAAAAAGAGTGTTTCCAACCTGCTCTATGAATGGGAATGTTCCACTCTGTGACTTGAATGGAAATATGGCAAAGTATTTTCTGAGTATGCTGCTGTGTACGTTTTATATTGCATCCCGTTTCCAACGAAATCCTCAAAGCGATCCAAATATCCACTTGCAGATTCCAAAAAAAGAGTGTTTCAAACTGCTCTGTCAGTACAAAGGTTCAACACTGTTAGTTGATTAGATGCATCATAAACAAGTTCCTGAGATAGCTTCTATGTCGTTTTTATGGGAAGATATTTCCTTTTTCACCATAGGCCTGAAAGCGCTCCAAATGTCCACTTCCAGATACTACAAAAAGAGTGTTTCCAACCTGCTCTATGAAACGGAAGGTTCAACTCTGTGACTTGATTGCAAACATCACGAAGGTGTTTCTGAGAATGCTTCTGTCTAGATTTTCTTTGAAGACATTACCGTTTCCAACGAAATCCTCAAAGCTAGCCAAATATCCACCTGCAGATTCTACAAAAAGAGTGTTTCAAAAGTGCTCTGTCCAAACCAAGGTTCAATTCTGACAGTTGAGTGCACACATCACAAACGTGATTCTGCGAATGCTCTGTCTAGTTTTTGTCGGAAGATATTTCCTTTTTCAGCATAGGCCCCAAAGAGCTCAAAATGTCCACTGCCAGATAGTACGAGAAGATTGTTTCAAACCTGCTCTGTGAAAGGGAATGTTCAACTCTGTGACTTGAATGTAAACATCCCTAAGATGTTTCTTAGAATGCTTTCTGGCTAGATTTTATTTGAAGATATTCCCGTTTCCAACGAAATCCTCAAAGCTTTCCAAATATCCACTTCCAGATTCTATAAAAAGAATGTTTCAGAACAGTTCTGTCAAAAGAAAGGTTCAACTCTGTTAGTGGAGAACACACATCACTATTCAAGGTTCTGAGAATGCTTCTGTCTAAATTTTCTATGAAGACATTCCCGTTTCCAACGAAATCCTCACAGCTATCCAAATATCCACTTGCAGATTCTACAAAAAGTGTGGTTCAAAACTGCTGTATCAAAAGAATGGATCAACACTGTTAGTTGAGTACCCACATCACAAACGTGATTCTCAGAATGCTTCTGTCTAGTTTCTGTAGGTAGATATTTCCTATTTTAAGCATAGGCCTGAAAGCGCTCCAAATGCCCGCTTCCAGACACTATAAAAAGAGGGTTTCAAACCTACTCTATGAAAGGGAATGCTCAACTCTGAGAGCTGGATGCAAACATCACAAAGAAGTTTCTGAGAATGCTGCTGTCTACTTTTTATATATAATCCCGTTTCCAACGAAATCCTCAAATCTATCCAAATATCCACTTGCAGATTCCAAAAGAAGAGTGTCTCAAAACTGCTCTATCAATAGAAATGTTCAGCACAGTTAGTTGAGTAGATACAGCATAAACATGTTTCTGAGATTACTTCTATCTCGCATTCATGGGAAGATATTTCCTTTTTCCAGATAGGCTACAAAGCCCTCCAAATGTCCACTTCCAGATACTACAAATAGAGTGCTGCACAACTGCTCTATGTGAGGGGAAGTTCAATTCTGTGACTTGAATGCAGACACCACAAAGAAGTTTCTGAGAATGCTGCTGTCTAATTTTTACATGTAAGCCCGTTTCCAACGAAATCCTCAAAGCTATCCAAATATCCGCATGCAGAATCTTCAAAAAGAGTGTTCCAGAAGTACTGCATGAAACGAAAGGTTCAAGTCCGTTTGTTGAGGACACACATCACAAATAAGTTTCTCAGAATGCTTCTGTCTTGTTTTCATTGGAAGATATTTCCTTTTTCACCATAGTTCAGAAAGCGCTCCAAATGTCCACTTCCAGATACTCCAAAAAGAGTGTTTCCAACCTGCTCTATGAATGGGAATGTTCCACTCTGTGACTTGAATGGAAATATGGCAAAGTATTTTCTGAGTATGCTGCTGTGTACGTTTTATATTGCATCCCGTTTCCAACGAAATCCTCAAAGCGATCCAAATATCCACTTGCAGATTCCAAAAAAAGAGTGTTTCAAACTGCTCTGTCAGTACAAAGGTTCAACACTGTTAGTTGATTAGATGCATCATAAACAAGTTCCTGAGATAGCTTCTATGTCGTTTTTATGGGAAGATATTTCCTTTTTCACCATAGGCCTGAAAGCACTCCAAATGTCCACTTCCAGATACTACAAAAAGAGTGTTTCCAACCTGCTCTATGAAACGGAAGGTTCAACTCTGTGACTTGATTGCAAACATCACGAAGGTGTTTCTGAGAATGCTTCTGTCTAGATTTTCTTTGAAGACATTCCCGTTTCCAACGAAATCCTCAAAGCTAGCCAAATATCCACCTGCAGATTCTACAAAAAGAGTGTTTCAAGAGTGCTCTCTCCAAACCAAGGTTCAATTCTGACAGTTGAGTGCACACATCACAAACGTGATTCTGCGAATGCTTCTGTCTAGTTTTTGTCGGAAGATATTTCCTTTTTCAGCATAGGCCCCAAGGAGCTCAAAATGTCCACTGCCAGATAGTACGAGAAGATTGTTTCAAACCTGCTCTGTGAAAGGGAATGTTCAACTCTGTGACTTGAATGTAAACATCCCTAAGATGTTTCTTAGAATGCTTCTGGCTAGATTTTACTTGAAGATATTCCCGTTTCCAACGAAATCCTCAAAGCTTTCCAACTATCCACTTACAGATTCTATAAAAAGAATGTTTCAAAACAGTTCTGTCCAAAGAAAGGTTCAACTCTGTTAGTGGAGAACACACATCACAATCCAGGTTCTGAGAATGCTTCTGTCTAAATTTTCTATGAAGACATTCCCGTTTCCAACGAAATCCTCACAGCTATCCAAATATCCACTTGCAGATTCTACAAAAAGGGTGGTTCAAAACTGCTGTATCAAAAGAATGGATCAACACTGTTAGTTGAGTACCCACATCACAAACGTGATTCTCAGAATGCTTCTGTCTAGTTTCTATAGGTAGATATTTCCTTTTTCAGCATAGGCCTGAAAGCGCTCCAAATGCCCGCTTCCAGACACTATAAAAAGAGGGTTTCAAACCTACTCTATGAAAGGGAATGTTCAACTCTGAGAGCTGGATGCAAACATCACAAAGAAGTTTCTGAGAATGCTGCTGTCTACTTTTTATATATAATCCCGTTTCCAACGAAATCCTCAAATCTATCCAAATATCCACTTGCAGATTCCAAAAGAAGAGTGTCTCAAAACTGCTCTATCAATAGAAATGTTCAGCACAGTTAGTTGAGTAGATACAGCATAAACATGTTTCTGAGATTACTTCTATCTCGCATTCATGGGAAGATATTTCCTTTTTCCAGATAGGCTACAAAGCCCTCCAAATGTCCACTTCCAGATACTACAAATAGAGTGCTGCACAACTGCTCTATGTGAGGGGAAGTTCAATTCTGTGACTTGAATGCAGACACCACAAAGAAGTTTCTGAGAATGCTGCTGTCTAATTTTTACATGTAAGCCCGTTTCCAACGAAATCCTCAAAGCAATCCAAATATCCGCATGCAGAATCTTCAAAAAGAGTGTTCCAGAAGTACTGCATGAAACGAAAGGTTCAAGTCCGTTTGTTGAGGACACACATCACAAATAAGTTTCTCAGAATGCTTCTGTCTTGTTTTCATTGGAAGATATTTCCTTTTTCACCATAGTTCAGAAAGCGCTCCAAATGTCCACTTCCAGATACTCCAAAAAGAGTGTTTCAAACCTGCTCCATGAATGGGAATGTTCCACTCTGTGACTTGAATGGAAATATGGCAAAGTATTTTCTGAGTATGCCGCTGTGTACGTTTTATATTGCATCCCGTTTCCAACGAAATCCTCAAAGCGATCCAAATATCCACTTGCAGATTCCAAAAAAAGAGTGTTTCAGACTGCTCTGTCAGTACAAAGGTTCAACACTGTTAGTTGATTAGATGCATCACAAACAAGTTCCTGAGATAGCTTCTATGTCGTTTTTATGGGAAGATATTTCCTTTTTCACCATAGGCCTGAAAGCGCTCCAAATGTCCACTTCCAGATACTACAATAAGAGTGTTTCCAACCTGCTCTATGAAACGGAAGGTTCAACTCTGTGACTTGATTGCAAACATCACGAAGGTGTTTCTGAGAATGTTTCTGTCTAGATTTTCTTTGAAGACATTCCCGTTTCCAACGAAATCCTCACAGCTATCCAAATATCCTCTTGCAGATTCTACAAAAAGTGTGGTTCAAAACTGCTGTATCAAAAGAATGGATCAACACTGTTAGTTGAGTACCCACATCACAAACGAGATTCTCAGAATGCTTCTGTCTAGTTTCTGTAGGTAGATATTTCCTATTTTAAGCATAGGCCTGAAAGCGCTCCAAATGCCCGCTTCCAGACACTATAAAAAGAGGGTTTCAAACCTACTCTATGAAAGGGAATGTTCAACTCTGAGAGCTGGATGCAAACATCACAAAGAAGTTTCTGAGAATGCTGCTGTCTACTTTTTATATATAATCCCGTTTCCAACGAAATCCTCAAATCTCTCCAAATATCCACTTGCAGATTCCAAAAGAAGAGTGTCTCAAAACTGCTCTATCAATAGAAATGTTCAGCACAGTTAGTTGAGTAGATACAGCATAAACATGTTTCTGAGATTACTTCTATCTCGCATTCATGGGAAGATATTTCCTTTTTCCACATAGGCTACAAAGCCCTCCAAATGTCCACTTCCAGATACTACAAAAAGAGTGTTTCCAACCTGCTCTATGAAACGGAAGGTTCAACTCTGTGACTTGATTGCAAACATCACGAAGGTGTTTCTGAGAATGCTTCTGTCTAGATTTTCTTTGAAGACATTACCGTTTCCAACGAAATCCTCAAAGCTAGCCAAATATCCACCTGCAGATTCTACAAAAAGAGTGTTTCAAAAGTGCTCTGTCCAAACCAAGGTTCAATTCTGACAATTGAGTGCACACATCACAAACGTGATTCTGCGAATGCTTCTGTCTAGTTTTTGTCGGAAGATATTTCCTTTTTCAGCATAGGCCCCAAGGAGCTCAAAATGTCCACTGCCAGATAGTACGAGAAGATTGTTTCAAACCTGCTCTGTGAAAGGGAATGTTCAACTCTGTGACTTGAATGTAAACATCCCTAAGATGTTTCTTAGAATGCTTCTGGCTAGATTTGATTTGAAGATATTCCCGTTTCCAACGAAATCCTCAAAGCTTTCCAAATATCCACTTCCAGATTCTATAAAAAGAATGTTTCAGAACAGTTCTGTCAAAAGAAAGGTTCAACTCTGTTAGTGGAGAACACACATCACAATCAAGGTTCTGAGAATGCTTCTGTCTAGCATTTTCTTTGAAGACATTCCCGTTTCCAACGAAATCCTCACAGCTATCCAAATATCCTCTTGCAGATTCTACAAAAAGTGTGGTTCAAAACTGCTGTATCAAAAGAATGGATCAACACTGTTAGTTGAGTACCCACATCACAAACGAGATTCTCAGAATGCTTCTGTCTAGTTTCTGTAGGTAGATATTTCCTATTTTAAGCATAGGCCTGAAAGCGCTCCAAATGCCCGCTTCCAGACACTATAAAAAGAGGGTTTCAAACCTACTCTATGAAAGGGAATGTTCAACTCTGAGAGCTGGATGCAAACATCACAAAGAAGTTTCTGAGAATGCTGCTGTCTACTTTTTATATATAATCCCGTTTCCAACGAAATCCTCAAATCTCTCCAAATATCCACTTGCAGATTCCAAAAGAAGAGTGTCTCAAAACTGCTCTATCAATAGAAATGTTCAGCACAGTTAGTTGAGTAGATACAGCATAAACATGTTTCTGAGATTACTTCTATCTCGCATTCATGGGAAGATATTTCCTTTTTCCACATAGGCTACAAAGCCCTCCAAATGTCCACTTCCAGATACTACAAAAAGAGTGTTTCCAACCTGCTCTATGAAACGGAAGGTTCAACTCTGTGACTTGATTGCAAACATCACGAAGGTGTTTCTGAGAATGCTTCTGTCTAGATTTTCTTTGAAGACATTACCGTTTCCAACGAAATCCTCAAAGCTAGCCAAATATCCACCTGCAGATTCTACAAAAAGAGTGTTTCAAAAGTGCTCTGTCCAAACCAAGGTTCAATTCTGACAGTTGAGTGCACACATCACAAACGTGATTCTGCGAATGCTTCTGTCTAGTTTTTGTCGGAAGATATTTCCTTTTTCAGCATAGGCCCCAAGGAGCTCAAAATGTCCACTGCCAGATAGTACGAGAAGATTGTTTCAAACCTGCTCTGTGAAAGGGAATGTTCAACTCTGTGACTTGAATGTAAACATCCCTAAGATGTTTCTTAGAATGCTTCTGGCTAGATTTTATTTGAAGATATTCCCGTTTCCAATGAAATCCTCAAAGCTTTCCAAATATCCACTTCCAGATTCTATAAAAAGAATGTTTCAGAACATTTCTGTCAAAAGAAAGGTTCAACTCTGTTAGTGGAGAACACACATCACAATCAAGGTTCTGAGAATGCTTCTGTCTAAATTTTCTATGAAGACATTCCCGTTTCCAACGAAATCCTCACAGCTATCCAAATATCCACTTGCAGATTCTACAAAAAGTGTGGTTCAAAACTGCTGTATCAAAAGAATGGATCAACACTGTTAGTTGAGTACCCACATCACAAACGTGATTCTCAGAATGCTTCTGTCTAGTTTCTATAGGTAGATATTTCCTTTTTCAGCATAGGCCTGAAAGCGCTCCAAATGCCCGCTTCCAGACACTATAAAAAGAGGGTTTCAAACCTACTCTATGAAAGGGAATGTTCAACTCTGAGAGCTGGATGCAAACATCACAAAGAAGTTTCTGAGAATGCTGCTGTCTACTTTTTATATATAATCCCGTTTCCAACGAAATCCTCAAATCTATCCAAATATCCACTTGCAGATTCCAAAAGAAGAGTGTCTCAAAACTGCTCTATCAATAGAAATGTTCAGCACAGTTAGTTGAGTAGATACAGCATAAACATGTTTCTGAGATTACTTCTATCTCGCATTCATGGGAAGATATTTCCTTTTTCCAGATAGGCTACAAAGCCCTCCAAATGTCCACTTCCAGATACTACAAATAGAGTGCTGCACAACTGCTCTATGTGAGGGGAAGTTCAATTCTGTGACTTGAATGCAGACACCACAAAGAAGTTTCTGAGAATGCTGCTGTCTAATTTTTACATGTAAGCCCGTTTCCAACGAAATCCTCAAAGCTATCCAAATATCCGCATGCAGAATCTTCAAAAAGAGTGTTCCAGAAGTACTGCATGAAACGAAAGGTTCAAGTCCGTTTGTTGAGGACACACATCACAAATAAGTTTCTCAGAATGCTTCTGTCTTGTTTTCATTGGAAGATATTTCCTTTTTCACCATAGTTCAGAAAGCGCTCCAAATGTCCACTTCCAGATACTCCAAAAAGAGTGTTTCCAACCTGCTCTATGAATGGGAATGTTCCACTCTGTGACTTGAATGGAAATATGGCAAAGTATTTTCTGAGTATGCTGCTGTGTACGTTTTATATTGCATCCCGTTTCCAACGAAATCCTCAAAGCGATCCAAATATCCACTTGCAGATTCCAAAAAAAGAGTGTTTCAAACTGTTCTGTCAGTACAAAGGTTCAACACTGTTAGCTGATTAGATGCATCATAGACAAGTTCCTGAGATAGCTTCTATGTCGTTTTTATGGGAAGATATTTCCTTTTTCACCATAGGCCTGAAAGCGCTCCAAATGTCCACTTCTAGATACTACAAAAAGTGTGTTTCCAACCTGCTCTATGAAACGGAAGGTTCAACTCTGTGACTTGATTGCAAACATCACGAAGGTGTTTCTGAGAATGCTTCTGTCTAGATTTTCTTTGAAGACATTACCGTTTCCAACGAAATCCTCAAAGCTAGCCAAATATCCACCTGCAGATTCTACAAAAAGAGTGTTTCAAAAGTGCTCTGTCCAAACCAAGGTTCAATTCTGACAGTTGAGTGCACACATCACAAACGTGATTCTGCGAATGCTTCTGTCTAGTTTTTGTCGGAAGATATTTCCTTTTTCAGCCTAGGCCCCAAGGAGCTCAAAATGTCCACTTCCAGATAGTACGAGAAGATTGTTTCAAACCTGCTCTGTGAAAGGGAATGTTCAACTCTGTGACTTGAATGTAAACATCCCTAAGATGTTTCTTAGAATGCTTCTGGCTAATTTGATTTGAAGATATTCCCGTTTCCAACGAAATCCTCAAAGCTTTCCAAATATCCACTTCCAGATTCTATAAAAAGAATGTTTCAGAACAGTTCTGTCAAAAGAAAGGTTCAACTCTGTTAGTGGAGAACACACATCACAATCAAGGTTCTGAGAATGCTTCTGTCTAAATTTTCTATGAAGACATTCCCGTTTCCAACGAAATCCTCACAGCTATCCAAATATCCACTTGCAGATTCTACAAAAAGTGTGGTTCAAAACTGCTGTATCAAAAGAATGGATCAACACTGTTAGTTGAGTACCCACATCACAAACGTGATTCTCAGAATGCTTCTGTCTAGTTTCTATAGGTAGATATTTCCTTTTTCAGCATAGGCCTGAAAGCGCTCCAAATGCCCGCTTCCAGACACTATAAAAAGAGGGTTTCAAACCTACTCTATGAAAGGGAATGTTCAACTCTGAGAGCTGGATGCAAACATCACAAAGAAGTTTCTGAGAATGCTGCTGTCTACTTTTTATATATAATCCCGTTTCCAACGAAATCCTCAAATCTATCCAAATATCCACTTGCAGATTCCAAAAGAAGAGTGTCTCAAAACTGCTCTATCAATAGAAATGTTCAGCACAGTTAGTTGAGTAGATACAGCATAAACATGTTTCTGAGATTACTTCTATCTCGCATTCATGGGAAGATATTTCCTTTTTCCAGATAGGCTACAAAGCCCTCCAAATGTCCACTTCCAGATACTACAAAAAGAGTGTTTCCAACCTGCTCTATGAAACGGAAGGTTCAACTCTGTGACTTGATTGCAAACATCACGAAGGTGTTTCTGAGAATGCTTCTGTCTAGATTTTCTTTGAAGACATTACCGTTTCCAACGAAATCCTCAAAGCTAGCCAAATATCCACCTGCAGATTCTACAAAAAGAGTGTTTCAAAAGTGCTCTGTCCAAACCAAGGTTCAATTCTGACAGTTGAGTGCACACATCACAAACGTGATTCTGCGAATGCTTCTGTCTAGTTTTTGTCGGAAGATATTTCCTTTTTCAGCATAGGCCCCAAGGAGCTCAAAATGTCCACTGCCAGATAGTACGAGAAGATTGTTTCAAACCTGCTCTGTGAAAGGGAATGTTCAACTCTGTGACTTGAATGTAAACATCCCTAAGATGTTTCTTAGAATGCTTCTGGCTAGATTTTATTTGAAGATATTCCCGTTTCCAACGAAATCCTCAAAGCTTTCCAAATATCCACTTCCAGATTCTATAAAAAGAATGTTTCAGAACAGTTCTGTCAAAAGAAAGGTTCAACTCTGTTAGTGGAGAACACACATCACAATCAAGGTTCTGAGAATGCTTCTGTCTAAATTTTCTATGAAGACATTCCCGTTTCCAACGAAATCCTCACAGCTATCCAAATATCCACTTGCAGATTCTACAAAAAGTGTGGTTCAAAACTGCTGTATCAAAAGAATGGATCAACACTGTTAGTTGAGTACCCACATCACAAACGTGATTCTCAGAATGCTTCTGTCTAGTTTCTATAGGTAGATATTTCCTTTTTCAGCATAGGCCTGAAAGCGCTCCAAATGCCCGCTTCCAGACACTATAAAAAGAGGGTTTCAAACCTACTCTATGAAAGGGAATGTTCAACTCTGAGAGCTGGATGCAAACATCACAAAGAAGTTTCTGAGAATGCTGCTGTCTACTTTTTATATATAATCCCGTTTCCAACGAAATCCTCAAATCTATCCAAATATCCACTTCCAGATTCCAAAAGAAGAGTGTCTCAAAACTGCTCTATCAATAGAAATGTTCAGCACAGTTAGTTGAGTAGATACAGCATAAACATGTTTCTGAGATTACTACTATCTCGCATTCATGGGAAGATATTTCCTTTTTCCAGATAGGCTACAAAGCCCTCCAAATGTCCACTTCCAGATACTACAAATAGAGTGCTGCACAACTGCTCTATGTGAGGGGATGTTCAATTCTGTGACTTGAATGCAGACACCACAAAGAAGTTTCTGAGAATGCTGCTGTCTAATTTTTACATGTAAGCCCGTTTCCAACGAAATCCTCAAAGCAATCCAAATATCCGCATGCAGAATCTTCAAAAAGAGTGTTCCAGAAGTACTGCATGAAACGAAAGGTTCAAGTCCGTTTGTTGAGGACACACATCACAAATAAGTTTCTCAGAATGCTTCTGTCTTGTTTTCATTGGAAGATATTTCCTTTTTCACCATAGTTCAGAAAGCGCTCCAAATGTCCACTTCCAGATACTCCAAAAAGAGTGTTTCAAACCTGCTCTATGAATGGGAATGTTCCACTCTGTGACTTGAATGGAAATATGGCAAAGTATTTTCTGAGTATGCCGCTGTGTACGTTTTATATTGCATCCCGTTTCCAACGAAATCCTCAAAGCGATCCAAATATCCACTTGCAGATTCCAAAAAAAGAGTGTTTCAAACTGCTCTGTCAGTACAAAGGTTCAACACTGTTAGTTGATTAGATGCATCATAAACAAGTTCCTGAGATAGCTTCTATGTCGTTTTTATGGGAAGATATTTCCTTTTTCACCATAGGCCTGAAAGCGCTCCAAATGTCCACTTCCAGATACTACAATAAGAGTGTTTCCAACCTGCTCTATGAAACGGAAGGTTCAACTCTGTGACTTGATTGCAAACATCACGAAGGTGTTTCTGAGAATGCTTCTGTCTAGATTTTCTTTGAAGACATTACCGTTTCCAACGAAATCCTCACAGCTATCCAAATATCCACTTGCAGATTCTACAAAAAGTGTGGTTCAAAACTGCTGTATCAAAAGAATGGATCAACACTGTTAGTTGAGTACCCACATCACAAACGTGATTCTCAGAATGCTTCTGTCTAGTTTCTGTAGGTAGATATTTCCTATTTTAAGCATAGGCCTGAAAGCGCTCCAAATGCCCGCTTCCAGACACTATAAAAAGAGGGTTTCAAACCTACTCTATGAAAGGGAATGTTCAACTCTGAGAGCTGGATGCAAACATCACAAAGAAGTTTCTGAGAATGCTGCTGTCTACTTTTTATATATAATCCCGTTTCCAACGAAATCCTCAAATCTATCCAAATATCCACTTGCAGATTCCAAAAGAAGAGTGTCTCAAAACTGCTCTATCAATAGAAATGTTCAGCACAGTTAGTTGAGTAGATACAGCATAAACATGTTTCTGAGATTACTTCTATCTCGCATTCATGGGAAGATATTTCCTTTTTCCAGATAGGCTACAAAGCCCTCCAAATGTCCACTTCCAGATACTACAAATAGAGTGCTGCACAACTGCTCTATGTGAGGGGAAGTTCAATTCTGTGACTTGAATGCAGACACCACAAAGAAGTTTCTGAGAATGCTGCTGTCTAATTTTTACATGTAAGCCCGTTTCCAACGAAATCCTCAAAGCTATCCAAATATCCGCATGCAGAATCTTCAAAAAGAGTGTTCCAGAAGTACTGCATGAAACGAAAGGTTCAAGTCCGTTTGTTGAGGACACACATCACAAAGAAGTTTCTCAGAATGCTTCTGTCTTGTTTTCATTGGAAGATATTTCCTTTTTCACCATAGTTCAGAAAGCGCTCCAAATGTCCACTTCCAGATACTCCAAAAAGAGTGTTTCAAACCTGCTCTATGAATGGGAATGTTCCACTCTGTGACTTGAATGGAAATATGGCAAAGTATTTTCTGAGTATGCTGCTGTGTACGTTTTATATTGCATCCCGTTTCCAACGAAATCCTCAAAGCGATCCAAATATCCACTTGCAGATTCCAAAAAAAGAGTGTTTCAAAGTGCTCTGTCAGTACAAAGGTTCAACACTGTTAGTTGATTAGATGCATCATAAACAAGATCCTGAGATAGCTTCTATGTCGTTTTTATGGGAAGATATTTCCTTTTTCACCATAGGCCTGAAAGCGCTCCAAATGTCCACTTCCAGATACTACAAAAAGAGTGTTTCCAACCTGCTCTATGAAACGGAAGGTTCAACTCTGTGACTTGATTGCAAACATCATGAAGGTGTTTCTGAGAATGTTTCTGTCTAGATTTTCTTTAAAGACATTCCCGTTTCCAACGAAATCCTCACAGCTATCCAAATATCCTCTTGCAGATTCTACAAAAAGTGTGGTTCAAAACTGCTGTATCAAAAGAATGGATCAACACTGTTAGTTGAGTACCCACATCACAAACGTGATTCTCAGAATGCTTTCTGTCTAGTTTCTATAGGTAGATATTTCCTTTTTCAGCATAGGCCTGAAAGCGCTCCAAATGCCCGCTTCCAGACACTATAAAAAGAGGGTTTCAAACCTACTCTATGAAAGGGAATGTTCAACTCTGAGAGCTGGATGCAAACATCACAAAGAAGTTTCTGAGAATGCTGCTGTCTACTTTTTATATATAATCCCGTTTCCAACGAAATCCTCAAATCTATCCAAATATCCACTTGCAGATTCCAAAAGAAGAGTGTCTGAAAACTGCTCTATCAATAGAAATGTTCAGCACAGTTAGTTGAGTAGATACAGCATAAACATGTTTCTGAGATTACTTCTATCTCGCATTCATGGGAAGATATTTCCTTTTTCCAGATAGGCTACAAAGCCCTCCAAATGTCCACTTCGAGATACTACAAATAGAGTGCTGCACAACTGCTCTATGTGAGGGGAAGTTCAATTCTGTGACTTGAATGCAGACACCACAAAGAAGTTTCTGAGAATGCTGCTGTCTAATTTTTACATGTAAGCCCTTTTCCAACGAAATCCTCAAAGCTATCCAAATATCCGCATGCAGAATCTTCAAAAAGAGTGTTCCAGAAGTACTGCATGAAACGAAAGGTTCAAGTCCGTTTGTTGAGGACACACATCACAAATAAGTTTCTCAGAATGCTTCTGTGTTGTTTTCATTGGAAGATATTTCCTTTTTCACCATAGTTCAGAAAGCGCTCCAAATGTCCACTTCCAGATACTCCAAAAAGAGTGTTTCAAACCTGCTCTATGAATGGGAATGTTCCACTCTGTGACTTGAATGGAAATATGGCAAAGTATTTTCTGAGTATGCTGCTGTGTACGTTTTATATTGCATCCCGTTTCCAACGAAATCCTCAAAGCGATCCAAATATCCACTTGCAGATTCCAAAAAAAGAGTGTTTCAAACTGCTCTGTCAGTACAAAGGTTCAACACTGTTAGTTGATTAGATGCATCATAAACAAGTTCCTGAGATAGCTTCTATGTCGTTTTTATGGGAACATATTTCCTTTTACACCATAGGCCTGAAAGCGCTCCAAATGTCCACTTCCAGATACTACAAAATGAGTGTTTCCAACCTGCTCTATGAAACGGAAGGTTCAACTCTGTGACTTGATTGCAAACATCACGAAGGTGTTTCTGAGGATGTTTCTGTCTAGATTTTCTTTGAAGACATTACCGTTTCCAACGAAATCCTCAAAGCTAGCCAAATATCCACCTGCAGATTCTACAAAAAGAGTGTTTCAAAGGTGCTCTGTCCAAACAAAGGTTCAATTCTGACAGTTGAGTGCACACATCACAAACGTGATTCTGCGAATGCTTCTGTCTACTTTTTGTCGGAAGATATTTCCTTTTTCAGCATAGGCCCCAAGGAGCTCAAAATGTCCACTTCCAGATAGTACGAGAAGATTGTTTCAAACCTGCTCTGAGAAAGGGGAATGTTCAACTCTGTGACTTGAATGTACACATCCCTAAGATGTTTCTTAGAATGCTTCTGTCTAAATTTTCTATGAAGACATTCCCGTTTCCAACGAAATCCTCACAGCTATCCAAATATCCACTTGCAGATTCTACAAAAAGTGTGGTTCAAAACTGCTGTATCAAAAGAATGGATCAACACTGTTAGTTGAGTACCCACATCACAAACGTGATTCTCAGAATGCTTCTGTCTAGTTTCTGTAGGTAGATATTTCCTTTTTCAGCATAGGCCTGAGAGCGCTCCAAATGCCCGCTTCCAGACACTATAAAAAGGGGGTTTCAAACCTACTCTATGAAAGGGAATGTTCAACTCTGAGAGCTGGATGCAAACATCACAAAGAAGTTTCTGAGAATGCTGCTGTCTACTTTTGATATATAATCCCGTTTCCAACGAAATCCTCAAATCTAGCCAAATATCCACTTGCAGATTCCAAAAGAAGAGTGTCTCAAAACTGCTCTATCAATAGAAATGTTCAGCACAGTTAGTTGAGTAGATACAGCATAAACATGTTTCTGAGATTACTTCTATCTCGCATTCATGGGAAGATATTTCCTTTTTCCAGATAGGCTACAAAGCCCTCCAAATGTCCACATCGAGATACTACAAATAGAGTGCTGCACAACTGCCCAATGTGAGGGGATGTTCAATTCTGTGACTTGAATGCAGACACCACAAAGAAGTTTCTGAGAATGCTGCTGTCTAATTTTTATATGTAAGCCCGTTTCCAACGAAATCCTCAAAGCTATCCAAATATCCGCATGCAGAATCTTCAAAAAGAGTGTTCCAGAAGTACTGCATGAAACGAAAGGTTCGAGTCCGTTAGTTGAGGACATGCATCACAAATAAGTTTCTCAGAATGCTTCTGTCTTGTTTTCATTGGAAGATATTTCCTTTTTCACCATAGTTCAGAAAGCGCTCCAAATGTCCACTTCCAGATACTCCAAAAAGAGTGTTTCAAACCTGCTCTATGAATGGGAATGTTCCACTCTGTGACTTGAATGGAAATATGGCAAAGTATTTTCTGAGTATGCTGCTGTGTACGTTTTATATTGCATCCCGTTTCCAACGAAATCCTCAAAGCGATCCAAATATCCACTTGCAGATTCCAAAAAAAGAGTGTTTCAAACTGCTCTGTCAGTACAAAGGTTCAACACTGTTAGTTGATTAGATGCATCATAAACAAGTTCCTGATATAGATTCTATGTCGTTTTTATGGGAAGATATTTCCTTTTTCACCATAGGCCTGAAAGCGCTCCAAATGTCCACTTCCAGATACTACAAAAAGAGTGTTTCCAACCTGCTCTATGAAACGGAAGGTTCAACTCTGTGACTTGATTGCAAACATCACGAAGGTGTTTCTGAGAATGCTTCTGTCTAGATTTTCTTTGAAGACATTACCGTTTCCAACGAAATCCTCAAAGCTAGCCAAATATCCACCTGCAGATTCTACAAAAAGAGTGTTTCAAAAGTGCTCTGTCCAAACCAAGGTTCAATTCTGACAGTTGAGTGCACACATCACAAACGTGATTCTGCGAATGCTTCTGTCTAGTTTTTGTCGGAAGATATTTCCTTTTTCAGCATAGGCCCCAAGGAGCTCAAAATGTCCACTGCCAGATAGTACGAGAAGATTGTTTCAAACCTGCTCTGTGAAAGGGAATGTTCAACTCTGTGACTTGAATGTAAACATCCCTAAGATGTTTCTTAGAATGCTTCTGGCTAGATTTGATTTGAAGATATTCCCGTTTCAAACGAAGTCCTCAAAGCTTTCCAAATATGCACTTCCAGATTCTATAAAAAGAATGTTTCAGAACAGTTCTGTCAAAAGAAAGGTTCAACTCTGTTAGTGGAGAACACACATCACAATCAAGGTTCTGAGAATGCTTCTGTCTAAATTTTCTATGAAGCACATTCCCGTTTCCAACGAAATCCTCACAGCTATCCAAATATCCACTTGCAGATTCTACAAAAAGTGTGGTTCAAAACTGCTGTATCAAAAGAATGGATCAACACTGTTAGTTGAGTACCCACATCACAAACGTGATTCTCAGAATGCTTCTGTCTAGTTTCTATAGGTAGATATTTCCTTTTTCAGCATAGGCCTGAAAGCGCTCCAAATGCCCGCTTCCAGACACTATAAAAAGAGGGTTTCAAACCTACTCTATGAAAGGGAATGTTCAACTCTGAGAGCTGGATGCAAACATCACAAAGAAGTTTCTGAGAATGCTGCTGTCTACTTTTGATATATAATCCCGTTTCCAACGAAATCCTCAAATCTATCCAAATATCCACTTGCAGATTCCAAAAGAAGAGTGTCTCAAAACTGCTCTATCAATAGAAATGTTCAGCACAGTTAGTTGAGTAGATACAGCATAAACATGTTTCTGAGATTACTTCTATCTCGCATTCATGGGAAGATATTTCCTTTTTCCAGATAGGCTACAAAGCCCTCCAAATGTCCACTTCCAGATACTACAAATAGAGTGCTGCACAACTGCTCTATGTGAGGGGAAGTTCAATTCTGTGACTTGAATGCAGACACCACAAAGAAGTTTACTGAGAATGCTGCTGTCTAATTTTTACATGTAAGCCCGTTTCCAACGAAATCCTCAAAGCTATCCAAATATCCGCATGCAGAATCTTCAAAAAGAGTGTTCCAGAAGTACTGCATGAAACGAAAGGTTCAAGTCCGTTTGTTGAGGACACACATCACAAATAAGTTTCTCAGAATGCTTCTGTCTTGTTTTCATTGGAAGATATTTCCTTTTTCACCATAGTTCAGAAAGCGCTCCAAATGTCCACTTCCAGATACTCCAAAAAGAGTGTTTCCAACCTGCTCTATGAATGGGAATGTTCCACTCTGTGACTTGAATGGAAATATGGCAAAGTATTTTCTGAGTATGCTGCTGTGTACGATTTATATTGCATCCCGTTTCCAACGAAATCCTCAAAGCGATCCAAATATCCACTTGCAGATTCCAAAAAAAGAGTGTTTCAAACTGCTCTGTCAGTACAAAGGTTCAACACTGTTAGTTGATTAGATGCATCATAAACAAGTTCCTGAGATAGCTTCTATGTCGTTTTTATGGGAAGATATTTCCTTTTTCACCATAGGCCTGAAAGCGCTCCAAATGTCCACTTCCAGATACTACAATAAGAGTGTTTCCAACCTGCTCTATGAAACGGAAGGTTCAACTCTGTGACTTGATTGCAAACATCACGAAGGTGTTTCTGAGAATGCTTTTGTCTAGATTTTCTTTGAAGACATTCCCGTTTCCAACGAAATCCTCACAGCTATCCAAATATCCTCTTGCAGATTCTACAAAAAGTGTGGTTCAAAACTGCTGTATCAAAAGAATGGATCAACACTGTTAGTTGAGTACCCACATCACAAACGTGATTCTCAGAATGCTTCTGTCTAGTTTCTGTAGGTAGATATTTCCTATTTTAAGCATAGGCCTGAAAGCGCTCCAAATGCCCGCTTCCAGACACTATAAAAAGAGGGTTTCAAACCTACTCTATGAAAGGGAATGTTCAACTCTGAGAGCTGGATGCAAACATCACAAAGAAGTTTCTGAGAATGCTGCTGTCTACTTTTTATATATAATCCCGTTTCCAACGAAATCCTCAAATCTATCCAAATATCCACTTGCAGATTCCAAAAGAAGAGTGTCTCAAAACTGCTCTATCAATAGAAATGTTCAGCACAGTTAGTTGAGTAGATACAGCATAAACATGTTTCTGAGATTACTTCTATCTCGCATTCATGGGAAGATATTTCCTTTTTCCAGATAGGCTACAAAGCCCTCCAAATGTCCATTTCCAGATACTACAAATAGAGTGCTGCACAACTGCTCTATGTGAGGGGAAGTTCAATTCTGTGACTTGAATGCAGACACCACAAAGAAGTTTCTGAGAATTCTGCTGTCTAATTTTTACATGTAAGCCCGTTTCCAACGAAATCCTCAAAGCTATCCAAATATCCGCATGCAGAATCTTCAAAAAGAGTGTTCCAGAAGTACTGCATGAAACGAAAGGTTCAAGTCCGTTTGTTGAGGACACACATCACAAATAAGTTTCTCAGAATGCTTCTGTCTTGTTTTCATTGGAAGATATTTCCTTTTTCACCATAGTTCAGAAAGCGCTCCAAATGTCCACTTCCAGATACTCCAAAAAGAGTGTTTCCAACCTGCTCTATGAATGGGAATGTTCCACTCTGTGACTTGAATGGAAATATGGCAAAGTATTTTCTGAGTATGCTGCTGTGTACGTTTTATATTGCATCCCGTTTCCAACGAAATCCTCAAAGCGATCCAAATATCCACTTGCAGATTCCAAAAAAAGAGTGTTTCAAACTGCTCTGTCAGTACAAAGGTTCAACACTGTTAGTTGATTAGATGCATCATAAACAAGTTCCTGAGATAGCTTCTATGTCGTTTTTATGGGAAGATATTTCCTTTTTCACCATAGGCCTGAAAGCGCTCCAAATGTCCACTTCCAGATACTACAAAAAGAGTGTTTCCAACCTGCTCTATGAAACGGAAGGTTCAACTCTGTGACTTGATTGCAAACATCACGAAGGTGTTTCTGAGAATGTTTCTGTCTAGATTTTCTTTGAAGACATTACCGTTTCCAACGAAATCCTCAAAGCTAGCCAAATATCCACCTGCAGATTCTACAAAAAGAGTGTTTCAAAAGTGCTCTCTCCAAACCAAGGTTCAATTCTGACAGTTGAGTGCACACATCACAAACGTGATTCTGCGAATGCTTCTGTCTAGTTTTTGTCGGAAGATATTTCCTTTTTCAGCATAGGCCCCAAAGAGCTCAAAATGTCCACTGCCAGATAGTACGAGAAGATTGTTTCAAACCTGCTCTGTGAAAGGGAATGTTCAACTCTGTGACTTGAATGTAAACATCCCTAAGCTGTTTCTTAGAATGCTTCTGGCTAGATTTGATTTGAAGATATTCCCGTTTCCAACGAAATCCTCAAAGCTTTCCAAATATCCACTTCCAGATTCTATAAAAAGAATGTTTCAGAACAGTTCTGTCAAAAGAAAGGTTCAACTCTGTTAGTGGAGAACACACATCACAATCAAGGTTCTGAGAATGCTTCTGTCTAGATTTTCTTTGAAGACATGCCCGTTTCCAACGAAATCCTCACAGCTATCCAAATATCCTCTTGCAGATTCTACAAAAAGTGTGGTTCAAAACTGCTGTATCAAAAGAATGGATCAACACTGTTAGTTGAGTACCCACATCACAAACGTGATTCTCAGAATGCTTCTGTCTAGTTTCTGTAGGTAGATATTTCCTATTTTAAGCATAGGCCTGAAAGCGCTCCAAATGCCCGCTTCCAGACACTATAAAAAGAGGGTTTCAAACCTACTCTATGAAAGGGAATGTTCAACTCTGAGAGCTGGATGCAAACATCACAAAGAAGTTTCTGAGAATGCTGCTGTCTACTTTTTATATATAATCCCGTTTCCAACGAAATCCTCAAATCTATCCAAATATCCACTTGCAGATTCCAAAAGAAGAGTGTCTCAAAACTGCTCTATCAATAGAAATGTTCAGCACAGTTAGTTGAGTAGATACAGCATAAACATGTTTCTGAGATTACTTCTATCTCGCATTCATGGGAAGATATTTCCTTTTTCCAGATAGGCTACAAAGCCCTCCAAATGTCCACTTCCAGATACTACAAATAGAGTGCTGCACAACTGCTCTATGTGAGGGGAAGTTCAATTCTGTGACTTGAATGCAGACACCACAAAGAAGTTTCTGAGAATGCTGCTGTCTAATTTTTACATGTAAGCCCGTTTCCAACGAAATCCTCAAAGCTATCCAAATATCCGCATGCAGAATCTTCAAAAAGAGTGTTCCAGAAGTACTGCATGAAACGAAAGGTTCAAGTCCGTTTGTTGAGGACACACATCACAAATAAGTTTCTCAGAATGCTTCTGTCTTGTTTTCATTGGAAGATATTTCCTTTTTCACCATAGTTCAGAAAGCGCTCCAAATGTCCACTTCCAGATACTCCAAAAAGAGTGTTTCCAACCTGCTCTATGAATGGGAATGTTCCACTCTGTGACTTGAATGGAAATATGGCAAAGTATTTTCTGAGTATGCTGCTGTGTACGTTTTATATTGCATCCCGTTTCCAACGAAATCCTCATAGCGATCCAAATATCCACTTGCAGATTCCAAAAAAAGAGTGTTTCAAACTGCTCTGTCAGTGCAAAGGTTCAACACTGTTAGTTGATTAGATGCATCATAAACAAGTTCCTGAGATAGCTTCTATGTCGTTTTTATGGGAAGATATTTCCTTTTTCACCATAGGCCTGAAAGCGCTCCAAATGTCCACTTCCAGATACTACAATAAGAGTGTTTCCAACCTGCTCTATGAAACGGAAGGTTCAACTCTGTGACTTGATTGCAAACATAACGAAGGTGTTTCTGAGAATGCTTCTGTCTAGATTTTCTTTGAAGACATTCCCGTTTCCAACGAAATCCTCACAGCTATCCAAATATCCTCTTGCAGATTCTACAAAAAGTGTGGTTCAAAACTGCTGTATCAAAAGAATGGATCAACTCTGTTAGTTGAGTACCCACATCACAAACGTGATTCTCAGAATGCTTCTGTCTAGTTCCTGTAGGTAGATATTTCCTATTTTAAGCATAGGCCTGAAAGCGCTCCAAATGCCCGCTTCCAGACACTATAAAAAGAGGGTTTCAAACCTACTCTATGAAAGGGAATGTTCAACTCTGAGAGCTGGATGCAAACATCACAAAGAAGTTTCTGATAATGCTTGCTGTCTACTTTTTATATATAATCCCGTTTCCAACGAAATCCTCAAATCTATCCAAATATCCACTTGCAGATTCCAAAAGAAGAGTGTCTCAAAACTGCTCTATCAATAGAAATGTTCAGCACAGTTAGTTGAGTAGATACAGCATAAACATGTTTCTGAGATTACTTCTATCTCGCATTCATGGGAAGATATTTCCTTTTTCCACATAGGCTACAAAGCCCTCCAAATGTCCACTTCGAGATACTACAAATAGAGTGCTGCACAACTGCTCTATGTGAGGGGATGTTCAATTCTGTGACTTGAATGCAGACACCACAAAGAAGTTTCTGAGAATGCTGCTGTCTAATTTTTACATGTAAGCCCGTTTCCAACGAAATCCTCAAAGCTATCCAAATATCCGCATGCAGAATCTTCAAAAAGAGTGTTCCAGAAGTACTGCATGAAACGAAAGGTTCAAGTCCGTTTGTTGAGGACACACATCACAAATAAGTTTCTCAGAATGCTTCTGTCTTGTTTTCATTGGAAGATATTTCCTTTTTCACCATAGTTCAGAAAGCGCTCCAAATGTCCACTTCCAGATACTCCAAAAAGAGTGTTTCCAACCTGCTCTATGAATGGGAATGTTCCACTCTGTGACTTGAATGGAAATATGGCAAAGTATTTTCTGAGTATGCTGCTGTGTACGTTTTATATTGCATCCCGTTTCCAACGAAATCCTCAAAGCGATCCAAATATCCACTTGCAGATTCCAAAAAAAGAGTGTTTCAAAGTGCTCTGTCAGTACAAAGGTTCAACACTGTTAGTTGATTAGATGCATCATAAACAAGTTCCTGAGATAGCTTCTATGTCGTTTTTATGGGAAGATATTTCCTTTTTCACCATAGGCCTGAAAGCGCTCCAAATGTCCACTTCCAGATACTACAATAAGAGTGTTTCCAACCTGCTCTATGAAACGGAAGGTTCAACTCTGTGACTTGATTGCAAACATCACGAAGGTGTTTCTGAGAATGCTTCTGTCTAGATTTTCTTTGAAGACATTCCCGTTTCCAACGAAATCCTCACAGCTATCCAAATATCCTCTTGCAGATTCTACAAAAAGTGTGGTTCAAAACTGCTGTATCAAAAGAATGGATCAACACTGTTAGTTGAGTACCCACATCACAAACGTGATTCTCAGAATGCTTCTGTCTAGTTTCTGTAGGTAGATATTTCCTATTTTAAGCATAGGCCTGAAAGCGCTCCAAATGCCCGCTTCCAGACACTATAAAAAGAGGGTTTCAAACCTACTCTATGAAAGGGAATGTTCAACTCTGAGAGCTGGATGCAAACATCACAAAGAAGTTTCTGAGAATGCTGCTGTCTACTTTTTATATATAATCCCGTTTCCAACGAAATCCTCAAATCTATCCAAATATCCACTTGCAGATTTCAAAAGAAGAGTGTCTCAAAACTGCTCTATCAATAGAAATGTTCAGCACAGTTAGTTGAGTAGATACAGCATAAACATGTTTCTGAGATTACTTCTATCTCGCATTCATGGGAAGATATTTCCTTTTTCCAGATAGGCTACAAAGCCCTCCAAATGTCCACTTCGAGATACTACAAATAGAGTGCTGCACAACTGCTCTATGTGAGGGGAAGTTCAATTCTGTGACTTGAATGCAGACACCACAAAGAAGTTTCTGAGAATGCTGCTGTCTAATTTTTACATGTAAGCCCGTTTCCAATGAAATCCTCAAAGCTATCCAAATATCCGCATGCAGAATCTTCAAAAAGAGTGTTCCAGAAGTACTGCATGAAACGAAAGGTTCAAGTCCGTTTGTTGAGGACACACATCACAAATAAGTTTCTCAGAATGCTTCTGTCTTGTTTTCATTGGAAGATATTTCCTTTTTCACCATAGTTCAGAAAGCGCTCCAAATGTCCACTTCCAGATACTCCAAAAAGAGTGTTTCCAACCTGCTCTATGAATGGGAATGTTCCACTCTGTGACTTGAATGGAAATATGGCAAAGAATTTTCTGAGTATGCTGCTGTGTACGTTTTATATTGCATCCCGTTTCCAACGAAATCCTCAAAGCGATCCAAATATCCACTTGCAGATTCCAAAAAAAGAGTGTTTCAAACTGCTCTGTCAGTACAAAGGTTCAACACTGTTAGTTGATTAGATGCCTCATAAACAAGTTCCTGAGATAGCTTCTATGTCGTTTTTATGGGAAGATATTTCCTTTTTCACCATAGGCCTGAAAGCGCTCCAAATGTCCACTTCCAGATACTACAATAAGAGTGTTTCCAACCTGCTCTATGAAACGGAAGGTTCAACTCTGTGACTTGATTGCAAACATCACGAAGGTGTTTCTGAGAATGCTTCTGTCTAGATTTTCTTTGAAGACATTACCGTTTCCAACGAAATCCTCAAAGCTAGCCAAATATCCACCTGCAGATTCTACAAAAAGAGTGTTTCAAAAGTGCTCTGGCCAAACCAAGGTTCAATTCTGACAGTTGAGTGCACACATCACAAACGTGATTCTGCGAATGCTTCTGTCTAGTTTTTGTCCGAAGATATTTCCTTTTTCAGCATAGGCCCCAAGGAGCTCAAAATGTCCACTGCCAGATAGTACGAGAAGATTGTTTCAAACCTGCTCTGCGAAAGGGAATGTTCAACTCTGTGACTTGAATGTAAACATCCCTAAGATGTTTCTTAGAATGCTTCTGGCTAGATTTTATTTGAAGATATTCCCGTTTCCAACGAAATCCTCAAAGCTTTCCAAATATCCACTTCCAGATTCTATAAAAAGAATGTTTCAGAACAGTTCTGTCAAAAGAAAGGTTCAACTCTGTTAGTGGAGAACACACATCACAATCAAGGTTCTGAGAATGCTTCTGTCTAAATTTTCTATGAAGACATTCCCGTTTCCAACGAAATCCTCACAGCTATCCAAATATCCACTTGCAGATTCTACAAAAAGTGTGGTTCAAAACTGCTGTATCAAAAGAATGGATCAACACTGTTAGTTGAGTACCCACATCACAAACGTGATTCTCAGAATGCTTCTGTCTAGTTTCTATAGGTAGATATTTCCTTTTTCAGCATAGGCCTGAAAGCGCTCCAAATGCCCGCTTCCAGACACTATAAAAAGAGGGTTTCAAACCTACTGTATGAAAGGGAATGTTCAACTCTGAGAGCTGGATGCAAACATCACAAAGAAGTTTCTGAGAATGCTGCTGTCTACTTTTGATATATAATCCCGTTTCCAACGAAATCCTCAAATCTATCCAAATATCCACTTGCAGATTCCAAAAGAAGAGTGTCTCAAAACTGCTCTATCAATAGAAATGTTCAGCACAGTTAGTTGAGTAGATACAGCATAAACATGTTTCTGAGATTACTTCTATCTCGCATTCATGGGAAGATATTTCCTTTTTCCAGATAGGCTACAAAGCCCTCCAAATGTCCACTTCCAGATACTACAAATAGAGTGCTGCACAACTGCTCTATGTGAGGGGATGTTCAATTCTGTGACTTGAATGCAGACACCACAAAGAAGTTTCTGAGAATGCTGCTGTCTAATTTTTACATGTAAGCCCGTTTCCAACGAAATCCTCAAAGCTATCCAAATATCCACATGCAGAATCTTCAAAAAGAGTGTTCCAGAAGTACTGCATGAAACGAAAGGTTCAAGTCCGTTTGTTGAGGACACACATCACAAATAAGTTTCTCAGAATGCTTCTGTCTTGTTTTCATTGGAAGATATTTCCTTTTTCACCATAGTTCAGAAAGCGCTCCAAATGTCCACTTCCAGATACTCCAAAAAGAGTGTTTCAAACCTGCTCTATGAATGGGAATGTTCCACTCTGTGACTTGAATGGAAATATGGCAAAGTATTTTCTGAGTATGCTGCTGTGTACGTTTTATATTGCATCCCGTTTCCAACGAAATCCTCAAAGCGATCCAAATATCCACTTGCAGATTCCAAAAAAAGAGTGTTTCAAACTGCTCTGTCAGTACAAAGGTTCAACACTGTTAGTTGATTAGATGCATCATAAACAAGTTCCTGAGATAGCTTCTATGTCGTTTTTATGGGAAGATATTTCCTTTTTCACCATAGGCCTGAAAGCGCTCCAAATGTCCACTTCCAGATACTACAATAAGAGTGTTTCCAACCTGCTCTATGAAACGGAAGGTTCAACTCTGTGACTTGATTGCAAACATCACGAAGGTGTTTCTGAGAATGCTTCTGTCTAGATTTTCTTTGAAGACATTCCCGTTTCCAACGAAATCCTCACAGCTATCCAAATATCCTCTTGCAGATTCTACAAAAAGTGTGGTTCAAAACTGTTGTATCAAAAGAATGGATCAACACTGTTAGTTGAGTACCCACATCACAAACGTGATTCTCAGAATGCTTCTGTCTAGTTTCTGTAGGTAGATATTTCCTATTTTAAGCATAGGCCTGAAAGCGCTCCAAATGCCCGCTTCCAGACACTATAAAAAGAGGGTTTCAAACCTACTCTATGAAAGGGAATGTTCAACTCTGAGAGCTGGATGCAAACATCACAAAGAAGTTTCTGAGAATGCTGCTGTCAACTTTTTATATATAATCCCGTTTCCAACGAAATCCTCAAATCTATCCAAATATCCACTTGCAGATTCCAAAAGAAGAGTGTCTCAAAACTGCTCTATCAATAGAAATGTTCAGCACAGTTAGTTGAGTAGATACAGCATAAACATGTTTCTGAGATTACTTCTATCTCGCATTCATGGGAAGATATTTCCTTTTTCCAGAAAGGCTACAAAGCCCTCCAAATGTCCACTTCCAGATACTACAAAAAGAGTGTTTCCAACCTGCTCTATGAAACGGAAGGTTCAACTCTGTGACTTGATTGCAAACATCACGAAGGTGTTTCTGAGAATGCTTCTGTGTAGATTTTCTTTGAAGACATTACCGTTTCCAACGAAATCCTCAAAGCTAGCCAAATATCCACCTGCAGATTCTACAAAAAGAGTGTTTCAAAAGTGCTCTGTCCAAACCAAGGTTCAATTCTGACAGTTGAGTGCACACATCACAAACGTGATTCTGCGAATGCTTCTGTCTAGTTTTTGTCGGAAGATATTTCCTTTTTCAGCATAGGCCCCAAGGAGCTCAAAATGTCCACTTCCAGATAGTACGAGAAGATTGTTTCAAACCTGCTCTGTGAAAGGGAATGTTCAACTCTGTGACTTGAATGTAAACATCCCTAAGATGTTTCTTAGAATGCTTCTGGCTAGATTTTATTTGAAGATATTCCCGTTTCCAACGAAATCCCCAAATCATTCCAAATATCCACTTCCAGATTCTATAAAAAGAATGTTTCAGAACAGTTCTGTCAAAAGAAAGGTTCAGCCCTTTTAGTGGAGAACACACATCACAATCAAGGTTCTCAGAATGCTTCTGTCTAAATTGTCTATGAAGACATTCCCGTTTCCAAGGAAATCCTCACAGCTATCCAAATATCCACTTGCAGATTCTACAAAAAGTGTGGTTCGAAACTGCTGTATCAAAAGTATGGATCAACACTGTTAATTGAGTACCCACATCACAAACGTGATTCTCAGAATGCTTCTGTCTAGTTTCTATAGGTAGATATTTCCTTTTTCAGCATAGGCCTGAAAGCGCTCCAAATGCCCGCTTCCAGACACTATAAAAAGAGGGTTTCAAACCTACTCTATGAAAGGGAATGTTCAACTCTGAGAGCTGGATGCAAACATCACAAAGAAGTTTCTGAGAATGCGGCTGTCTACTTTTTATATATGATCCCGTTGCCAACGAAATCGTCAAATCTATCCAAATATCCACTTGCAGATTCCAAAAGAAGAGTGCCTCAAAACTGCTCAATCAATAGAAATGTTCAGCACAGTTAGTTGAGTAGATACAGCATAAACATGTTTCTGAGATTACTTCTATCTCGCATTCATGGGAAGATATTTCCTTTTTCCAGATAGGCTACAAAGCCCTCCAAATGTCCACTTCGAGATACTACAAATAGAGTGCTGCACAACTGCTCTATGTGAGGGGATGTTCAATTCTGTGACTTGAATGCAGACACCACAAAGTAGTTTCTGAGAATGCTGCTGTCTACTTTTTATATGTAAGCCCGTTTCCAACGAAATCCTCAAAGCTATCCAAATATCCACATGCAGAATCTTCAAAAAGAGTGCTCCAGAAGTACTGCATGAAACGAAAGGTTCAAGTCCGTTAGTTGAGGACACACATCACAAATAAGTTTCTCAGAATGCTTCTGTCTTGTTTTCATTGGAAGATATTTCCTTTTTCACCATAGTTCAGAAAGCGCTCCAAATGTCCACTTCCAGATACTACAAAAAGAGTGTGTCAAACCTGCTCTATGAATGGGAATGTTCCACTCTGTGACTTGAATGGATATATGGCAAAGTATTTTCTGAGTATGCTGCTGTGTACTTTTATATTGCATCCCGTTTCCAACGAAATCCTCAAAGCGATCCAAATATCCACTTGCAGATTCCAAAAAAAAGAGTGTTTCACACTGCTCTGTCAGTACAAAGGTTCAACACTGTTAGTTGATTGGATGCATCATAAACAAGTTCCTGAGATAGCTTCTATGTCGTTTTTATGGGAAGATATTTCCTTTTTCACCATAGGCCTGAAAGCGCTCCAAATGTCCACTTCCAGATACTACAAAAAGAGTGTTTCCAACCTGCTCTATGAAACGGAAGGTTCAACTCTGTGACTTGATTGCAAACATCACGAAGGTGTTTCTGAGAATGTTTCTGTCTAGATTTTCTTTGAAGACATTACCGTTTCCAACGAAATCCTCAAAGCTAGCCAAATATCCACCTGCAGATTCTACAAAAAGAGTGTTTCAAAAGTGCTCTGTCCAAACCAAGGTTCAATTCTGACAGTTGAGTGCACACATCACAAACGTGATTCTGCGAATGCTTCTGTCTAGTTTTTGTCGGAAGATATTTCCTTTCTCAGCATAGGCCCCAAGGAGCTCAAAATGTCCACTTCCAGATAGTACGAGAAGATTGTTTCAAACCTGCTCTGTGAAAGGGAATGTTCAACTCTGTGACTTGAATGTAAACATCCCTAAGATGTTTCTTAGAATGCTTCTGGCTAGATTTTATTTGAAGATATTCCCGTTTCCAACGAAATCCTCAAAGCTTTCCAAATATCCACTTCCAGATTCTATAAAAAGAATGTTTCAAAACAGTTCTGTCAAAAGAAAGGTTCAAACCTGTTAGTGGAGAACACACATCACAATCAAGGTTCTGAGAATGCTTCTGTCTAAATTTTCTATGAAGACATTCCCGTATCCAAGGAAATCCTCACAGCTATCCAAATATCCACTTGCAGATTCTACAAAAAGTGTGGTTCAAAACTGCTGTATCAAAAGAATGGATCAACACTGTTAGTTGAGTACCCACATCACAAACGTGATTCTCAGAATGCTTCTGTCTAGTTTCTATAGGTAGATATTTCCTTTTTCAGCATAGGCCTGAAAGCGCTCCAAATGCCCGCTTCCAGACACTATAAAAAGAGGGTTTCAAACCTACTCCACGAAAGGGAATGTTCAACTCTGAGAGCTGGATGCAAAACTCACAAAGAAGTTTCTGAGAATGCTGCTGTCTACTTTTGATATATAATCCCGTTTCCAAGGAAATCCTCAAATCTATCCAAATATCCACTTGCAGATTCCAAAAGGAGAGTGTCTCAAAACTGCTCTATCAATAGAAATGTTCAGCACAGTTAGTTGAGTAGATACAGCATAAACATGTTTCTGAGATTACTTCTATCTCGCATTCATGGGAAGATATTTCCTTTTTCCAGATAGGCTACAAAGCCCTCCAAATGTCCACTTCGAGATACTACAAATAGAGTGCTGCACAACTGCTCTATGTGAGGGGATGTTCAATTCTGTGACTTGAATGCAGACACCACAAAGAAGTTTCTGAGAATGCTGCTGTCTAATTTTTATATGTAAGCCCGTTTCCAAAGAAATCCTCAAAGCTATCCAAATATCCGCATGCAGAATCTTCAAAAAGAGTGTTCCAGAAATACTGCATGAAACGAAAGGTTCAAGTCCGTTAGTTGAGGACACACATCACAAATAAGTTTCTCAGAATGCTTCTGTCTTGTTTTCATTCGAAGATATTTCCTTTTTCACCATAGTTCAGAAAGCGCTCCAAATGTCCACTTCCAGATACTACAAAAGGAGTGTTTCCAACCTGCTCTATGAATGGGAATGTTCCACTCTGTGACTTGAATGGAAATATGGCAAAGTATTTTCTGAGTATGCTGCTGTGTACGTTTTATATTGCATCCCGTTTCCAACGAAATCCTCAAAGCGATCCTAATATCCACTTGCAGATTCCAAAAAAAAGAGTGTTTCACACTGCTCTGTCAGTACAAATGTTCAACACTGTTAGTTGATTGGATGCATCATAAACAAGTTCCTGAGATAGCTTCTATATCGTTTTTCTGGGAAGATATTTCCTTTTTCACCATAGGCCTGAAAGCGCTCCAGATGTCCACTTCCAGATACTACAAAAAGAGTGTTTCCAACCTGCTCTATGAAACGGAAGGTTCAACTCTGTGACTTGATTGCAAACATCACGAAGGTGTTTCTGAGAATGCTTCTGTCTAGATTTTCTTTGAAGACATTCCCGTTTCCAACGAAATCCTCACAGCTATCCAAATATCCTCTTGCAGATTCTACAAAAAGTGTGGTTCAAAACTGCTGTATCAAAAGAATGGATCAACACTGTTAGTTGAGTACCCACATCACAAACGTGATTCTCAGAATGCTTCTGTCTAGTTTCTGTAGGTAGATATTTCCTATTTTAAGCATAGGCCTGAAAGCGCTCCAAATGCCCGCTTCCAGACACTATAAAAAGAGGGTTTCAAACCTACTCTATGAAAGGGAATGTTCAACTCTGAGAGCTGGATGCAAACATCACAAAGAAGTTTCTGAGAATGCTGCTGTCTACTTTTTATATATAATCCCGTTTCCAACGAAATCCTCAAATCTATCCAAATATCCACTTGCAGATTCCAAAAGAAGAGTGTCTCAAAACTGCTCTATCAATAGAAATGTTCAGCACAGTTAGTTGAGTAGATACAGCATAAACATGTTTCTGAGATTACTTCTATCTCGCATTCATGGGAAGATATTTCCTTTTTCCAGATAGGCTACAAAGCCCTCCAAATGTCCACTTCCAGATACTACAAAAAGAGTGTTTCCAACCTGCTCTATGAAACGGAAGGTTCAACTCTGTGACTTGATTGCAAACATCACGAAGGTGTTTCTGAGAATGCTTCTGTCTAGATTTTCTTTGAAGACATTACCGTTTCCAACGAAATCCTCAAAGCTAGCCAAATATCCACCTGCAGATTCTACAAAAAGAGTGTTTCAAAAGTGCTCTGTCCAAACCAAGGTTCAATTCTGACAGTTGAGTGCACACATCACAAACGTGATTCTGCGAATGCTTCTGTCTAGTTTTTGTCGGAAGATATTTCCTTTTTCAGCATAGGCCCCAAGGAGCTCAAAATGTCCACTGCCAGATAGTACGAGAAGATTGTTTCAAACCTGCTCTGTGAAAGGGAATGTTCAACTCTGTGACTTGAATGTAAACATCCCTAAGATGTTTCTTAGAATGCTTCTGGCTAGATTTGATTTGAAGATATTCCCGTTTCCAACGAAATCCTCAAAGCTTTCCAAATATCCACTTCCAGATTCTATAAAAAGAATGTTTCAGAACAGTTCTGTCAAAAGAAAGGTTCAACTCTGTTAGTGGAGAACACACATCACAATCAAGGTTCTGAGAATGCTTCTGTCTAAATTTTCTATGAAGACATTCCCGTTTCCAACGAAATCCTCACAGCTATCCAAATATCCACTTGCAGATTCTACAAAAAGTGTGGTTCAAAACTGCTGTATCAAAAGAATGGATCAACACTGTTAGTTGAGTACCCACATCACAAACGTGATTGCTCAGAATGCTTCTGTCTAGTTTCTAGAGGTAGATATTTCCTTTTTCAGCATAGGCCTGAAAGCGCTCCAAATGCCCGCTTCCAGACACTATAAAAAGAGGGTTTCAAACCTACTCTACGAAAGGGAATGTTCAACTCTGAGAGCTGGATGCAAACATCACAAAGAAGTTTCTGAGAATGCTGCTGTCTACTTTTTATATATAATCCCGTTGCCAACGAAATCCTCAAATCTTTCCAAATATCCACTTGCAGATTCCAAAAGAAGAGTGTCTCAAAACTGCTCTATCAATAGAAATGTTCATCTCAGTTAGTTGAGTAGATACAGCATAAACATGTTTCTGAGATTACTTCTATCTCGCATTCATGGGAAGATATTTCCTTTTTCCAGATAGGCTACAAAGCCCTCCAAATGTCCACTTCGAGATACTACAAATAGATTGCTGCACAACTGCTGTATGTGAGGAGATGTTCAATTCTGTGACTTGGATGCAGACACCACAGAGAAGTTTCTGAGAATGCTGCTGTCTAATTTTTATATGTAAGCCCGTTTCCAACGAAATCCTCAAAGCTATCCAAATATCCGCATGCAGAATCTTCAAAAAGAGTGTTCCAGAAGTACTGCATGAAACGAAAGGTTCAAGTCCGTTAGTTGAGGACACACATCACAAATAAGTTTCTCAGAATGCTTCTGTCTTGTTTTCATTGGAAGATATTTCCTCTTTCACCATAGTTCAGAAAGCGCTCCAAATGTCCACTTCCAGATACTACAAAAGGAGTGTTTCCAACCTGCTCTATGAATGGGAATGTTCCACTCTGTGACTTGAATGGAAATATGGCAAAGTATTTTCTGAGTATGCTGCTGTGTACGATTTATATTGCATCCCGTTTCCAACGAAATCCTCAAAGCGATCCAAATATCCACTTGCAGATTCCAAAAAAAAGAGTGTTTCACACTGCTCTGTCAGTACAAAAGTTCAACACTGTTAGTTGATTGGATGCATCATAAACAAGTTCCTGAGATAGCTTCTATGTCGTTTTTATGGGAAGATATTTCCTTTTTCACCATAGGCCTGAAAGCGCTCCAAATGTCCACTTCCAGATACTACAAAAAGAGTGTTTCCAACCTGCTCTATGAAACGGAAGGTTCAACTCTGTGACTTGATTGCAAACATCACGAAGGTGTTTCTGAGAATGTTTCTGTCTAGATTTTCTTTGAAGACATTACCGTTTCCAACGAAATCCTCAAAGCTAGCCAAATATCCACCTGCAGATTCTACAAAAAGAGTGTTTCAAAAGTGCTCTGTCCAAACAAAGGTTCAATTCTGACAGTTGAGTGCACACATCACAAACGTGATTCTGCGAATGCTTCTGTCTAGTTTTTGTCGGAAGATATTTCCTTTTTCAGCATAGGCCCCAAGGAGCTCAAAATGTCCACTTCCAGATACTACGAGAAGATTGTTTCAAACCTGCTCTGTGAAAGGGAATGTTCAACTCTGTGACTTGAATGTAAACATCCCTAAGATGTTTCTTAGAATGCTTCTGGCTAGATTTGATTTGAAGATATTCCCGTTTCAAACGAAATCCTCAAAGCTTTCCAAATATCCACTTCCAGATTCTATAAAAAGAATGTTTCAGAACAGTTCTGTCAAAAGAAAGGTTCAACCCTGTTAGTGGAGAACACACATCACAATCAAGGTTCTGAGAATGCTTCTGTCTAAATTTTCTATGAAGACATTCCCGTTTCCAAGGAAATCCTCACAGCTATCCAAATATCCACTTGCAGATTCTACAAAAAGTGTGGTTCAAAACTGCTGTATCAAAAGAATGGATCAACACTGTTAGTTGAGTACCCACATCACAAACGTGATTCTCAGAATGCTTCTGTCTAGTTTCTATAGGTAGATATTTCCTTTTTCAGCATAGGCCTGAAAGCGCTCCAAATGCCCGCTTCCAGACACTATAAAAAGAGGGTTTCAAACCTACTCTATGAAAGGGAATGTTCAACTCTGAGAGCTGGATGCAAACATCACAAAGAAGTTTCTGAGAATGCGGCTGTCTACTTTTTATATATAATCCCGTTGCCAACGAAATCCTCAAATCTATCCAAATATCCACTTGCAGATTCCAAAAGAAGAGTGTCTCAAAACTGCTCTATCAATAGAAATGTTCAGCACAGTTAGTTGAGTAGATACAGCATAAACATGTTTCTGAGATTACTTCTATCTCGCATTCATGGGAAGATATTTCCTTTTTCCAGATAGGCTACAAAGCCCTCCAAATGTCCACTTCGAGATACTACAAATAGAGTGCTGCACAACTGCTCTATGTGAGGGGATGTTCAATTCTGTGACTTGGATGCAGACACCACAGAGAAGTTTCTGAGAATGCTGCTGTCTAATTTTTATATGTAAGCCCGTTTCCAACGAAATCCTCAAAGCTATCCAAATATCCGCATGCAGAATCTTCAAAAAGAGTGTTCCAGAAGTACTGCATGAAACGAAAGGTTCAAGTCCGTTAGTTGAGGACACACATCACAAATAAGTTTCTCAGAATGCTTCTGTCTTGTTTTCATTGGAAGATATTTCCTTTTTCACCATAGTTCAGAAAGCGCTCCAAATGTCCACTTCCAGATACTACAAAAAGAGTGTGTCAAACCTGCTCTATGAATGGGAATGTTCCACTCTGTGACTTGAATGGAAATATGGCAAAGTATTTTCTGAGTATGCTGCTGTGTACTTTTATATTGCATCCCGTTTCCAACGAAATCCTCAAAGCGATCCAAATATCCACTTGCAGATTCCAAAAAAAAGAGTGTTTCACACTGCTCTGTCAGTACAAAGGTTCAACACTGTTAGTTGATTGGATGCATCATAAACAAGTTCCTGAGATAGCTTCTATGTCGTTTTTATGGGAAGATATTTCCTTTTTCACCATAGGCCTGAAAGCGCTCCAAATGTCCACTTCCAGATACTACAAAAAGAGTGTTTCCAACCTGCTCTATGAAACGGAAGGTTCAACTCTGTGACTTGATTGCAAACATCACGAAGGTGTTTCTGAGAATGTTTCTGTCTAGATTTTCTTTGAAGACATTACCGTTTCCAACGAAATCCTCAAAGCTAGCCAAATATCCACCTGCAGATTCTACAAAAAGAGTGTTTCAAAAGTGCTCTGTCCAAACCAAGGTTCAATTCTGACAGTTGAGTGCACACATCACAAACGTGATTCTGCGAACGCTTCTGTCTAGTTTTTGTCGGAAGATATTTCCTTTTTCAGCATAGGCCCCAAGGAGCTCAAAATGTCCACTGCCAGATAGTACGAGAAGATTGTTTCAAACCTGCTCTGTGAAAGGGAATGTTCAACTCTGTGACTTGAATGTAAACATCCCTAAGATGTTTCTTAGAATGCTTCTGGCTAGATTTGATTTGAAGATATTCCCGTTTCCAACGAAATCCTCAAAGCTTTCCAAATATCCACTTCCAGATTCTATAAAAAGAATGTTTCAGAACAGTTCTGTCAAAAGAAAGGTTCAACTCTGTTAGTGGAGAACACACATCACAATCAAGGTTCTGAGAATGCTTCTGTCTAAATTTTCTATGAAGACATTCCCGTTTCCAACGAAATCCTCACAGCTATCCAAATATCCACTTGCAGATTCTACAAAAAGTGTGGTTCAAAACTGCTGTATCAAAAGAATGGATCAACACTGTTAGTTGAGTACCCACATCACAAACGTGATTCTCAGAATGCTTCTGTCTAGTTTCTATAGGTAGATATTTCCTTTTTCAGCATAGGCCTGAAAGCGCTCCAAATGCCCGCTTCCAGACACTATAAAAAGAGGGTTTCAAACCTACTCTATGAAAGGGAATGTTCAACTCTGAGAGCTGGATGCAAACATCACAAAGAAGTTTCTGAGAATGCTGCTGTCTACTTTTTATATATAATCCCGTTTCCAACGAAATCCTCAAATCTATCCAAATATCCACTTGCAGATTCCAAAAGAAGAGTGTCTCAAAACTGCTCTATCAATAGAAATGTTCAGCACAGTTAGTTGAGTAGATACAGCATAAACATGTTTCTGAGATTACTTCTATCTCGCATTCATGGGAAGATATTTCCTTTTTCCAGATAGGCTACAAAGCCCTCCAAATGTCCACTTCCAGATACTACAAATAGAGTGCTGCACAACTGCTCTATGTGAGGGGATGTTCAATTCTGTGACTTGAATGCAGACACCACAAAGAAGTTTCTGAGAATGCTGCTGTCTAATTTTTACATGTAAGCCCGTTTCCAACGAAATCCTCAAAGCTATCCAAATATCCGCATGCAGAATCTTCAAAAAGAGTGTTCCAGAAGTACTGTATGAAACGAAAGGTTCAAGTCCGTTTGTTGAGGACACACATCACAAATAAGTTTCTCAGAATGCTTCTGTCTTGTTTTCATTGGAAGATATTTCCTTTTTCACCATAGTTCAGAAAGCGCTCCAAATGTCCACTTCCAGATACTCCAAAAAGAGTGTTTCCAACCTGCTCTATGAATGGGAATGTTCCACTCTGTGACTTGAATGGAAATATGGCAAAGTATTTTCTGAGTATGCTGCTGTGTACGTTTTATATTGCATCCCGTTTCCAACGAAATCCTCAAAGCGATCCAAATATCCACTTGCAGATTCCAAAAAAAGAGTGTTTCAAACTCCTCTGTCAGTACAAAGGTTCAACACTGTTAGTTGATTAGATGCATCATAAACAAGTTCCTGAGATAGCTTCTATGTCGTTTTTATGGGAAGATATTTCCTTTTTCACCATAGGCCTGAAAGCGCTCCAAATGTCCACTTCCAGATACTACAATAAGAGTGTTTCCAACCTGCTCTATGAAACGGAAGGTTCAACTCTGTGACTTGATTGCAAACATCACGAAGGTGTTTCTGAGAATGCTTCTGTCTAGATTTTCTTTGAAGACATTCCCGTTTCCAACGAAATCCTCACAGCTATCCAAATATCCACTTGCAGATTCTACAAAAAGTGTGGTTCAAAACTGCTGTATCAAAAGAATGGATCAACACTGTTAGTTGAGTACCCACATCACAAACGTGATTCTCAGAATGCTTCTGTCTAGTTTCTGTAGGTAGATATTTCCTATTTTAAGCATAGGCCTGAAAGCGCTCCAAATGCCCGCTTCCAGACACTATAAAAAGAGGGTTTCAAACCTACTCTATGAAAGGGAATGTTCAACTCTGAGAGCTGGATGCAAACATCACAAAGAAGTTTCTGAGAATGCTGCTGTCTACTTTTTATATATAATCCCGTTTCCAACGAAATCCTCAAATCTATCCAAATATCCACTTGCAGATTCCAAAAGAAGAGTGTCTCAAAACTGCTCTATCAATAGAAATGTTCAGCACAGTTAGTTGAGTAGATACAGCATAAACATGTTTCTGAGATTACTTCTATCTCGCATTCATGGGAAGATATTTCCTTTTTCCAGATAGGCTACAAAGCCCTCCAAATGTCCACTTCCAGATACTACAAAAAGAGTGTTTCCAACCTGCTCTATGAAACGGAAGGTTCAACTCTGTGACTTGATTGCAAACATCACGAAGTTGTTTCTGAGAATGCTTCTGTCTAGATTTTCTTTGAAGACATTACCGTTTCCAACGAAATCCTCAAAGCTAGCCAAATATCCACCTGCAGATTCTACAAAAAGAGTGTTTCAAAAGTGCTCTGTCCAAACCAAGGTTCAATTCTGACAGTTGAGTGCACACATCACAAACGTGATTCTGCGAATGCTTCTGTCTAGTTTTTGTCGGAAGATATTTCCTTTTTCAGCATAGGCCCCAAGGAGCTCAAAATGTCCACTGCCAGATAGTACGAGAAGATTGTTTCAAACCTGCTCTGTGAAAGGGAATGTTCAACTCTGTGACTTGAATGTAAACATCCCTAAGATGTTTCTTAGAATGCTTCTGGCTAGATTTTATTTGAAGATATTCCCGTTTCCAACGAAATCCTCAAAGCTTTCCAAATATCCACTTCCAGATTCTATAAAAAGAATGTTTCAGAACAGTTCTGTCACAAGAAAGGTTCAACTCTGTTAGTGGAGAACACACATCACAATCAAGGTTCTGAGAATGCTTCTGTCTAAATTTTCTATGAAGACATTCCCGTTTCCAACGAAATCCTCACAGCTATCCAAATATCCACTTGCAGATTCTACAAAAAGTGTGGTTCAAAACTGCTGTATCAAAAGAATGGATCAACACTGTTAGTTGAGTACCCACATCACAAACGTGATTCTCAGAATGCTTCTGTCTAGTTTCTATAGGTAGATATTTCCTTTTTCAGCATAGGCCTGAAAGCGCTCCAAATGCCCGCTTCCAGACACTATAAAAAGAGGGTTTCAAACCTACTCTATGAAAGGGAATGTTCAACTCTGAGAGCTGGATGCAAACATCACAAAGAAGTTTCTGAGAATGCTGCTGTCTACTTTTTATATATAATCCTGTTTCCAACGAAATCCTCAAATCTATCCAAATATCCACTTGCAGATTCCAAAAGAAGAGTGTCTCAAAACTGCTCTATCAATAGAAATGTTCAGCACAGTTAGTTGAGTAGATACAGCATAAACATGTTTCTGAGATTACTTCTATCTCGCATTCATGGGAAGATATTTCCTTTTTCCAGATAGGCTACAAAGCCCTCCAAATGTCCACTTCCAGATACTACAAAAAGAGTGTTTCCATCCTGCTCTATGAAACGGAAGGTTCAACTCTGTGACTTGATTGCAAACATCACGAAGGTGTTTCTGAGAATGCTTCTGTCTAGATTTTCTTTGAAGACATTACCGTTTCCAACGAAATCCTCAAAGCTAGCCAAATATCCACCTGCAGATTCTACAAAAAGAGTGTTTCAAAAGTGCTCTGTCCAAACCAAGGTTCAATTCTGACAGTTGAGTGCACACATCACAAACGTGATTCTGCGAATGCTTCTGTCTAGTTTTTGTCGGAAGATATTTCCTTTTTCAGCATAGGCCCCAAGGAGCTCAAAATGTCCACTGCCAGATAGTACGAGAAGATTGTTTCAAACCTGCTCTGTGAAAGGGAATGTTCAACTCTGTGACTTGAATGTAAACATCCCTAAGATGTTTCTTAGAATGCTTCTGGCTAGATTTTATTTGAAGATATTCCCGTTTCCAACGAAATCCTCAAAGCTTTCCAAATATCCACTTCCAGATTCTATAAAAAGAATGTTTCAGAACAGTTCTGTCAAAAGAAAGGTTCAACTCTGTTAGTGGAGAACACACATCACAATCAAGGTTCTGAGAATGCTTCTGTCTAAATTTTCTATGAAGACATTCCCGTTTCCAACGAAATCCTCACAGCTATCCAAATATCCACTTGCAGATTCTACAAAAAGTGTGGTTCAAAACTGCTGTATCAAAAGAATGGATCAACACTGTTAGTTGAGTACCCACATCACAAACGTGATTCTCAGAATGCTTCTGTCTAGTTTCTGTAGGTAGATATTTCCTATTTTAAGCATAGGCCTGAAAGCGCTCCAAATGCCCGCTTCCAGACACTATAAAAAGAGGGTTTCAAACCTACTCTATGAAAGGGAATGTTCAACTCTGAGAGCTGGATGCAAACATCACAAAGAAGTTTCTGAGAATGCTGCTGTCTACTTTTTATATATAATCCCGTTTCCAACGAAATCCTCAAATCTATCCAAATATCCACTTGCAGATTCCAAAAGAAGAGTGTCTCAAAACTGCTCTATCAATAGAAATGTTCAGCACAGTTAGTTGAGTAGATACAGCATAAACATGTTTCTGAGATTACTTCTATCTCGCATTCATGGGAAGATATTTCCTTTTTCCAGATAGGCTACAAAGCCCTCCAAATGTCCACTTCCAGATACTACAAAAAGAGTGTTTCCAACCTGCTCTATGAAACGGAAGGTTCAACTCTGTGACTTGATTGCAAACATCACGAAGGTGTTTCTGAGAATGCTTCTGTCTAGATTTTCTTTGAAGACATTACCGTTTCCAACGAAATCCTCAAAGCTAGCCAAATATCCACCTGCAGATTCTACAAAAAGAGTGTTTCAAAAGTGCTCTGTCCAAACCAAGGTTCAATTCTGACAGTTGAGTGCACACATCACAAACGTGATTCTGCGAATGCTTCTGTCTAGTTTTTGTCGGAAGATATTTCCTTTTTCAGCATAGGCCCCAAGGAGCTCAAAATGTCCACTGCCAGATAGTACGAGAAGATTGTTTCAAACCTGCTCTGTGAAAGGGAATGTTCAACTCTGTGACTTGAATGTAAACATCCCTAAGATGTTTCTTAGAATGCTTCTGGCTAGATTTGATTTGAAGATATTCCCGTTTCCAACGAAATCCTCAAAGCTTTCCAAATATCCACTTCCAGATTCTATAAAAAGAATCTTTCAGAACAGTTCTGTCAAAAGAAAGGTTCAACTCTGTTAGTGGAGAACACACATCACAATCAAGGTTCTGAGAATGCTTCCGTCTAAATTTTCTATGAAGACATTCCCGTTTCCAACGAAATCCTCAAAGCTTTCCAAATATCCACTTCCAGATTCTACAAAAAGTGTGGTTCAAAACTGCTGTATCAAAAGAATGGATCAACACTGTTAGTTGAGTACCCACATCACAAACGTGATTCTCAGAATGCTTCTGTCTAGTTTCTATAGGTAGATATTTCCTTTTTCAGCATAGGCCTGAAAGCGCTCCAAATGCCCGCTTCCAGACACTATAAAAAGAGGGTTTCAAACCTACTCTATGAAAGGGAATGTTCAACTCTGAGAGCTGGATGCAAACATCACAAAGAAGTTTCTGAGAATGCTGCTGTCTACTTTTTATATATAATCCCGTTTCCAACGAAATCCTCAAATCTATCCAAATATCCACTTGCAGATTCCAAAAGAAGAGTGTCTCAAAACTGCTCTATCAATAGAAATGTTCAGCACAGTTAGTTGAGTAGATACAGCATAAACATGTTTCTGAGATTACTTCTATCTCGCATTCATGGGAAGATATTTCCTTTTTCCAGATAGGCTACAAAGCCCTCCAAATGTCCACTTCCAGATACTACAAATAGAGTGCTGCACAACTGCTCTATGTGAGGGGATGTTCAATTCTGTGACTTGAATGCAGACACCACAAAGAAGTTTCTGAGAATGCTGCTGTCTAATTTTTACATGTAAGCCCGTTTCCAACGAAATCCTCAAAGCTATCCAAATATCCGCATGCAGAATCTTCAAAAAGAGTGTTCCAGAAGTACTGCATGAAACGAAAGGTTCAAGTCCGTTTGTTGAGGACACACATCACAAATAAGTTTCTCAGAATGCTTCTGTCTTGTTTTCATTGGAAGATATTTCCTTTTTCACCATAGTTCAGAAAGCGCTCCAAATGTCCACTTCCAGATACTCCAAAAAGAGTGTTTCCAACCTGCTCTATGAATGGGAATGTTCCACTCTGTGACTTGAATGGAAATATGGCAAAGTATTTTCTGAGTATGCTGCTGTGTACGTTTTATATTGCATCCCGTTTCCAACGAAATCCTCAAAGCGATCCAAATATCCACTTGCAGATTCCAAAAAAAGAGTGTTTCAAACTGCTCTGTCAGTACAAAGGTTCAACACTGTTAGTTGATTAGATGCATCATAAACAAGTTCCTGAGATAGCTTCTATGTCGTTTTTATGGGAAGATATTTCCTTTTTCACCATAGGCCTGAAAGCGCTCCAAATGTCCACTTCCAGATACTACAAAAAGAGTGTTTCCAACCTGCTCTATGAAACGGAAGGTTCAACTCTGTGACTTGATTGCAAACATCACGAAGGTGTTTCTGAGAATGCTTCTGTCTAGATTTTCTTTGAAGACATTACCGTTTCCAACGAAATCCTCAAAGCTAGCCAAATATCCACCTGCAGATTCTACAAAAAGAGTGTTTCAAAAGTGCTCTGTCCAAACCAAGGTTCAATTCTGACAGTTGAGTGCACACATCACAAACGTGATTCTGCGAATGCTTCTGTCTAGTTTTTGTCGGAAGATATTTCCTTTTTCAGCATAGGCCCCAAGGAGCTCAAAATGTCCACTGCCAGATAGTACGAGAAGATTGTTTCAAACCTGCTCTGTGAAAGGGAATGTTCAACTCTGTGACTTGAATGTAAACATCCCTAAGATGTTTCTTAGAATGCTTCTGGCTAGATTTTATTTGAAGATATTCCCGTTTCCAACGAAATCCTCAAAGCTTTCCAAATATCCACTTCCAGATTCTATAAAAAGAATGTTTCATAACAGTTCTGTCAAAAGAAAGGTTCAACTCTGTTAGTGGAGAACACACATCACAATCAAGGTTCTGAGAATGCTTCTGTCTAAATTTTCTATGAAGACATTCCCGTTTCCAACGAAATCCTCACAGCTATCCAAATATCCACTTGCAGATTCTACAAAAAGTGTGGTTCAAAACTGCTGTATCAAAAGAATGGATCAACACTGTTAGTTGAGTACCCACATCACAAACGTGATTCTCAGAATGCTTCTGTCTAGTTTCTATAGGTAGATATTTCCTTTTTCAGCATAGGCCCGAAAGCGCTCCAAATGCCCGCTTCCAGACACTATAAAAAGAGGGTTTCAAACCTACTCTATGAAAGGGAATGTTCAACTCTGAGAGCTGGATGCAAACATCACAAAGAAGTTTCTGAGAATGCTGCTGTCTACTTTTTATATATAATCCCGTTTCCAACGAAATCCTCAAATCTATCCAAATATCCACTTGCAGATTCCAAAAGAAGAGTGTCTCAAAACTGCTCTATCAATAGAAATGTTCAGCACAGTTAGTTGAGTAGATACAGCATAAACATGTTTCTGAGATTACTTCTATCTCGCATTCATGGGAAGATATTTCCTTTTTCCAGATAGGCTACAAAGCCCTCCAAATGTCCACTTCCAGATACTACAAAAAGAGTGTTTCCAACCTGCTCTATGAGACGGAAGGTTCAACTCTGTGACTTGATTGCAAACATCACGAAGGTGTTTCTGAGAATGCTTCTGTCTAGATTTTCTTTGAAGACATTACCGTTTCCAACGAAATCCTCAAAGCTAGCCAAATATCCTCCTGCAGATTCTACAAAAAGAGTGTTTCAAAAGTGCTCTGTCCAAACCAAGGTTCAATTCTGACAGTTGAGTGCACACATCACAAACGTGATTCTGCGAATGCTTCTGTCTAGTTTTTGTCGGAAGATATTTCCTTTTTCAGCATAGGCCCCAAGGAGCTCAAAATGTCCACTGCCAGATAGTACGAGAAGATTGTTTCAAACCTGCTCTGTGAAAGGGAATGTTCAACTCTGTGACTTGAATGTAAACATCCCTAAGATGTTTCTTAGAATGCTTCTGGCTAGATTTGATTTGAAGATATTCCCGTTTCCAACGAAATCCTCAAAGCTTTCCAAATATCCACTTCCAGATTCTATAAAAAGAATGTTTCAGAACAGTTCTGTCAAAAGAAAGGTTCAACTTTGTTAGTGGAGAACACACATCACAATCAAGGTTCTGAGAATGCTTCTGTCTAAATTTTCTATGAAGACATTCCCGTTTCCAACGAAATCCTCACAGCTATCCAAATATCCACTTGCAGATTCTACAAAAAGTGTGGTTCAAAACTGCTGTATCAAAAGAATGGATCAACACTGTTAGTTGAGTACCCACATCACAAACGTGATTCTCAGAATGCTTCTGTCTAGTTTCTATAGGTAGATATTTCCTTTTTCAGCATAGGCCTGAAAGCGCTCCAAATGCCCGCTTCCAGACACTATAAAAAGAGGGTTTCAAACCTACTCTATGAAAGGGAATGTTCAACTCTGAGAGCTGGATGCAAACATCACAAAGAAGTTTCTGAGAATGCTGCTGTCTACTTTTTATATATAATCCCGTTTCCAAGGAAATCCTCAAATCTATCCAAATATCCACTTGCAGATTCCAAAAGAAGAGTGTCTCAAAACTGCTCTATCAATAGAAATGTTCAGCACAGTTAGTTGAGTAGATACAGCATAAACATGTTTCTGAGATTACTTCTATCTCGCATTCATGGGAAGATATTTCCTTTTTCCAGATAGGCTACAAAGCCCTCCAAATGTCCACTTCCAGATACTACAAATAGAGTGCTGCACAACTGCTCTATGTGAGGGGAAGTTCAATTCTGTGACTTGAATGCAGACAGCACAAAGAAGTTTCTGAGAATGCTGCTGTCTAATTTTTACTTGTAAGCCCGTTTCCAATGAAATCCTCAAAGCTATCCAAATATCCGCATGCAGAATCTTCAAAAAGAGTGTTCCAGAAGTACTGCATGAAACGAAAGGTTCAAGTCCGTTTGTTGAGGACACACACCACAAATAAGTTTCTCATAAAGCTTCTGTCTTGTTTTCATTGGAAGATACTTCCTTTTTCACCATAGTTCGGAAAGCGCTCCAAAAGTCCACTTCCAGATACTCCAAAAAGAGTGTTTCAAACCTGCTCTATGAATGGGAATGTTCCACTCTGTGACTTGAATGGAAATATGGCAAAGTATTTTCTGAGTATGCTGCTGTGTACGTTTTATATTGCATCCCGTTTCCAACGAAATCCTCAAAGCGATCCAAATATCCACTTGCAGATTCCAAAAAAAGAGTGTTTCAAACTGCTCTGTCAGTACAAAGGTTCAACACTGTTAGTTGATTAGATGCATCATAAACAAGTTCCTGAGATAGCTTCTATGTCGTTTTTATGGGAAGATATTTCCTTTTTCACCATAGGCCTGAAAGCGCTCCAAATGTCCACTTCCAGATACTACAAAAAGAGTGTTTCCAACCTGCTCTATGAAACGGAAGGTTCAACTCTGTGACTTGATTGCAAACATCACGAAGGTGTTTCTGAGAATGCTTCTGTCTAGATTTTCTTTGAAGACATTACCGTTTCCAACGAAATCCTCAAAGCTAGCCAAATATCCACCTGCAGATTCTACAAAAAGAGTGTTTCAAAAGTGCTCTGTCCAAACCAAGGTTCAATTCTGACAGTTGAGTGCACACATCACAAACGTGATTCTGCGAATGCTTCTGTCTAGTTTTTGTCGGAAGATATTTCCTTTTTCAGCATAGGCCCCAAGGAGCTCAAAATGTCCACTGCCAGATAGTACGAGAAGATTGTTTCAAACCTGCTCTGTGAAAGGGAATGTTCAACTCTGTGACTTGAATGTAAACATCCCTAAGATGTTTCTTAGAATGCTTCTGGCTAGATTTGATTTGAAGATATTCCCGTTTCCAACGAAATCCTCAAAGCTTTCCAAATATCCACTTCCAGATTCTATAAAAAGAATGTTTCAGAACAGTTCTGTCAAAAGAAAGGTTCAACTCTGTTAGTGGAGAACACACATCACAATCAAGGTTCTGAGAATGCTTCTGTCTAAATTTTCTATGAAGACATTCCCGTTTCCAACGAAATCCTCACAGCTATCCAAATATCCACTTGCAGATTCTACAAAAAGTGTGGTTCAAAACTGCTGTATCAAAAGAATGGATCAACACTGTTAGTTGAGTACCCACATCACAAACGTGATTCTCAGAATGCTTCTGTCTAGTTTCTGTAGGTAGATATTTCCTATTTTAAGCATAGGCCTGAAAGCACTCCAAATGCCCGCTTCCAGACACTATAAAAAGAGGGTTTCAAACCTACTCTATGAAAGGGAATGTTCAACTCTGAGAGCTGGATGCAAACATCACAAAGAAGTTTCTGAGAATGCTGCTGTCTACTTTTTATATATAATCCCGTTTCCAACGAAATCCTCAAATCTATCCAAATATCCACTTGCAGATTCCAAAAGAAGAGTGTCTCAAAACTGCTCTATCAATAGAAATGTTCAGCACAGTTAGTTGAGTAGATACAGCATAAACATGTTTCTGAGATTACTTCTATCTCGCATTCATGGGAAGATATTTCCTTTTTCCAGATAGGCTACAAAGCCCTCCAAATGTCCACTTCGAGATACTACAAAGAGAGTGCTGCACAACTGCTCTATGTGAGGGGATGTTCAATTCTGTGACTTGAATGCAGACACCACAAAGAAGTTTCTGAGAATGCTGCTGTCTAATTTTTATATGTAAGCCCGTTTCCAACGAAATCCTCAAAGCTATCCAAATATCCGCATGCAGAATCTTCAAAAAGAGTGTTCCAGAAGTACTGCATGAAACGAAAGTTTCGAGTCCGTTAGTTGAGGACACGCATCACAAATAAGTTTCTCAGAATGCTTCTGTCTTGTTTTCATTGGAAGATATTTCCTTTTTCACCATAGTTCAGAAAGCGCTCCAAATGTCCACTTCCAGATACTCCAAAAAGAGTGTTTCAAACCTGCTCTATGAATGGGAATGTTCCACTCTGTGACTTGAATGGAAATATGGCAAAGTATTTTCTGAGTATGCTGCTGTCTACTTTTTATATGTAATCCCGTTTCCAACGAAATTCTCAAAGCGATACAAATATCCACTTGCAGATTCCAAAAAAAGAGTGTTTCAAACTGCTCTGTCAGTACAAAGGTTCAACACTGTTAGTTGATTGGATGCATCATAAACAAGTTCCTGAGATAGCTTCAATGTCGCTTTTATGGGAAGATATTTCCTTTTACACCATAGGCCTGAAATCGCTCCAAATGTCCAATTCCAGATACTACAAAATGAGTGTTTCCAACCTGCTCTATGAAACGGAAGGTTCAACTCTGTGACTTGATTGCAAACATCACGAAGGTGTTTCTGAGGATGTTTCTGTCTAGATTTTCTTTGAAGACATTACCGTTTCCAACGAAATCCTCAAAGCTAGTCAAATATCCACCTACAGATTCTACAAAAAGAGTGTTTCAAAAGTGCTCTGTCCAAACAAAGGTTCAATTCTGTCAGTTGAGTGCACACATCACAAACGTGATTCTGCGAATGCTTCTGTCTAGTTTTTGTCAGAAGATATTTCCTTTTTCAGCATAGGCCCCAAGGCAGCTCAAAATGTCCACTGCCAGATAGTACGAGAAGATTGTTTCAAACCTGCTCTGTGAAAGGGAATGTTCAACTCTGTGACTTGAATGTAAACATCCCTAAGATGTTTCTTAGAATGCTTCTGGCTAGATTTTATTTGAAGATATTCCCGTTTCCAACGAAATCCTCAAAGCTTTCCAAATATCCACTTCCAGATTCTATAAAAAGAATGTTTCAGAACAGTTCTGTCAAAAGAAAGGTTCAACTCTGTTAGTGGAGAACACACATCACAATCAAGGTTCTGAGAATGCTTCTCTCTAAATTTTCTATGAAGACATTCCCGTTTCCAACGAAATCCTCACAGCTATCCAAATATCCACTTGCAGATTCTACAAAAAGTGTGGTTCAAAACTGCTGTATCAAAAGAATGGATCAACACTGTTAGTTGAGTACCCACATCACAAACGTGATTCTCAGAATGCTTCTGTCTAGTTTCTATATGTAGATATTTCCTTTTTCAGCATAGGCCTGAAAGCGCTCCAAATGCCCGCTTCCAGACACTATAAAAAGAGGGTTTCAAACCTACTCTATGAAAGGGAATGTTCAACTCTGAGAGCTGGATGCAAACATCACAAAGAAGTTTCTGAGAATGCTGCTGTCTACTTTTTATATATAATCCCGTTTCCAACGAAATCCTCAAATCTATCCAAATATCCACTTGCAGATTCCAAAAGAAGAGTGTCTCAAAACTGCTCTATCAATAGAAATGTTCAGCACAGTTAGTTGAGTAGATACAGCATAAACATGTTTCTGAGATTACTTCTATCTCGCATTCATGGGAAGATATTTCCTTTTTCCAGATAGGCTACAAAGCCCTCCAAATGTACATTTCGAGATACTACAAATAGAGTGCTGCACAGCTGCTCTATGTGAGGGGATGTTCAATTCTGTGACTTGAACGCAGACACCACAAAGAAGTTTCTGAGAATGCTGCTGTCTAATTTTTACATGTAAGCCCGTTTCCAACGAAATCCTCAAAGCTATCCAAATATCCACATGCAGAATCTTCAAAAAGAGTGTTCCAGAAGTACTGCATGAAACGAAAGGTTCAAGTCCGTTAGTTGAGGACACACATCACAAATAAGTTTCTCAGAATGCTTCTGTCTTGTTTTCATTGGAAGATATTTCCTTTTTCACCATAGTTCAGAAAGCGCTCCAAATGTCCACTTCCAGATACTCCAAAAAGACTGTTTCAAACCTGCTCTATGAATGGGAATGTTCCACTGAGTGACTTGAATGGAAATATGGCAAAGTATTTTCTGAATATGCTGCTGTGCACGTTTTATATTGCATCCCGTTTCCAACGAAATCCACAAAGCGATCCAAATATCCACTTGCAGATTCCAAAAAAAGAGTGTTTCAAACTGCTCTGTCAGTACAAAGGTTCAACACTGTTAGTTGATTAGATGCATCATAAACAAGTTACCTGAGATAGCTTCTATGTCGTTTTTATGGGAAGATATTTCCTTTTTCACCAGAGGCCTGAAAGCACTCCAAATGTCCACTTCCAGATACTACAAAAAGAGTGTTTCCAACCTGCTCTATGAAACGGAAGGTTCAACTCTGTGACTTGATTGCAAACATCACGAAGGTGTTTCTGAGAATGTTTCTGTCTAGATTTTCTTTGAAGACATTACCGTTTCCAACGAAATCCTCAAAGCTAGCCAAATATCCACCTGCAGATCCTTCAAAAAGTGTGTTTCAAAAGTGCTCTGTCCAAACCAAGGTTCAATGCTGACAGTTGAGTGCACACATCACAAACGTGATTCTGCGAATGCTTCTGTCTAGTTTTTGTCGGAAGATATTTCCTTTTTCAGCATAGGCCCCAAGGAGCTCAAAATGTCCACTTCCAGATAGTACGAGAAGATTGTTTCAAACCTGCTCTGTGAAAGGGAATGTTCAACCCTGTGACTTGAATGTAAACATCCCTAAGATGTTTCTTAGAATGCTTCTGGCTAGATTTGATTTGAAGATATTCCCGTTTCCAACGAAATCCTCAAAGCTTTCCAAATATCCACTTCCAGATTCTATAAAAAGAATGTTTCAAAACAGTTCTGTCAAAAGAAAGGTTCAACCCTGTTAGTGGAGAACACACATCACAATCAAGGTTCTGAGAATGCTTCTGTCTAAATTTTCTATGAAGACATTCCCGTTTCCAAGGAAATCCTCACAGCTATCCAAATATCCACTTGCAGATTCTACAAAAAGTGTGGTTCAAAACTGCTGTATCAAAAGAATGGATCAACACTGTTAGTTGAGTACCCACATCACAAACGTGATTCTCAGAATGCTTCTGTCTACTTTCTATAGGTAGATATTTCCTTTTTCAGCATAGGCCTGAAAGCGCTCCAAATGCCCGCTTCCAGACACTATAAAAAGAGGGTTTCAAACCTACTCTACGAAAGGGAATGTTCAACTCTGAGAGCTGGATGCAAACATCACAAAGAAGTTTCTGAGAATGCTGCTGTCTACTTTTGATATATAATCCCGTTTCCAAGGAAATCCTCAAATCTATCCAAATATCCACTTGCAGATTCCAAAAGAAGAGTGTCTCAAAACTGCTCTATCAATAGAAATGTTCAGCACAGTTAGTTGAGTAGATACAGCATAAACATGTTTCTGAGATTACTTCTATCTCGCATTCATGGGAAGATATTTCCTTTTTCCAGATAGGCTACAAAGCCCTCCAAATGTCCACTTCGAGATACTACAAATAGAGTGCTGCACAGCTGCTCTATGTGAGGGGATGTTCAATTCTGTGACTTGAATGCAGACACCACAAAGAAGTTTCTGAGAATGCTGCTGTCTAATTTTTATATGTAAGCCCGTTTCCAACGAAATCTTCAAAGCTATCCAAATATCCGCATGCAGAATCTTAAAAAAGTGTGTTCCAGAAATACTGCATGAAACGAAAGGTTCAAGTCCGTTAGTTGAGGACACACATCACAAATAAGTTTCTCAGAATGCTTCTGTCTTGTTTTCATTGGAAGATATTTCCTTTTTCACCATAGTTCAGAAAGCGCTCCAAATGTCCACTTCCAGATACTCCAAAAAGAGTGTTTCCAACCTGCTCTATGAATGGGAATGTTCCACTCTGTGACTTGAATGGAAATATGGCAAAGAATTTTCTGAGTATGCTGCTGTGTACGTTTTATATTGCATCCCGTTTCCAACGAAATCCTCAAAGCGATCCAAATATCCACTTGCAGATTCCAAAAAAAAGAGTGTTTCACACTGCTCTGTCAGTACAAAGGTTCAACACTGTTAGTTGATTGGATGCATCATAAACAAGTTCCTGAGATAGCTTCTATGTCGTTTTTATGGGAAGATATTTCCTTTTTCACCATAGGCCTGAAAGCGCTCCAAATGTCCACTTCCAGATACTACAAAAAGAGTGTTTCCAACCTGCTCTATGAAACGGAAGGTTCAACTCTGTGACTTGATTGCAAACATCACGAAGGTGTTTCTGAGAATGTTTCTGTCTAGATTTTCTTAGAAGACATTACCGTTTCCAACGAAATCCTCAAAGCTAGTCAAATATCCACCTGCAGATTCTACAAAAAGAGTGTTTCAAAAGTGCTCTGTCCAAACAAAGGTTCAATTCTGACAGTTGAGTGCACACATCACAAACGTGATTCTGCGAATGTTTCTGTCTAGTTTTTGTCGGAAGATATTTCCTTTTTCAGCATAGGCCCCAAGGAGCTCAAAATGTCCACTTCCAGATAGTACGAGAAGATTGTTTCAAACCTGCTCTGTGAAAGGGAATGTTCAACCCTGTGACTTGAATGTAAACATCCCTAAGATGTTTCTTAGAATGCTTCTGGCTAGATTTTATTTGAAGATATTCCCGTTTCCAACGAAATCCTCAAAGCTTTCCAAATATCCACTTCCAGATTCTATAAAAAGAATGTTTCAGAACAGTTCTGTCAAAAGAAAGGTTCAACTCTGTTAGTGGAGAACACACATCACAATCAAGGTTCTGAGAATGCTTCTGTCTAAATTTTCTATGAAGACATTCCCGTTTCCAACGAAATCCTCACAGCTATCCAAATATCCACTTGCAGATTCTACAAAAAGTGTGGTTCAAAACTGCTGTATCAAAAGAATGGATCAACACTGTTAGTTGAGTACCCACATCACAAACGTGATTCTCAGAATGCTTCTGTCTAGTTTCTATAGGTAGATATTTCCTTTTTCAGCATAGGCCTGAAAGCGCTCCAAATGCCCGCTTCCAGACACTATAAAAAGAGGGTTTCAAACCTACTCTATGAAAGGGAATGTTCAACTCTGAGAGCTGGATGCAAACATCACAAAGAAGTTTCTGAGAATGCTGCTGTCTACTTTTTACATATAATCCCGTTTCCAACGAAATCCTCAAATCTATCCAAATATCCACTTGCAGATTCCAAAAGAAGAGTGTCTCAAAACTGCTCTATCAATAGAAATGTTCAGCACAGTTAGTTGAGTAGATACAGCATAAACATGTTTCTGAGATTACTTCTATCTCGCATTCATGGGAACATATTTCCTTTTTCCAGATAGGCTACAAAGCCCTCCAAATGTCCACTTCCAGATACTACAAAAAGAGTGTTTCCAACCTGCTCTATGAAACGGAAGGTTCAACTCTGTGACTTGATTGCAAACATCACGAAGGTGTTTCTGAGAATGCTTCTGTCTAGATTTTCTTTGAAGACATTACCGTTTCCAACGAAATCCTCAAAGCTAGCCAAATATCCACCTGCAGATTCTACAAAAAGAGTGTTTCAAAAGTGCTCTGTCCAAACCAAGGTTCAATTCTGAGAGTTGAGTGCACACATCACAAACGTGATTCTGCGAATGCTTCTGTCTAGTTTTTGTCGGAAGATATTTCCTTTTTCAGCATAGGCCCCAAGGAGCTCAAAATGTCCACTGCCAGATAGTACGAGAAGATTGTTTCAAACCTGCTCTGTGAAAGGGAATGTTCAACTCTGTGACTTGAATGTAAACATCCCTAAGATGTTTCTTAGAATGCTTCTGGCTAGATTTTATTTGAAGATATTCCCGTTTCCAACGAAATCCTCAAAGCTTTCCAAATATCCACTTCCAGATTCTATAAAAAGAATGTTTCAGAACAGTTCTGTCAAAAGAAAGGTTCAACTCTGTTAGTGGAGAACACACATCACAATCAAGGTTCTGAGAATGCTTCTGTCTAAATTTTCTATGAAGACATTCCCGTTTCCAACGAAATCCTCACAGCTATCCAAATATCCACTTGCAGATTCTACAAAAAGTGTGGTTCAAAACTGCTGTATCAAAAGAATGGATCAACACTGTTAGTTGAGTACCCACATCACAAACGTGATTCTCAGAATGCTTCTGTCTAGTTTCTATAGGTAGATATTTCCTTTTTCAGCATAGGCCTGAAAGCGCTCCAAATGCCCGCTTCCAGACACTATAAAAAGAGGGTTTCAAACCTACTCTATGAAAGGGAATGTTCAACTCTGAGAGCTGGATGCAAACATCACAAAGAAGTTTCTGAGAATGCTGCTGTCTACTTTTTATATATAATCCCGTTTCCAACGAAATCCTCAAATCTATCCAAATATCCACTTGCAGATTCCAAAAGAAGAGTGTCTCAAAACTGCTCTATCAATAGAAATGTTCAGCACAGTTAGTTGAGTAGATACAGCATAAACATGTTTCTGAGATTACTTCTATCTCGCATTCATGGGAAGATATTTCCTTTTTCCAGATAGGCTACAAAGCCCTCCAAATGTCCACTTCCAGATACTACAAAAAGAGTGTTTCCAACCTGCTCTATGAAACGGAAGGTTCAACTCTGTGACTTGATTGCAAACATCACGAAGGTGTTTCTGAGAATGCTTCTGTCTAGATTTTCTTTGAAGACATTACCGTTTCCAACGAAATCCTCAAAGCTAGCCAAATATCCACCTGCAGATTCTACAAAAAGAGTGTTTCAAAAGTGCTCTGTCCAAACCAAGGTTCAATTCTGACAGTTGAGTGCACACATCACAAACGTGATTCTGTGAATGCTTCTGTCTAGTTTTTGTCGGAAGATATTTCCTTTTTCAGCATAGGCCCCAAGGAGCTCAAAATGTCCACTGCCAGATAGTACGAGAAGATTGTTTCAAACCTGCTCTGTGAAAGGGAATGTTCAACTCTGTGACTTGAATGTAAACATCCCTAAGATGTTTCTTAGAATGCTTCTGGCTAGATTTTATTTGAAGATATTCCCGTTTCCAACGAAATCCTCAAAGCTTTCCAAATATCCACTTCCAGATTCTATAAAAAGAATGTTTCAGAACAGTTCTGTCAAAAGAAAGGTTCAACTCTGTTAGTGGAGAACACACATCACAATCAAGGTTCTGAGAATGCTTCTGTCTAAATTTTCTATGAAGACATTCCCGTTTCCAACGAAATCCTCACAGCTATCCAAATATCCACTTGCAGATTCTACAAAAAGTGTGGTTCAAAACTGCTGTATCAAAAGAATGGATCAACACTGTTAGTTGAGTACCCACATCACAAACGTGATTCTCAGAATGCTTCTGTCTAGTTTCTATAGGTAGATATTTCCTTTTTCAGCATAGGCCTGAAAGCGCTCCAAATGCCCGCTTCCAGACACTATAAAAAGAGGGTTTCAAACCTACTCTATGAAAGGGAATGTTCAACTCTGAGAGCTGGATGCAAACATCACAAAGAAGTTTCTGAGAATGCTGCTGTCTACTTTTTATATATAATCCCGTTTCCAACGAAATCCTCAAATCTATCCAAATATCCACTTGCAGATTCCAAAAGAAGAGTGTCTCAAAACTGCTCTATCAATAGAAATGTTCAGCACAGTTAGTTGAGTAGATACAGCATAAACATGTTTCTGAGATTACTTCTATCTCGCATTCATGGGAAGATATTTCCTTTTTCCAGATAGGCTACAAAGCCCTCCAAATGTCCACTTCGAGATACTACAAATAGAGTGCTGCACAACTGCTCTATGTGAGGGGATGTTCAATTCTGTGACTTGAATGCAGACACCACAAAGAAGTTTCTGAGAATGCTGCTGTCTAATTTTTATATGTAAGCCCGTTTCCAACGAAATCCTCAAAGCTATCCAAATATCCGCATGCAGAATCTTCAAAAAGAGTGTTCCAGAAGTACTGCATGAAACGAAAGGTTCGAGTCCGTTAGTTGAGGACACGCATCACAAATAAGTTTCTCAGAATGCTTCTGTCTTGTTTTCATTGGAAGATATTTCCTTTTTCACCATAGTTCAGAAAGCGCTCCAAATGTCCACTTCCAGACACTCCAAAAAAAGTGTTTCAAACCTGCTCTATGAATGGGAATGTTCCACTCTGTGACTTGAATGGAAATATGGCAAAGTATTTTCTGAGTATGCTGCTGTGTACGTTTTATATTGCATCCCGTTTCCAACGAAATCCTCAAAGCGATCCAAATATCCACTTGCAGATTCCAAAAAAAGAGTGTTTCAAACTGCTCTGTCAGTACAAAGTTTCAACACTGTTAGTTGATTAGATGCATCATAAACAAGTTCCTGAGATAGCTTCAATGTCGCTTTTATGGGAAGATATTTCCTTTTACACCATAGGCCTGAAATCGCTCCAAATGTCCAATTCCAGATACTACAAAATGAGTGTTTCCAACCTGCTCTATGAAACGGAAGGTTCAACTCTGTGACTTGATTGCAAACATCACGAAGGTGTTTCTGAGGATGTTTCTGTCTAGATTTTCTTTGAAGACATTACCGTTTCCAACGAAATCCTCAAAGCTAGCCAAATATCCACCTGCAGATTCTACAAAAAGAGTGTTTCAAAAGTGCTCTGTCCAAACCAAGGTTCAATTCTGACAGTTGAGTGCACACATCACAAACGTGATTCTGCGAATGCTTCTGTCTAGTTTTTGTCGGAAGATATTTCCTTTTTCAGCATAGGCCCCAAGGAGCTCAAAATGTCCACTGCCAGATAGTACGAGAAGATTGTTTCAAACCTGCTCTGAGAAAGGGGAATGTTCAACTCTGTGACTTGAATGTAAACATCCCTAAGATGTTTCTTAGAATGCTTCTGGCTAGATTTTATTTGAAGATATTCCCGTTTCCAACGAAATCCTCAAAGCTTTCCAAATATCCACTTCCAGATTCTATAAAAAGAATGTTTCAGAACAGTTCTGTCAAAAGAAAGGTTCAACTCTGTTAGTGGAGAACACACATCACAATCAAGGTTCTGAGAATGCTTCTGTCTAAATTTTCTCTGAAGACATTCCCGTTTCCAACGAAATCCTCACAGCTATCCAAATATCCAATTGCAGATTCTACAAAAAGGGTGGTTCAAAACTGCTGTATCAAAAGAATGGATCAACACTGTTAGTTGAGTACCCACATCACAAACGTGATTCTCAGAATGCTTCTGTCTAGTTTCTATAGGTAGATATTTCCTTTTTCAGCATAGGCCTGAAAGCGCTCCAAATGCCCGCTTCCAGACACTATAAAAAGAGGGTTTCAAACCTACTCTATGAAAGGGAATGTTCAACTCTGAGAGCTGGATGCAAACATCACAAAGAAGTTTCTGAGAATGCTGCTGTCTACTTTTTATATATAATCCCGTTTCCAACGAAATCCTCAAATCTATCCAAATATCCACTTGCAGATTCCAAAAGAAGAGTGTCTCAAAACTGCTCTATCAATAGAAATGTTCAGCACAGTTAGTTGAGTAGATACAGCATAAACATGTTTCTGAGATTACTTCTATCTCGCATTCATGGGAAGATATTTCCTTTTTCCAGATAGGCTACAAAGCCCTCCAAATGTCCACTTCCAGATACTACAAATAGAGTGCTGCACAACTGCTCTATGTGAGGGGAAGTTCAATTCTGTGACTTGAATGCAGACACCACAAAGAAGTTTCTGAGAATGCTGCTGTCTAATTTTTACATGTAAGCCCGTTTCCAACGAAATCCTCAAAGCTATCCAAATATCCGCATGCAGAATCTTCAAAAAGAGTGTTCCAGAAGTACTGCATGAAACGAAAGGTTCAAGTCCGTTTGTTGAGGACACACATCACAAATAAGTTTCTCAGAATGCTTCTGTCTTGTTTTCATTGGAAGATATTTCCTTTTTCACCATAGTTCAGAAAGCGCTCCAAATGTCCACTTCCAGATACTCCAAAAAGAGTGTTTCCAACCTGCTCTATGAATGGGAATGTTCCACTCTGTGACTTGAATGGAAACATGGCAAAGTATTTTCTGAGTATGCTGCTGTGTACGTTTTATATTGCATCCCGTTTCCAACGAAATCCTCAAAGTGATCCAAATATCCACTTGCAGATTCCAAAAAAAGAGTGTTTCAAACTGCTCTGTCAGTACAAAGGTTCAACACTGTTAGTTGATTAGATGCATCATAAACAATTTCCTGAGATAGCTTCTATGTCGTTTTTATGGGAAGATATTTCCTTTTTCACCATAGGCCTGAAAGCGCTCCAAATGTCCACTTCCAGATACTACAATAAGAGTGTTTCCAACCTGCTCTATGAAACGGAAGGTTCAACTCTGTGACTTGATTGCAAACATCACGAAGGTGTTTCTGAGAATGCTTCTGTCTAGATTTTCTTTGAAGACATTCCCGTTTCCAACGAAATCCTCACAGCTATCCAAATATCCTCTTGCAGATTCTACAAAAAGTGTGGTTCAAAACTGCTTTATCAAAAGAATGGATCAACACTGTTAGTTGAGTACCCACATCACAAACGTGATTCTCAGAATGCTTCTGTCTAGTTTCTGTAGGTAGATATTTCCTATTTTAAGCATAGGCCTGAAAGCGCTCCAAATGCCCGCTTCCAGACACTATAAAAAGAGGGTTTCAAACCTACTCTATGAAAGGGAATGTTCAACTCTGAGAGCTGGATGCAAACATCACAAAGAAGTTTCTGAGAATGCTGCTGTCTACTTTTTATATATAATCCCGTTTCCAACGAAATCCTCAAATCTATCCAAATATCCACTTGCAGATTCCAAAAGAAGAGTGTCTCAAAACTGCTCTATCAATAGAAATGTTCAGCACAGTTAGTTGAGTAGATACAGCATAAACATGTTTCTGAGATTACTTCTATCTCGCATTCATGGGAAGATATTTCCTTTTTCCAGATAGGCTACAAAGCCCTCCAAATGTCCACTTCCAGATACTACAAAAAGAGTGTTTCCAACCTGCTCTATGAAACGGAAGGTTCAACTCTGTGACTTGATTGCAAACATCACGAAGGTGTTTCTGAGAATGCTTCTGTCTAGATTTTCTTTGAAGACATTACCGTTTCCAACGAAATCCTCAAAGCTAGCCAAATATCCACCTGCAGATTCTACAAAAAGAGTGTTTCAAAAGTGCTCTGTCCAAACCAAGGTTCAATTCTGACAGTTGAGTGCACACATCACAAACGTGATTCTGCGAATGCTTCTGTCTAGTTTTTGTCGGAAGATATTTCCTTTTTCAGCATAGGCCCCAAGGAGCTCAAAATGTCCACTGCCAGATAGTACGAGAAGATTGTTTCAAACCTGCTCTGTGAAAGGGAATGTTCAACTCTGTGACTTGAATGTAAACATCCCTAAGATGTTTCTTAGAATGCTTCTGGCTAGATTTTATTTGAAGATATTCCCGTTTCCAACGAAATCCTCAAAGCTTTCCAAATATCCACTTCCAGATTCTATAAAAAGAATGTTTCAGAACAGTTCTGTCAAAAGAAAGGTTCAACTCTGTTAGTGGAGAACACACATCACTATTCAAGGTTCTGAGAATGCTTCTGTCTAAATTTTCTATGAAGACATTCCCGTTTCCAATGAAATCCTCACAGCTATCCAAATATCCACTTGCAGATTCTACAAAAAGTGTGGTTCAAAACTGCTGTATCAAAAGAATGGATCAACACTGTTAGTTGAGTACCCACATCACAAACGTGATTCTCAGAATGCTTCTGTCTAGTTTCTATAGGTAGATATCTCCTTTTTCAGCATAGGCCTGAAAGCGCTCCAAATGCCCGCTTCCAGACACTATAAAAAGAGGGTTTCAAACCTACTCTATGAAAGGGAATGTTCAACTCTGAGAGCTGGATGCAAACATCACAAAGAAGTTTCTGAGAATGCTGCTGTCTACTTTTTATATATAATCCCGTTTCCAACGAAATCCTCAAATCTATCCAAATATCCACTTGCAGATTCCAAAAGAAGAGGGTCTCAAAACTGCTCTATCAATAGAAATGTTCAGCACAGTTAGTTGAGTAGATACAGCATAAACATGTTTCTGAGATTACTTCTATCTCGCATTCATGGGAAGATATTTCCTTTTTCCAGATAGGCTACAAAGCCCTCCAAATGTCCACTTCCAGATACTACAAATAGAGTGCTGCACAACTGCTCTATGTGAGGGGAAGTTCAATTCTGTGACTTGAATGCAGACACCACAAAGAAGTTTCTGAGAATGCTGCTGTCTAATTTTTACATGTAAGCCCGTTTCCAACGAAATCCTCAAAGCTATCCAAATATCCGCATGCAGAATCTTCAAAAAGAGTGTTCCAGAAGTACTGCATGAAACGAAAGGTTCAAGTCCGTTTGTTGAGGACACACATCACAAATAAGTTTCTCAGAATGCTTCTGTCTTGTTTTCATTGGAAGATATTTCCTTTTTCACCATAGTTCAGAAAGCGCTCCAAATGTCCACTTCCAGATACTCCAAAAAGAGTGTTTCCAACCTGCTCTATGAATGGGAATGTTCCACTCTGTGACTTGAATGGAAATATGGCAAAGTATTTTCTGAGTATGCTGCTGTGTACGTTTTATATTGCATCCCGTTTCCAACGAAATCCTCAAAGCGATCCAAATATCCACTTGCAGATTCCAAAAAAAGAGTGTTTCAAACTGCTCTGTCAGTACAAAGGTTCAACACTGTTAGTTGATTAGATGCATCATAAACAAGTTCCTGAGATAGCTTCTATCTTGTTTTTATGGGAAGATATTTCCTTTTTCACCACAGGCAAGAAGGCGCTCCAAATGTCCACTTCCAGATGCTACAAAAAGAGTGTTTCCAACCTGCTCTATGAACGGGAATGTTCCAGTCTGTGACTTGAATGCAAACATCGTAAGGAAGTTTCTGAGAATGCTGCTGTCTAATTTTTATATGTAAGCCCGTTTCCAACGAAATCCTCAAAGCTATCCAAATATCCGCATGCAGAATCTTCAAAAAGAGTGTTCCAGAAGTACTGCATGAAACGAAAGGTTCAAGTCCGTTAGTTGAGGACACACATCACAAATAAGTTTCTCAGAATGCTTCTCTATCTTGTTTTTATGGGAAGATATTTCCTTTTTCACCACAGGCAAGAAGGCGCTCCAAATGTCCACTTCCAGATGCTACAAAAAGAGTGTTTCCAACCTGCTCTATGAACGGGAATGTTCCAGTCTGTGACTTGAATGCAAACATCGTAAGGAAGTTTCTGAGAATGCTGCTGTCTACTTTTTATATGTAATCCCGTTTCCAACGAAATTCTCAAAGCGATACAAATATCCACTTGCAGATTCCAAAAAAAGAGTGTTTCAAACTGCTCTGTCAGTACAAAGGTTCAACACTGTTAGTTGATTGGATGCATCATAAACAAGTTCCTGAGATAGCTTCTATGTCGTTTTTATGGGAAGATATTTCCTTTTTCACCATAGGCCTGAAAGCGCTCCAAATGTCCACTTCCAGATACTACAAAAAGAGTGTTTCCAACCTGCTCTATGAAACGGAAGGTTCAACTCTGTGACTTGATTGCAAACATCACGAAGGTGTTTCTGAGAATGTTTCTGTCTAGATTTTCTTTGAAGACATTACCGTTTCCAACGAAATCCTCAAAGCTAGCCAAATATCCACCTGCAGATTCTACAAAAAGAGTGTTTCAAAAGTGCTCTGTCCAAACCAAGGTTCAATTCTGACAGTTGAGTGCACACATCACAAACGTGATTCTGCGAATGCTTCTGTCTAGTTTTTGTCGGAAGATATTTCCTTTTTCAGCATAGGCCCCAAGGAGCTCAAAATGTCCACTGCCAGATAGTACGAGAAGATTGTTTCAAACCTGCTCTGTGAAAGGGAATGTTCAACTCTGTGACTTGAATGTAAACATCCCTAAGATGTTTCTTAGAATGCTTCTGGCTAGATTTGATTTGAAGATATTCCCGTTTCCAACGAAATCCTCAAAGCTTTCCAAATATCCACTTCCAGATTCTATAAAAAGAATGTTTCAGAACAGTTCTGTCAAAAGAAAGGTTCAACTCTGTTAGTGGAGAACACACATCACAATCAAGGTTCTGAGAATGCTTCTGTCTAAATTTTCTATGAAGACATTCCCGTTTCCAACGAAATCCTCACAGCTATCCAAATATCCACTTGCAGATTCTACAAAAAGTGTGGTTCAAAACTGCTGTATCAAAAGAATGGATCAACACTGTTAGTTGAGTACCCACATCACAAACGTGATTCTCAGAATGCTTCTGTCTAGTTTCTGTAGGTAGATATTTCCTTTTTCAGCATAGGCCTGAAAGCGCTCCAAATGCCCGCTTCCAGACACTATAAAAAGAGGGTTTCAAACCTACTCTATGAAAGGGAATGTTCAACTCTGAGAGCTGGATGCAAACATCACAAAGAAGTTTCTGAGAATGCTGCTGTCTACTTTTGATATATAATCCCGTTTCCAACGAAATCCTCAAATCTATCCAAATATCCACTTGCAGATTCCAAAAGAAGAGTGTCTCAAAACTGCTCTATCAATAGAAATGTTCAGCACAGTTAGTTGAGTAGATACAGCATAAACATGTTTCTGAGATTACTTCTATCTCGCATTCATGGGAAGATATTTCCTTTTTCCAGATAGGCTACAAAGCCCTCCAAATGTCCACTTCCAGATACTACAAAAAGAGTGTTTCCAACCTGCTCTATGAAACGGAAGGTTCAACTCTGTGACTTGATTGCAAACATCACGAAGGTGTTTCTGAGAATGCTTCTGTCTAGATTTTCTTTGAAGACATTACCGTTTCCAACGAAATCCTCAAAGCTAGCCAAATATCCACCTGCAGATTCTACAAAAAGAGTGTTTCAAAAGTGCTCTGTCCAAACCAAGGTTCAATTCTGACAGTTGAGTGCACACATCACAAACGTGATTCTGCGAATGCTTCTGTCTAGTTTTTGTCGGAAGATATTTCCTTTTTCAGCATAGGCCCCAAGGAGCTCAAAATGTCCACTGCCAGATAGTACGAGAAGATTGTTTCAAACCTGCTCTGTGAAAGGGAATGTTCAACTCTGTGACTTGAATGTAAACATCCCTAAGATGTTTCTTAGAATGCTTCTGGCTAGATTTTATTTGAAGATATTCCCGTTTCCAACGAAATCCTCAAAGCTTTCCAAATATCCACTTCCAGATTCTACAAAAAGAATGTTTCAGAACAGTTCTGTCAAAAGAAAGGTTCAACTCTGTTAGTGGAGAACACACATCACAATCAAGGTTCTGAGAATGCTTCTGTCTAAATTTTCTATGAAGACATTCCCGTTTCCAACGAAATCCTCACAGCTATCCAAATATCCACTTGCAGATTCTACAAAAAGTGTGGTTCAAAACTGCTGTATCAAAAGAATGGATCAACACTGTTAGTTGAGTACCCACATCACAAACGTGATTCTCAGAATGCTTCTGTCTAGTTTCTATAGGTAGATATTTCCTTTTTCAGCATAGGCCTGAAAGCGCTCCAAATGCCCGCTTCCAGACACTATAAAAAGAGGGTTTCAAACCTACTCTATGAAAGGGAATGTTCAACTCTGAGAGCTGGATGCAAACATCACAAAGAAGTTTCTGAGAATGCTGCTGTCTACTTTTTATATATAATCCCGTTTCCAACGAAATCCTCAAATCTATCCAAATATCCACTTGCAGATTCCAAAAGAAGAGTGTCTCAAAACTGCTCTATCAATAGAAATGTTCAGCACAGTTAGTTGAGTAGATACAGCATAAACATGTTTCTGAGATTACATCTATCTCGCATTCATGGGAAGATATTTCCTTTTTCCAGATAGGCTACAAAGCCCTCCAAATGTCCACTTCCAGATACTACAAAAAGTGTGTTTCCAACCTGCTCTATGAAACGGAAGGTTCAACTCTGTGACTTGATTGCAAACATCACGAAGGTGTTTCTGAGAATGCTTCTGTCTAGATTTTCTTTGAAGACATTACCGTTTCCAACGAAATCCTCAAAGCTAGCCAAATATCCACCTGCAGATTCTACAAAAAGTGTGTTTCAAAAGTGCTCTCTCCAAACCAAGGTTCAATTCTGACAGTTGAGTGCACACATCACAAACGGGATTCTGCGAATGCTTCTGACTAGTTTTTGTCGGAAGATATTTCCTTTTTCAGCATAGGCCCCAAAGAGCTCAAAATGTCCACTGCCAGATAGTACGAGAAGATTGTTTCAAACCTGCTCTGTGAAAGGGAATGTTCAACTCTGTGACTTGAATGTAAACATCCCTAAGATGTTTCTTAGAATGCTTCTGGCTAGATTTTATTTGAAGATATTCCCGTTTCCAACGAAATCCTCAAAGCTTTCCAAATATCCACTTCCAGATTCTATAAAAAGAATGTTTCAGAACAGTTCTGTCAAAAGAAAGGTTCAACTCTGTTAGTGGAGAACACACATCACAATCAAGGTTCTGAGAATGCTTCTGTCTAAATTTTCTATGAAGACATTCCCGTTTCCAACGAAATCCTCACAGCTATCCAAATATCCACTTGCAGATTCTACAAAAAGTGTGGTTCAAAACTGCTGTATCAAAAGAATGGATCAACACTGTTAGTTGAGTACCCACATCACAAACGTGATTCTCAGAATGCTTCTGTCTAGTTTCTATAGGTAGATATTTCCTTTTTCAGCATAGGCCTGAAAGCGCTCCAAATGCCCGCTTCCAGACACTATAAAAAGAGGGTTTCAAACCTACTCTATGAAAGGGAATGTTCAACTCTGAGAGCTGGATGCAAACATCACAAAGAAGTTTCTGAGAATGCTGCTGTCTACTTTTTATATATAATCCCGTTTCCAACGAAATCCTCAAATCTATCCAAATATCCACTTGCAGATTCCAAAAGAAGAGTGTCTCAAAACTGCTCTATCAATAGAAATGTTCAGCACAGTTAGTTGAGTAGATACAGCATAAACATGTTTCTGAGATTACTTCTATCTCGCATTCATGGGAAGATATTTCCTTTTTCCACATAGGCTACAAAGCCCTCCAAATGTCCACTTCCAGATACTACAAATAGAGTGCTGCACAACTGCTCTATGTGAGGGGATGTTCAATTCTGTGACTTGAATGCAGACACCACAAAGAAGTTTCTGAGAATGCTGCTGTCTAATTTTTACATGTAAGCCCGTTTCCAACGAAATCCTCAAAGCTATCCAAATATCCGCATGCAGAATCTTCAAAAAGAGTGTTCCAGAAGTACTGCATGAAACGAAAGGTTCAAGTCCGTTTGTTGAGGACACACATCACAAATAAGTTTCTCAGAATGCTTCTGTCTTGTTTTCATTGGAAGATATTTCCTTTTTCACCATAGTTCAGAAAGCGCTCCAAATGTCCACTTCCAGATACTCCAAAAAGAGTGTTTCCAACCTGCTCTATGAATGGGAATGTTCCACTCTGTGACTTGAATGGAAATATGGCAAAGAATTTTCTGAGTATGCTGCTGTGTACGTTTTATATTGCATCCCGTTTCCAACGAAATCCTCAAAGCGATCCAAATATCCACTTGCAGATTCCAAAAAAAGAGTGTTTCAAACTGCTCTGTCAGTACAAAGGTTCAACACTGTTAGTTGATTAGATGCCTCATAAACAAGTTCCTGAGATAGCTTCTATGTTGTTTTTATGGGAAGATATTTCCTTTTTCACCATAGGCCTGAAAGCGCTCCAAATGTCCACTTCCAGATACTACAATAAGAGTGTTTCCAACCTGCTCTATGAAACGGAAGGTTCAACTCTGTGACTTGATTGCAAACATCACGAAGGTGTTTCTGAGAATGTTTCTGTCTAGATTTTCTTTGAAGACATTCCCGTTTCCAACGAAATCCTCACAGCTATCCAAATATCCTCTTGCAGATTCTACAAAAAGTGTGGTTCAAAACTGCTGTATCAAACGAATGGATCAACACTGTTAGTTGAGTACCCACATCACAAACGAGATTCTCAGAATGCTTCTCTCTAGTTTCTATAGGTAGATATTTCCTTTTTCAGCATAGGCCTGAAAGCGCTCCAAATGCCCGCTTCCAGACACTATAAAAAGAGGGTTTCAAACCTACTCTATGAAAGGGAATGTTCAACTCTGAGAGCTGGATGCAAACATCACAAAGAAGTTTCTGAGAATGCTGCTGTCTACTTTTTATATATAATCCCGTTTCCAACGAAATCCTCAAATCTATCCAAATATCCACTTGCAGATTCCAAAAGAAGAGTGTCTCAAAACTGCTCTATCAATAGAAATGTTCAGCACAGTTAGTTGAGTAGATACAGCATAAACATGTTTCTGAGATTACTTCTATCTCGCATTCATGGGAAGATATTTCCTTTTTCCAGATAGGCTACAAAGCCCTCCAAATGTCCACTTCCAGATACTACAAATAGAGTGCTGCACAACTGCTCTATGTGAGGGGAAGTTCAATTCTGTGACTTGAATGCAGACACCACAAAGAAGTTTCTGAGAATGCTGCTGTCTAATTTTTACATGTAAGCCCGTTTCCAACGAAATCCTCAAAGCTATCCAAATATCCGCATGCAGAATCTTCAAAAAGAGTGTTCCAGAAGTACTGCATGAAACGAAAGGTTCAAGTCCGTTTGTTGAGGACACACATCACAAATAAGTTTCTCAGAATGCTTCTGTCTTGTTTTCATTGGAAGATATTTCCTTTTTCACCATAGTTCAGAAAGCGCTCCAAATGTCCACTTCCAGATACTCCAAAAAGAGTGTTTCAAACCTGCTCTATGAATGGGAATGTTCCACTCTGTGACTTGAATGGAAATATGGCAAAGTATTTTCTGAGTATGCTGCTGTGTACGTTTTATATTGCATCCCGTTTCCAACGAAATCCTCAAAGCGATCCAAATATCCACTTGCAGATTCCAAAAAAAGAGTGTTTCAAACTGCTCTGTCAGTACAAAGGTTCAACACTGTTAGTTGATTAGATGCATCATAAACAAGTTCCTGAGACAGCTTCTATGTCGTTTTTATGGGAAGATATTTCCTTTTTCACCATAGGCCTGAAAGCGCTCCAAATGTCCCCTTCCAGATACTACAATAAGAGTGTTTCCAACCTGCTCTATGAAACGGAAGGTTCAACTCTGTGACTTGATTGCAAACATCACGAAGGTGTTTCTGAGAATGCTTCTGTCTAGATTTTCTTTGAAGACATTCCCGTTTCCAACGAAATCCTCACAGCTATCCAAATATCCTCTTGCAGATTCTACAAAAAGTGTGGTTCAAAACTGCTGTATCAAAAGAATGGATCAACACTGTTAGTTGAGTACCCACATCACAAACGTGATTCTCAGAATGCTTCTGTCTAGTTTCTGTAGGTAGATATTTCCTATTTTAAGCATAGGCCTGAAAGCGCTCAAAATGCCCGCTTCCAGACACTATAAAAAGAGGGTTTCAAACCTACTCTATGAAAGGGAATGTTCAACTCTGAGAGCTGGATGCAAACATCACAAAGAAGTTTCTGAGAATGCTGCTGTCTACTTTTTATATATAATCCCGTTTCCAACGAAATCCTCAAATCTATCCAAATATCCACTTGCGGATTCCAAAAGAAGAGTGTCTCAAAACTGCTCTATCAATAGAAATGTTCAGCACAGTTAGTTGAGTAGATACAGCATAAACATGTTTCTGAGATTACTTCTATCTCGCATTCATGGGAAGATATTTCCTTTTTCCAGATAGGCTACAAAGCCCTCCAAATGTCCACTTCCAGATACTACAAATAGAGTGCTGCACAACTGCTCTATGTGAGGGGAAGTTCAATTCTGTGACTTGAATGCAGACACCACAAAGAAGTTTCTGAGAATGCTGCTGTCTAATTTTTATATGTAAGCTCGTTTCCAACGAAATCCTCACAGCTAACCAAATATCCGCATGCAGAATCTTCAAAAAGAGTGTTCCAGAAGTACTGCATGAAACGAAAGGTTCGAGTCCTTTAGTTGAGGACACGCATCACAAATAAGTTTCTCAGAATGCTTCTGTCTTGTTTTCATTGGAAGATATTTCCTTTTTCACCATAGTTCAGAAAGCGCTCCAAATGTCCACTTCCAGATACTCCAAAAAGAGTGTTTCAAACCTGCTCTATGAATGGGAATGTTCCACTCTGTGACTTGAATGGAAATATGGCAAAGTATTTTCTGAGTATGCTGCTGTGTACGTTTTATATTGCATCCCGTTTCCAACGAAATCCTCAAAGCGATCCAAATATCCACTTGCAGATTCCAAAAAAAGAGTGTTTCAAACTGCTCTGTCAGTACAAAGGTTCAACACTGTTAGTTGATTAGATGCATCATAAACAAGTTCCTGAGATAGCTTCTATGTCGCTTTTATGGGAAGATATTTCCTTTTACACCATAGGCCTGAAAGCGCTCCAAATGTCCACTTCCAGATACTACAAAATGAGTGTTTCCAACCTGCTCTATGAAACGGAAGGTTCAACTCTGTGACTTGATTGCAAACATCACGAAGGTGTTTCTGAGGATGTTTCTGTCTAGATTTTCTTTGAAGACATTACCGTTTCCAACGAAATCCTCAAAGCTAGCCAAATATCCACCTGCAGATTCTACAAAAAGAGTGTTTCAAAAGTGCTCTGTCCAAACCAAGGTTCAATTCTGACAGTTGAGTGCACACATCACAAACGTGATTCTGCAAATGCTTCTGTCTAGTTTTTGTCGGAAGATATTTCCTTTTTCAGCATAGGCCCCAAGGAGCTCAAAATGTCCACTGCCAGATAGTACGAGAAGATTGTTTCAAACCTGCTCTGAGAAAGGGGAATGTTCAACTCTGTGACTTGAATGTAAACATCCCTAAGATGTTTCTTAGAATGCTTCTGGCTAGATTTGATTTGAAGATATTCCCGTTTCCAACGAAATCCTCAAAGCTTTCCAAATATCCACTTCCAGATTCTATAAAAAGAATGTTTCAGAACAGTTCTGTCAAAAGAAAGGTTCAACTCTGTTAGTGGAGAACACACATCACAATCAAGGTTCTGAGAATGCTTTCCTGTCTAAATTTTCTATGAAGACATTCCCGTTTCCAACGAAATCCTCACAGCTATCCAAGTATCCACTTGCAGATTCTACAAAAAGTGTGGTTCAAAACTGCTGTATCAAAAGAATGGATCAACACTGTTAGTTGAGTACCCACATCACCAACGTGATTCTCAGAATGCTTCTGTCTAGTTTCTATAGGTAGATATTTCCTTTTTCAGCATAGGCCTGAAAGCGCTCCAAATGCCCGCTTCCAGACACTATAAAAAGAGGGTTTCAAACCTACTCTATGAAAGGGAATGTTCAACTCTGAGAGCTGGATGCAAACATCACAAAGAAGTTTCTGAGAATGCTGCTGTCTACTTTTGATATATAATCCCGTTTCCAACGAAATCCTCAAATCTATCCAAATATCCACTTGCAGATTCCAAAAGAAGAGTGTCTCAAAACTGCTCTATCAATAGAAATGTTCAGCACAGTTAGTTGAGTAGATACAGCATAAACATGTTTCTGAGATTACTTCTATCTCGCATTCATGGGAAGATATTTCCTTTTTCCAGATAGGCTACAAAGCCCTCCAAATGTCCACTTCGAGATACTACAAATAGAGTGCTGCACAACTGCTCTATGTGAGGGGAAGTTCAATTCTGTGACTTGAATGCAGACACCACAAAGAAGTTTCTGAGAATGCTGCTGTCTAATTTTTACATGTAAGCCCGTTTCCAACGAAATCCTCAAAGCTATCCAAATATCCGCATGCAGAATCTTCAAAAAGAGTGTTCCAGAAGTACTGCATGAAACGAAAGGTTCAAGTCCGTTTGTTGAGGACACACATCACAAATAAGTTTCTCAGAATGCTTCTGTGTTGTTTTCATTGGAAGATATTTCCTTTTTCACCATAGTTCAGAAAGCGCTCCAAATGTCCACTTCCAGATACTCCAAAAAGAGTGTTTCCAACCTGCTCTATGAATGGGAATGTTCCACTCTGTGACTTGAATGGAAATATGGCAAAGTATTTTCTGAGTATGCTGCTGTGTACGTTTTATATTGCATCCCGTTTCCAACGAAATCCTCAAAGCGATCCAAATATCCACTTGCAGATTCCAAAAAAAGAGTGTTTCAAACTGCTCTGTCAGTACAAAGGTTCAACACTGTTAGTTGATTAGATGCATCATAAAAAAGTTCCTGAGATAGCTTCTATGTCGTTTTTATGGGAAGATATTTCCTTTTTCACCATAGGCCTGAAAGCGCTCCAAATGTCCACTTCCAGATACTACAATAAGAGTGTTTCCAACCTGCTCTATGAAACGGAAGGTTCAACTCTGTGACTTGATTGCAAACATCACGAAGGTGTTTCTGAGAATGCTTCTGTCTAGATTTTCTTTGAAGACATTCCCGTTTCCAACGAAATCCTCACAGCTATCCAAATATCCTCTTGCAGATTCTACAAAAAGTGTGGTTCAAAACTGCTGTATCAAAAGAATGGATCAACACTGTTAGTTGAGTACCCACATCACAAACGTGATTCTCAGAATGCTTCTGTCTAGTTTCTGTAGGTAGATATTTCCTATTTTAAGCATAGGCCTGAAAGCGCTCCAAATGCCCGCTTCCAGACACTATAAAAAGAGGGTTTCAAACCTACTCTATGAAAGGGAATGTTCAACTCTGAGAGCTGGATGCAAACATCACAAAGAAGTTTCTGAGAATGCTGCTGTCTACTTTTTATATATAATCCCGTTTCCAACGAAATCCTCAAATCTATCCAAATATCCACTTGCAGATTCCAAAAGAAGAGTGTCTCAAAACTGCTCTATCAATAGAAATGTTCAGCACAGTTAGTTGAGTAGATACAGCATAAACATGTTTCTGAGATTACTTCTATCTCGCATTCATGGGAAGATATTTCCTTTTTCCAGATAGGCTACAAAGCCCTCCAAATGTCCACTTCGAGATACTACAAATAGAGTGCTGCACAACTGCTCTATGTGAGGGGAAGTTCAATTCTGTGACTTGAATGCAGACACCACAAAGAAGTTTCTGAGAATGCTGCTGTCTAATTTTTACATGTAAGCCCGTTTCCAACGAAATCCTCAAAGCTATCCAAATATCCGCATGCAGAATCTTCAAAAAGAGTGTTCCAGAAGTACTGCATGAAACGAAAGGTTCAAGTCCGTTTGTTGAGGACACACATCACAAATAAGTTTCTCAGAATGCTTCTGTCTTGTTTTCATTGGAAGATATTTCCTTTTTCACCATAGTTCAGAAAGCGCTCCAAATGTCCACTTCCAGATACTCCAAAAAGAGTGTTTCAAACCTGCTCTATGAATGGGAATGTTCCACTCTGTGACTTGAATGGAAATATGGCAAAGTATTTTCTGAGTATGCTGCTGTGTACGTTTTATATTGCATCCCGTTTCCAACGAAATCCTCAAAGCGATCCAAATATCCACTTGCAGATTCCAAAAAAAGAGTGTTTCAAACTGCTCTGTCAGTACAAAGGTTCAACACTGTTAGTTGATTAGATGCATCATAAACAAGTTCCTGAGATAGCTTCTATGTCGTTTTTATGGGAAGATATTTCCTTTTTCACCATAGGCCTGAAAGCGCTCCAAATGTCCACTTCCAGATACTACAATAAGAGTGTTTCCAACCTGCTCTATGAAACGGAAGGTTCAACTCTGTGACTTGATTGCAAACATCACGAAGGTGTTTCTGAGAATGCTTCTGTCTAGATTTTCTTTGAAGACATTCCCGTTTCCAACGAAATCCTCACAGCTATCCAAATATCCTCTTGCAGATTCTACAAAAAGTGTGGTTCAAAACTGCTGTATCAAAAGAATGGATCAACACTGTTAGTTGAGTACCCACATCACAAACGTGATTCTCAGAATGCTTCTGTCTAGTTTCTATAGGTAGATATTTCCTTTTTCAGCATAGGCCTGAAAGCGCTCCAAATGCCCGCTTCCAGACACTATAAAAAGAGGGTTTCAAACCCACTCCACGAAAGGGAATGTTCAACTCTGAGAGCTGGATGCAAACCTCACAAAGAAGTTTCTGAGAATGCTGCTGTCTACTTTTGATATATAATCCCGTTTCCAAGGAAATCCTCAAATCTATCGAAATATCCACTTGCAGATTCCAACAGGAGAGTGTCTCAAAACTGCTCTATCAATAGAAATGTTCAGCACAGTTAGTTGAGTAGATACAGCATAATCATGTTTCTGAGATTACTTCTATCTCGCATTCATGGGAAGATATTTCCTTTTTCCAGATAGGCTACAAAGCCCTCCAAATGTCCACTTCGAGATACTACAAATAGAGTGCTGCACAGCTGCTCTATGTGAGGGGATGTTCAATTCTGTGACTTGAATGCAGACACCACAAAGAAGTTTCTGAGAATGCTGCTGTCTGATTTTTATATGTAAGCCCGTTTCCAACGAAATCCTCAAAGCTATCCAAATATCCGCATGCAGAATCTTCAAAAAGAGTGTTCCAGAAGTACTGCATGAAACGAAAGGTTCAAGTCCGTTAGTTGAGGACACACATCACAAATAAGTTTCTCAGAATGCTTCTGTCTTGTTTTCATTGGAAGATATTTCCTTTTTCACCATAGTTCAGAAAGCGCTCCAAATGTCCACTTCCAGATACTACAAAAAGAGTGTTTCCAAGCTGCTCTATGAATGGGAATGTTCCACTCTGTGACTTGAATGGAAATATGGCAAAGTATTTTCTGAGTATGCTGCTGTGTACGTTTTATATTGCATCCCGTTTCCAACGAAATCCTCAAAGCGATCCAAATATCCACTTGCAGATTCCAAAAAAAAGAGTGTTTCACACTGCTCTGTCAGTACAAAGGTTCAACACTGTTAGTTGATTGGATGCATCATAAACAAGTTCCTGAGATAGCTTCTATGTCGTTTTTATGGGAAGATATTTCCTTTTTCACCATAGGCCTGAAAGCGCTCCAAATGTCCACTTCCAGATACTACAAAAAGAGTGTTTCCAACCTGCTCTATGAAACGGAAGGTTCAACTCTGTGACTTGATTGCAAACATCACGAAGGTGTTTCTGAGAATGTTTCTGTCTAGATTTTCTTTGAAGACATTACCGTTTCCAACGAAATCCTCAAAGCTAGCCAAATATCCACCTGCAGATTCTACAAAAAGAGTGTTTCAAAAGTGCTCTGTCCAAACAAAGGTTCAATTCTGACAGTTGAGTGCACACATCACAAACGTGATTCTGCGAATGCTTCTGTCTAGTTTTTGTCGGAAGATATTTCCTTTTTCAGCATAGGCCCAAAGGAGCTCAAAATGTCCACTGCCAGATAGTACGAGAAGATTGTTTCAAACCTGCTCTGTGAAAGGGAATGTTCAACTCTGTGACTTGAATGTAAACATCCCTAAGATGTTTCTTAGAATGCTTCTGGCTAGATTTGATTTGAAGATATTCCCGTTTCCAATGAAATCCTCAAAGCTTTCCAAATATCCACTTCCAGATTCTATAAAAAGAATGTTTCAGAACAGTTCTGTCAAAAGAAAGGTTCAACTCTGTTAGTGGAAAAAACACATCACAATCAAGGTTCTGAGAATGCTTCTGTCTAAATTTTCTATGGAGGCATTCCCGTTTCCAAGGAAATCCTCACAGCTATCCAAATATCCACTTGCAGATTCTACAAAAAGTGTGGTTGAAAACTGCTGTATCAAAAGAATGGATCAACACTGTTAGTTGAGTACCCACATCACAAACGTGATTCTCAGAATGCTTCTGTCTAGTTTCTATAGGTAGATATTTCCTTTTTCAGCATAGGCCTGAAAGCGCTCCAAATGCCCGCTTCCAGACACTATAAAAAGAGGGTTTCAAACCTACTCTATGAAAGGGAATGTTCAACTCTGAGAGCTGGATGCAAACATCACAAAGAAGTTTCTGAGAATGCGGCTGTCTACTTTTTATATATAATCCCATTTCCAACAAAATCCTCAAATCTATCCAAATATCCACTTGCAGATTCCAAAAGAAGAGTGTCTCAAAACTGCTCTATCAATAGAAATGTTCAGCACAGTTAGTTGAGTAGATACAGCATAAACATGTTTCTGAGATTACTTCTATCTCGCATTCATGGGAAGATATTTCCTTTTTCCAGATAGGCTACAAAGCCCTCCAAATGTCCACTTCCAGATACTACAAAAAGAGTGTTTCCAACCTGCTCTATGAAACGGAAGGTTCAACTCTGTGACTTGATTGCAAACATCACGACGCTGTTTCTGAGAATGCTTCTGTCTAGATTTTCTTTGAAGACATTACCGTTTCCAACGAAATCCTCAAAGCTAGCCAAATATCCACCTGCAGATTCTACAAAAAGAGTGTTTCAAAAGTGCTCTGTCCAAACCAAGGTTCAATTCTGACAGTTGAGTGCACACATCACAAACGTGATTCTGCGAATGCTTCTGTCTAGTTTTTGTTGGAAGATATTTCAATTTTCAGCATAGGCCCCAAGGAGCTCAAAATGTCCACTGCCAGATAGTACGAGAAGATTGTTTCAAACCTGCTCTGTGAAAGGGAATGTTCAACTCTGTGACTTGAATGTAAACATCCCTAAGATGTTTCTTAGAATGCTTCTGGCTAGATTTGATTTGAAGATATTCCCGTTTCCAACGAAATCCTCAAAGCTTTCCAAATATCCACTTTCAGATTCTATAAAAAGAATGTTTCAGAACAGTTCTGTCAAAAGAAAGGTTCAACTCTGTTAGTGGAGAACACACATCACAATCAAGGTTCTGAGAATGCTTCTGTCTAAGTTTTCTAAGAAGACATTCCCGTTTCCAACGAAATCCTCACAGCTATCCAAATATCCACTTGCAGATTCTACAAAAAGTGTGGTTCAAAACTGCTGTATCAAAAGAATGGATCAACACTGTTAGTTGAGTACCCACATCACAAACGTGATTCTCAGAATGCTTCTGTCTAGTTTCTGTAGGTGGATATTTCCTATTTTAAGCATAGGCCTGTAAGCGCTCCAAATGCCCGCTTCTAGACACTATAAAAAGAGGGTTTCAAACCTACTCTATGAAAGGGAATGTTCAACTCTGAGAGCTGGATGCAAACATCACAAAGAAGTTTCTGAGAATGCTGCTGTCTACTTTTTATATATAATCCCGTTTCCAACGAAATCCTCAAATCTATCCAAATATCCACTTGCAGATTCCAAAAGAAGAGTGTCTCAAAACTGCTCTATCAATAGAAATGTTCAGCACAGTTAGTTGAGTAGATACAGCATAAACATGTTTCTGAGATTACTTCTATCTCGCATTCATGGGAAGATATTTCCTTTTTCCAGATAGGCTACAAAGCCCTCCAAATGTCCACTTCCAGATACTACAAAAAGTGTGTTTCCAACCTGCTCTATGAAACGGAAGGTTCAACTCTGTGACTTGATTGCAAACATCACGAAGGTGTTTCTGAGAATGCTTCTGTCTAGATTTTCTTTGAAGACATTACCGTTTCCAACGAAATCCTCAAAGCTAGCCAAATATCCACCTGCAGATTCTACAAAAAGTGTGTTTCAAAAGTGCTCTCTCCAAACCAAGGTTCAATTCTGACAGTTGAGTGCACACATCACAAACGGGATTCTGCGAATGCTTCTGACTAGTTTTTGTCGGAAGATATTTCCTTTTTCAGCATAGGCCCCAAAGAGCTCAAAATGTCCACTGCCAGATAGTACGAGAAGATTGTTTCAAACCTGCTCTGTGAAAGGGAATGTTCAACGCTGTGACTTGAATGTAAACATCCCTAAGATGTTTCTTAGAATGCTTCTGGCTAGATTTTATTTGAAGATATTCCCGTTTCCAACGAAATCCTCAAAGCTTTCCAAATATCCACTTCCAGATTCTATAAAAAGAATGTTTCAGAACAGTTCTGTCAAAAGAAAGGTTCAACTCTGTTAGTGGAGAACACACATCACAATCAAGGTTCTGAGAATGCTTCTGTCTAAATTTTCTATGAAGACATTCCCGTTTCCAACGAAATCCTCACAGCTATCCAAATATCCACTTGCAGATTCTACAAAAAGTGTGGTTCAAAACTGCTGTATCAAAAGAATGGATCAACACTGTTAGTTGAGTACCCACATCACAAACTTGATTCTCAGAATGCTTCTGTCTAGTTTCTATATGTAGATATTTCCTTTTTCAGCATAGGCCTGAAAGCGCTCCAAATGCCCGCTTCCAGACACTATAAAAAGAGGGTTTCAAACCTACTCTATGAAAGGGAATGTTCAACTCTGAGAGCTGGATGCAAACATCACAAAGAAGTTTCTGAGAATGCTGCTGTCTACTTTTTATATATAATCCCGTTTCCAACGAAATCCTCAAATCTATCCAAATATCCACTTGCAGATTCCAAAAGAAGAGGGTCTCAAAACTGCTCTATCAATAGAAATGTTCAGCACAGTTAGTTGAGTAGATACAGCATAAACATGTTTCTGAGATTACTTCTATCTCGCATTCATGGGAAGATATTTCCTTTTCCAGATAGGCTACAAAGCCCTCCAAATGTCCACTTCCAGATACTACAAATAGAGTGCTGCACAACTGCTCTATGTGAGGGGAAGTTCAATTCTGTGACTTGAATGCAGACACCACAAAGAAGTTTCTGAGAATGCTGCTGTCTAATTTTTACATGTAAGCCCGTTTCCAACGAAATCCTCAAAGCTATCCAAATATCCGCATGCAGAATCTTCAAAAAGAGTGTTCCAGAAGTACTGCATGAAACGAAAGGTTCAAGTCCGTTTGTTGAGGACACACATCACAAATAAGTTTCTCAGAATGCTTCTGTCTTGTTTTCATTGGAAGATATTTCCTTTTTCACCATAGTTCAGAAAGCGCTCCAAATGTCCACTTCCAGATACTCCAAAAAGAGTGTTTCCAACCTGCTCTATGAATGGGAATGTTCCACTCTGTGACTTGAATGGAAATATGGCAAAGTATTTTCTGAGTATGCTGCTGTGTACGTTTTATATTGCATCCCGTTTCCAACGAAATCCTCAAAGCGATCCAAATATCCACTTGCAGATTCCAAAAAAAGAGTGTTTCAAACTGCTCTGTCAGTACAAAGGTTCAACACTGTTAGTTGATTAGATGCATCATAAACAAGTTCCTGAGATAGCTTCTATGTCGTTTTTATGGGAAGATATTTCCTTTTTCACCATAGGCCTGAAAGCGCTCCAAATGTCCACTTCCAGATACTACAATAAGAGTGTTTCCAACCTGCTCTATGAAACGGAAGGTTCAACTCTGTGACTTGATTGCAAACATCACGAAGGTGTTTCTGAGAATGCTTCTGTCTAGATTTTCTTTGAAGACATTCCCGTTTCCAACGAAATCCTCACAGCTATCCAAATATCCTCTTGCAGATTCTACAAAAAGTGTGGTTCAAAACTGCTGTATCAAAAGAATGGATCAACACTGTTAGTTGAGTACCCACATCACAAACGTGATTCTCAGAATGCTTCTGTCTAGTTTCTGTAGGTAGATATTTCCTATTTTAAGCATAGGCCTGAAAGCGCTCCAAATGCCCGCTTCCAGACACTATAAAAAGAGGGTTTCAAACCTACTCTATGAAAGGGAATGTTCAACTCTGAGAGCTGGATGCAAACATCACAAAGAAGTTTCTGAGAATGCTGCTGTCTACTTTTTATATATAATCCCGTTTCCAACGAAATCCTCAAATCTATCCAAATATCCACTTGCAGATTCCAAAAGAAGAGTGTCTCAAAACTGCTCTATCAATAGAAATGTTCAGCACAGTTAGTTGAGTAGATACAGCATAAACATGTTTCTGAGATTACTTCTATCTCGCATTCATGGGAAGATATTTCCTTTTTCCAGATAGGCTACAAAGCGCTCCAAATGTCCACTTCCAGATACTACAAAAAGAGTGTTTCCAACCTGCTCTATGAAACGGAAGGTTCAACTCTGTGACTTGATTGCAAACATCACGAAGGTGTTTCTGAGAATGCTTCTGTCTAGATTTTCTTTGAAGACATTACCGTTTCCAACGAAATCCTCAAAGCTAGCCAAATATCCACCTGCAGATTCTACAAAAAGAGTGTTTCAAAAGTGCTCTCTCCAAACCAAGGTTCAATTCTGACAGTTGAGTGCACACATCACAAACGTGATTCTGCGAATGCTTCTGTCTAGTTTTTGTCGGAAGATATTTCCTTTTTCAGCATAGGCCCCAAGGAGCTCAAAATGTCCACTGCCAGATAGTACGAGAAGATTGTTTCAAACCTGCTCTGTGAAAGGGAATGTTCAACTCTGTGACTTGAATGTAAACATCCCTAAGATGTTTCTTAGAATGCTTCTGGCTAGATTTGATTTGAAGATATTCCCGTTTCCAACGAAATCCTCAAAGCTTTCCAAATATCCACTTCCAGATTCTATAAAAAGAATGTTTCAGAACAGTTCTGTCAAAAGAAAGGTTCAACTCTGTTAGTGGAGAACACACATCACAATCAAGGTTCTGAGAATGCTTCTGTCTAAATTTTCTATGAAGACATTCCCGTTTCCAACGAAATCCTCACAGCTATCCAAATATCCACTTGCAGATTCTACAAAAAGTGTGGTTCAAAACTGCTGTATCAAAAGAATGGATCAACACTGTTAGTTGAGTACCCACATCACAAACGTGATTCTCAGAATGCTTCTGTCTAGTTTCTATAGGTAGATATTTCCTTTTTCAGCATAGGCCTGAAAGCGCTCCAAATGCCCGCTTCCAGACACTATAAAAAGAGGGTTTCAAACCTACTCTATGAAAGGGAATGTTCAACTCTGAGAGCTGGATGCAAACATCACAAAGAAGTTTCTGAGAATGCTGCTGTCTACTTTTTATATATAATCCCGTTTCCAACGAAATCCTCAAATCTATCCAAATATCCACTTGCAGATTCCAAAAGAAGAGTGTCTCAAAACTGCTCTATCAATAGAAATGTTCAGCACAGTTAGTTGAGTAGATACAGCATAAACATGTTTCTGAGATTACTTCTATCTCGCATTCATGGGAAGATATTTCCTTTTTCCAGATAGGCTACAAAGCCCTCCAAATGTCCACTTCGAGATACTACAAATAGAGTGCTGCACAACTGCTCTATGTGAGTTGATGTTCAATTCTGTGACTTGAATGCAGACACCACAAAGAAGTTTCTGAGAATGCTGCTGTCTAATATTTACATGTAAGCTCGTTTCCAACGAAATCCTCAAAGCTATCCAAATATCCGCATGCAGAATCTTTAAAAAGAGTGTTCCAGAAGTACTGCATGAAACGAAAGGTTCAAGTCCATTAGTTGAAGACACACATCGCAAATAAGTTTCTCAGAATGCTTCTGTCTTGTTTTCATTGGAAGATATTTCCTTTTTCACCATAGTTCAGAAAGCGCTCCAAATGTCCACTTCCAGATACTCCAAAAAGAGTGTTTCAAACCTGCTCTATGAATGGGAATGTTCCACTCTGTGACTTGAATGGAAATATGGCAAAGTATTTTCTGAGTATGCTGCTGTGTACGTTTTATATTGCATCCCGTTTCCAACGAAATCCTCAAAGCGATCCAAATATCCACTTGCAGATTCCAAAAAAAGAGTGTTTCAAACTGCTCTGTCAGTACAAAGGTTCAACACTGTTAGTTGATTAGATGCATCATAAACAAGTTCCTGAGATAGCTTCTATGTCGTTTTTATGGGAAGATATTTCCTTTTTCACCATAGGCCTGAAAGCGCTCCAAATGTCCACTTCCAGATACTACAAAAAGAGTGTTTCCAACCTGCTCTATGAAACGGAAGGTTCAACTCTGTGACTTGATTGCAAACATCACGAAGGTGTTTCTGAGAATGCTTCTGTCTAGATTTTCTTTGAAGACATTACCGTTTCCAACGAAATCCTCAAAGCTAGCCAAATATCCACCTGCAGATTCTACAAAAAGAGTGTTTCAAAATTGCTCTGTCCAAACCAAGGTTCAATTCTGACAGTTGAGTGCACACATCACAAACGTGATTCTGCGAATGCTTCTGTCTAGTTTTTGTCGGAAGATATTTCCTTTTTCAGCATAGGCCCCAAGGAGCTCAAAATGTCCACTTCCAGATAGTACGAGAAGATTGTTTAAAACCTGCTCTGTGAAAGGGAATGTTCAACTCTGTGACTTGAATGTAAACATCCCTAAGATGTTTCTTAGAATGCTTCTGGCTAGATTTTATTTGAAGATATTCCCGTTTCCAACGAAATCCTCAAAGCTTTCCAAATATCCACTTCCAGATTCTATATAAAGAATGTTTCAGAACAGTTCTGTCAAAAGAAAGGTTCAACTCTGTTAGTGGAGAACACACATCACAATCAAGGTTCTGAGAATGCTTCTGTCTAAATTTTCTATGAAGACATTCCCGTTTCCAACGAAATCCTCACAGCTATCCAAATATCCACTTGCAGATTCTACAAAAAGTGTGGTTCAAAACTGCTGTATCAAAAGAATGGATCAACACTGTTAGTTGAGTACCCACATCACAAACGTGATTCTCAGAATGCTTCTGTCTAGTTTCTATAGGTAGATATTTCCTTTTTCAGCATAGGCCTGAAAGCGCTCCAAATGCCCGCTTCCAGACACTATAAAAAGAGGGTTTCAAACCTACTCTATGAAAGGGAATGTTCAACTCTGAGAGCTGGATGCAAACATCACAAAGAAGTTTCTGAGAATGCTGCTGTCTACTTTTTATATATAATCCCGTTTCCAACGAAATCCTCAAATCTATCCAAATATCCACTTGCAGATTCCAAAAGAAGAGTGTCTCAAAACTGCTCTATCAATAGAAATGTTCAGCACAGTTAGTTGAGTAGATACAGCATAAACATGTTTCTGAGATTACTTCTATCTCGCATTCATGGGAAGATATTTCCTTTTTCCAGATAGGCTACAAAGCCCTCCAAATGTCCACTTCCAGATACTACAAAAAGAGTGTTTCCAACCTGCTCTATGAAATGGAAGGTTCAACTCTGTGACTTGATTGCAAACATCACGAAGGTGTTTCTGAGAATGCTTCTGTCTAGATTTTCTTTGAAGACATTACCGTTTCCAACGAAATCCTCAAAGCTAGCTAAATATCCACCTGCAGATTCTACAAAAAGAGTGTTTCAAAAGTGCTCTGTCCAAACCAAGGTTCAATTCTGACAGTTGAGTGCACACATCACAAACGTGATTCTGCGAATGCTTCTGTCTAGTTTTTGTCGGAAGATATTTCCTTTTTCAGCATAGGCCCCAAGGAGCTCAAAATGTCCACTGCCAGATAGTACGAGAAGATTGTTTCAAACCTGCTCTGTGAAAGGGAATGTTCAACTCTGTGACTTGAATGTAAACATCCCTAAGATGTTTCTTGGAATGCTTCTGGCTAGATTTTATTTGAAGATATTCCCGTTTCCAACGAAATCCTCAAAGCTTTCCAAATATCCACTTCCAGATTCTATAACAAGAATGTTTCAGAACAGTTCTGTCAAAAGAAAGGTTCAACTCTGTTAGTGGAGAACACACATCACAATCAAGGTTCTGAGAATGCTTCTGTCTAAATTTTCTATGAAGACATTCCCGTTTCCAACGAAATCCTCACAGCTATCCAAATATCCACTTGCAGATTCTACAAAAAGTGTGGTTCAAAACTGCTGTATCAAAAGAATGGATCAACACTGTTAGTTGAGTACCCACATCACAAACGTGATTCTCAGAATGCTTCTGTCTAGTTTCTATAGGTAGATATTTCCTTTTTCAGCATAGGCCTGAAAGCGCTCCAAATGCCCGCTTCCAGACACTATAAAAAGAGGGTTTCAAACCTACTCTATGAAAGGGAATGTTCAACTCTGAGAGCTGGATGCAAACATCACAAAGAAGTTTCTGAGAATGCTGCTGTCTACTTTTGATATATAATCCCGTTTCCAACGAAATCCTCAAATCTATCCAAATATCCACTTGCAGATTCCAAAAGAAGAGTGTCTCAAAACTGCTCTATCAATAGAAATGTTCAGCACAGTTAGTTGAGTAGATACAGCATAAACATGTTTCTGAGATTACTTCTATCTCGCATTCATGGGAAGATATTTCCTTTTTCCAGATAGGCTACAAAGCCCTCCAAATGTCCACTTCCAGATACTACAAAAAGAGTGTTTCCAACCTGCTCTATGAAACGGAAGGTTCAACTCTGTGACTTGATTGCAAACATCACGAAGGTGTTTCTGAGAATGCTTCTGTCTAGATTTTCTTTGAAGACATTACCGTTTCCAACGAAATCCTCAAAGCTAGCCAAATATCCACCTGCAGATTCTACAAAAAGAGTGTTTCAAAAGTGCTCTGTCCAAACCAAGGTTCAATTCTGACAGTTGAGTGCACACATCACAAACGTGATTCTGCGAATGCTTCTGTCTAGTTTTTGTCGGAAGATATTTCCTTTTTCAGCATAGGCCCCAAGGAGCTCAAAATGTCCACTGCCAGATAGTACGAGAAGATTGTTTCAAACCTGCTCTGTGAAAGGGAATGTTCAACTCTGTGACTTGAATGTAAACATCCCTAAGATGTTTCTTAGAATGCTTCTGGCTAGATTTTATTTGAAGATATTCCCGTTTCCAACGAAATCCTCAAAGCTTTCCAAATATCCACTTCCAGATTCTATAAAAAGAATGTTTCATAACAGTTCTGTCAAAAGAAAGGTTCAACTCTGTTAGTGGAGAACACACATCACAATCAAGGTTCTGAGAATGCTTCTGTCTAAATTTTCTATGAAGACATTCCCGTTTCCAACGAAATCCTCACAGCTATCCAAATATCCACTTGCAGATTCTACAAAAAGTGTGGTTCAAAACTGCTGTATCAAAAGAATGGATCAACACTGTTAGTTGAGTACCCACATCACAAACGTGATTCTCAGAATGCTTCTGTCTAGTTTCTGTAGGTAGATATTTCCTATTTTAAGCATAGGCCTGAAAGCGCTCCAAATGCCCGCTTCCAGACACTATAAAAAGAGGGTTTCAAACCTACTCTATGAAAGGGAATGCTCAACTACTGAGAGCTGGATGCAAACATCACAAAGAAGTTTCTGAGAATGCTGCTGTCTACTTTTTATATATAATCGCGTTTCCAACGAAATCCTCAAATCTATCCAAATATCCACTTGCAGATTCCAAAAGAAGAGTGTCTCAAAACTGCTCTATCAATAGAAATGTTCAGCACAGTTAGTTGAGTAGATACAGCATAAACATGTTTCTGAGATTACTTCTATCTCGCATTCATGGGAAGATATTTCCTTTTTCCAGATAGGCTACAAAGCCCTCCAAATGTCCACTTCCAGATACTACAAAAAGAGTGTTTCCAACCTGCTCTATGAAACGGAAGGTTCAACTCTGTGACTTGATTGCAAACATCACGAAGGTGTTTCTGAGAATGCTTCTGTCTAGATTTTCTTTGAAGACATTACCGTTTCCAACGAAATCCTCAAAGCTAGCCAAATATCCACCTGCAGATTCTACAAAAAGAGTGTTTCAAAAGTGCTCTGTCCAAACCAAGGTTCAATTCTGACAGTTGAGTGCACACATCACAAACGTGATTCTGCGAATGCTTCTGTCTAGTTTTTGTCGGAAGATATTTCCTTTTTCAGCATAGGCCCCAAGGAGCTCAAAATGTCCACTGCCAGATAGTACGAGAAGATTGTTTCAAACCTGCTCTGTGAAAGGGAATGTTCAACTCTGTGACTTGAATGTAAACATCCCTAAGATGTTTCTTAGAATGCTTCTGGCTAGATTTGATTTGAAGATATTCCCGTTTCCAACGAAATCCTCAAAGCTTTCCAAATATCCACTTCCAGATTCTATAAAAAGAATGTTTCAGAACAGTTCTGTCAAAAGAAAGGTTCAACTCTGTTAGTGGAGAACACACATCACAATCAAGGTTCTGAGAATGCTTCTGTCTAGATTTTCTTTGAAGACATTCCCGTTTCCAACGAAATCCTCACAGCTATCCAAATATCCTCTTGCAGATTCTACAAAAAGTGTGGTTCAAAACTGCTGTATCAAAAGAATGGATCAACACTGTTAGTTGAGTACCCACATCACAAACGTGATTCTCAGATGCTTCTGTCTAGTTTCTGTAGGTAGATATTTCCTATTTTAAGCATAGGCCTGAAAGCGCTCCAAATGCCCGCTTCCAGACACTATAAAAAGAGGGTTTCAAACCTACTCTATGAAAGGGAATGTTCAACTCTGAGAGCTGGATGCAAACATCACAAAGAAGTTTCTGAGAATGCTGCTGTCTACTTTTTATATATAATCCCGTTTCCAACGAAATCCTCAAATCTATCCAAATATCCACTTGCAGATTCCAAAAGAAGAGTGTCTCAAAACTGCTCTATCAATAGAAATGTTCAGCACAGTTAGTTGAGTAGATACAGCATAAACATGTTTCTGAGATTACTTCTATCTCGCATTCATGGGAAGATATTTCCTTTTTCCAGATAGGCTACAAAGCCCTCCAAATGTCCACTTCCAGATACTACAAATAGAGTGCTGCACAGCTGCTCTATGTGAGGGGAAGTTCAATTCTGTGACTTGAATGCAGACACCACAAAGAAGTTTCTGAGAATGCTGCTGTCTAATTTTTACATGTAAGCCCGTTTCCAACGAAATCCTCAAAGCTATCCAAATATCCGCATGCAGAATCTTCAAAAAGAGTGTTCCAGAAGTACTGCATGAAACGAAAGGTTCAAGTCCGTTTGTTGAGGACACACATCACAAATAAGTTTCTCAGAATGCTTCTGTCTTGTTTTCATTGGAAGATATTTCCTTTTTCACCATAGTTCAGAAAGCGCTCCAAATGTTCACTTCCAGATACTCCAAAAAGAGTGTTTCCAACCTGCTCTATGAATGGGAATGTTCCACTCTGTGACTTGAATGGAAATATGGCAAAGTATTTTCTGAGTATGCTGCTGTGTACGTTTTATATTGCATCCCGTTTCCAACGAAATCCTCAAAGCGATCCAAATATCCACTTGCAGATTCCAAAAAAAGAGTGTTTCAAACTGCTCTGTCAGTACAAAGGTTCAACACTGTTAGTTGATTAGATGCATCATAAACAAGTTCCTGAGATAGCTTCTATGTCGTTTTTATGGGAAGATATTTCCTTTTTCACCATAGGCCTGAAAGCGCTCCAAATGTCCACTTCCAGATACTACAATAAGAGTGTTTCCAACCTGCTCTATGAAACGGAAGGTTCAACTCTGTGACTTGATTGCAAACATCACGAAGGTGTTTCTGAGAATGCTTCTGTCTAGATTTTCTTTGAAGACATTCCCCTTTCCAACGAAATCCTCACAGCTATCCAAATATCCTCTTGCAGATTCTACAAAAAGTGTGGTTCAAAACTGCTGTATCAAAAGAATGGATCAACACTGTTAGTTGAGTACCCACATCACAAACGTGATTCTCAGAATGCTTCTGTCTAGTTTCTGTAGGTAGATATTTCCTATTTTAAGCATAGGCCTGAAAGCGCTCCAAATGCCCGCTTCCAGACACTATAAAAAGAGGGTTTCAAACCTACTCTATAAAAGGGAATGCTCAACTCTGAGAGCTGGATGCAAACATCACAAAGAAGTGTCGGAGAATGCTGCTGTCTACTTTTTATATATAATCCCGTTTCCAACGAAATCCTCAAATCTATCCAAATATCCACTTGCAGATTCCAAAAGAAGAGTGTCTGAAAACTGCTCTATCAATAGAAATGTTCAGCACAGTTAGTTGAGTAGATACAGCATAAACATGTTTCTGAGATTACTTCTATCTCGCATTCATGGGAAGATATTTCCTTTTTCCAGATAGGCTACAAAGCCCTCCAAAATGTCCACTTTGAGATACTACAAATAGAGTGCTGCACAACTGCTCTATGTGAGGGGAAGTTCAATTCTGTGACTTGAATGCAGACACCACAAAGAAGTTTCTGAGAATGCTGCTGTCTAATTTTTACATGTAAGCCCGTTTCCAACGAAATCCTCAAAGCTATCCAAATATCCGCATGCAGAATCTTCAAAAAGAGTGTTCCAGAAGTACTGCATGAAACGAAAGGTTCAAGACCGTTTGTTGAGGACACACATCACAAATAAGTTTCTCAGAATGCTTCTGTGTTGTTTTCATTGGAAGATATTTCCTTTTTCACCATAGTTCAGAAAGCGCTCCAAATGTCCACTTCCAGATACTCCAAAAAGAGTGTTTCAAACCTGCTCTATGAATGGGAATGTTCCACTCTGTGACTTGAATGGAAATATGGCAAAGTATTTTCTGAGTATGCTGCTGTGTACGTTTTATATTGCATCCCGTTTCCAACGAAATCCTCAAAGCGATCCAAATATCCACTTGCAGATTCCAAAAAAAGAGTGTTTCAAACTGCTCTGTCAGTACAAAGGTTCAACACTGTTAGTTGATTAGATGCATCATAAACAAGTTCCTGAGATAGCTTCTATGTCGTTTTTATGGGAAGATATTTCCTTTTTCACCATAGGCCTGAAAGCGCTCCAAATGTCCACTTCCAGATACTACAATAAGAGTGTTTCCAACCTGCTCTATGAAACGGAAGGTTCAACTCTGTGACTTGATTGCAAACATCACGAAGGTGTTTCTGAGAATGCTTCTGTCTAGATTTTCTTTGAAGACATTCCCGTTTCCAACGAAATCCTCACAGCTATCCAAATATCCTCTTGCAGATTCTACAAAAAGTGTGGTTCAAAACTGCTGTATCAAAAGAATGGATCAACACTGTTAGTTGAGTACCCACATCACAAACGTGATTCTCAGAATGCTTCTGTCTAGTTTCTGTAGGTAGATATTTCCTATTTTAAGCATAGGCCTGAAAGCGCTCCAAATGCCCGCTTCCAGACACTATAAAAAGAGGGTTTCAAACCTACTCTATGAAAGGGAATGTTCAACTCTGAGAGCTGGATGCAAACATCACAAAGAAGTTTCTGAGAATGCTGCTGTCTACTTTTTATATATAATCCCGTTTCCAACGAAATCCTCAAATCTATCCAAATATCCACTTGCAGATTCCAAAAGAAGAGTGTCTCAAAACTGCTCTATCAATAGAAATGTTCAGCACAGTTAGTTGAGTAGATACAGCATAAACATGTTTCTGAGATTACTTCTATCTCGCATTCATGGGAATATATTTCCTTTTTCCAGATAGGCTACAAAGCCCTCCAAATGTCCACTTCCAGATACTACAAAAAGAGTGTTTCCAACCTGCTCTATGAAACGGAAGGTTCAACTCTGTGACTTGATTGCAAACATCATGAAGGTGTTTCTGAGAATGCTTCTGTCTAGATTTTCTTTGAAGACATTACCGTTTCCAACGAAATCCTCAAAGCTAGCCAAATATCCACCTGCAGATTCTACAAAAAGAGTGTTTCAAAAGTGCTCTGTCCCAACCAAGGTTCAATTCTGACAGTTGAGTGCACACATCACAAACGTGATTCTGCGAATGCTTCTGTCTAGTTTTTGTCGGAAGATATTTCCTTTTTCAGCATAGGCCCCAAGGAGCTCAAAATGTCCACTGCCAGATAGTACGAGAAGATTGTTTCAAACCTGCTCTGTGAAAGGGAATGTTCAACTCTGTGACTTGAATGTAAACATCCCTAAGATGTTTCTTAGAATGCTTCTGGCTAGATTTGATTTGAAGATATTCCCGTTTCCAACGAAATCCTCAAAGCTTTCCAAATATCCACTTCCAGATTCTATAAAAAGAATGTTTCATAACAGTTCTGTCAAAAGAAAGGTTCAACTCTGTTAGTGGAGAACACACATCACAATCAAGGTTCTGAGAATGCTTCTGTCTAAATTTTCTATGAAGACCATTCCCGTTTCCAACGAAATCCTCACAGCTATCCAAATATCCACTTGCAGGTTCTACAAAAAGTGTGGTTCAAAACTGCTGTATCAAAAGAATGGATCAACACTGTTAGTTGAGTACCCACATCACAAACGTGATTCTCAGAATGCTTCTGTCTAGTTTCTATAGGTAGATATTTCCTTTTTCAGCATAGGCCTGAAAGCGCTCCAAATGCCCGCTTCCAGACACTATAAAAAGAGGGTTTCAAACCTACTCTATGAAAGGGAATGTTCAACTCTGAGAGCTGGATGCAAACATCACAAAGAAGTTTCTGAGAATGCTGCTGTCTACTTTTTATATATAATCCCGTTTCCAACGAAATCCTCAAATCTATCCAAATATCCACTTGCAGATTCCAAAAGAAGAGTGTCTCAAAACTGCTCTATCAATAGAAATGTTCAGCACAGTTAGTTGAGTAGATACAGCATAAACATGTTTCTGAGATTACTTCTATCTCGCATTCATGGGAAGATATTTCCTTTTTCCACATAGGCTACAAAGCCCTCCAAATGTCCACTTCCAGATACTACAAAAAGAGTGTTTCCAACCTGCTCTATGAAACGGAAGGTTCAACTCTGTGACTTGATTGCAAACATCACGAAGGTGTTTCTGAGAATGCTTCTGTCTAGATTTTCTTTGAAGACATTACCGTTTCCAACGAAATCCTCAAAGCTAGCCAAATATCCACCTGCAGATTCTACAAAAAGAGTGTTTCAAAAGTGCTCTGTCCAAACCAAGGTTCAATTCTGACAGTTGAGTGCACACATCACAAACGTGATTCTGCGAATGCTTCTGTCTAGTTTTTGTCGGAAGATATTTCCTTTTTCAGCATAGGCCCCAAGGAGCTCAAAATGTCCACTGCCAGATAGTACGAGAAGATTGTTTCAAACCTGCTCTGTGAAAGGGAATGTTCAACTCTGTGACTTGAATGTAAACATCCCTAAGATGTTTCTTAGAATGCTTCTGGCTAGATTTGATTTGAAGATATTCCCGTTTCCAACGAAATCCTCAAAGCTTTCCAAATATCCACTTCCAGATTCTATAAAAAGAATGTTTCAGAACAGTTCTGTCAAAAGAAAGGTTCAACTCTGTTAGTGGAGAACACACATCACAATCAAGGTTCTGAGAATGCTTCTGTCTAAATTTTCTATGAAGACATTCCCGTTTCCAACGAAATCCTCACAGCTATCCAAATATCCACTTGCAGATTCTACAAAAAGTGTGGTTCAAAACTGCTGTATCAAAAGAATGGATCAACACTGTTAGTTGAGTACCCACATCACAAACGTGATTCTCAGAATGCTTCTGTCTAGTTTCTATAGGTAGATATCTCCTTTTTCAGCATAGGCCTGAAAGCGCTCCAAATGCCCGCTTCCAGACACTATAAAAAGAGGGTTTCAAACCTACTCTATGAAAGGGAATGTTCAACTCTGAGAGCTGGATGCAAACATCACAAAGAAGTTTGCTGAGAATGCTGCTGTCTACTTTTGATATATAATCCCGTTTCCAACGAAATCCTCAAATCTATCCAAATATCCACTTGCAGATTCCAAAAGAAGAGTGTCTCAAAACTGCTCTATCAATAGAAATGTTCAGCACAGTTAGTTGAGTAGATACAGCATAAACATGTTTCTGAGATTACTTCTATCTCGCATTCATGGGAAGATATTTCCTTTTTCCAGATAGGCTACAAAGCCCTCCAAATGTCCACTTCCAGATACTACAAATAGAGTGCTGCACAACTGCTCTATGTGAGGGGATGTTCAATTCTGTGACTTGAATGCAGACACCACAAAGAAGTTTCTGAGAATGCTGCTGTCTAATTTTTACATGTAAGCCCGTTTCCAACGAAATCCTCAAAGCTATCCAAATATCTGCATGCAGAATCTTCAAAAAGAGTGTTCCAGAAGTACTGCATGAAACGAAAGGTTCAAGTCCGTTTGTTGAGGACACACATCACAAATAAGTTTCTCAGAATGCTTCTGTCTTGTTTTCATTGGAAGATATTTCCTTTTTCACCATAGTTCAGAAAGCGCTCCAAATGTCCACTTCCAGATACTCCAAAAAGAGTGTTTCAAACCTGCTCTATGAATGGGAATGTTCCACTCTGTGACTTGAATGGAAATATGGCAAAGTATTTTCTGAGTATGCTGCTGTGTACGTTTTATATTGCATCCCGTTTCCAACGAAATCCTCAAAGCGATCCAAATATCCACTTGCAGATTCCAAAAAAAGAGTGTTTCAAACTGCTCTGTCAGTACAAAGGTTCAACACTGTTAGTTGATTAGATGCATCATAAACAAGTTCCTGAGATAGCTTCTATGTCGTTTTTATGGGAAGATATTTCCTTTTTCACCATAGGCCTGAAAGCGCTCCAAATGTCCACTTCCAGATACTACAATAAGAGTGTTTCCAACCTACTCTATGAAACGGAAGGTTCAACTCTGTGACTTGATTGCAAACATCACGAAGGTGTTTCTGAGAATGCTTCTGTCTAGATTTTCTTTGAAGACATTCCCGTTTCCAACGAAATCCTCACAGCTATCCAAATATCCTCTTGCAGATTCTACAAAAAGTGTGGTTCAAAACTGCTGTATCAAAAGAATGGATCAACACTGTTAGTTGAGTACCCACATCACAAACGTGATTCTCAGAATGCTTCTGTCTAGTTTCTGTAGGTAGATATTTCCTATTTTAAGCATAGGCCTGAAAGCGCTCCAAATGCCCGCTTCCAGACACTATAAAAAGAGGGTTTCAAACCTACTCTATGAAAGGGAATGCTCAACTCTGAGAGCTGGATGCAAACATCACAAAGAAGTTTCTGAGAATGCTGCTGTCTACTTTTTATATATAATCCCATTTCCAACGAAATCCTCAAATCTATCCAAATATCCACTTGCAGATTCCAAAAGAAGAGTGTCTCAAAACTGCTCTATCAATAGAAATGTTCAGCACAGTTAGTTGAGTAGATACAGCATAAACATGTTTCTGAGATTACTTCTATCTCGCATTCATGGGAAGATATTTCCTTTTTCCAGATAGGCTACAAAGCCCTCCAAATGTCCACTTCCAGATACTACAAATAGAGTGCTGCACAACTGCTCTATGTGAGGGGAAGTTCAATTCTGTGACTTGAATGCAGACACCACAAAGAAGTTTCTGAGAATGCTGCTGTCTAATTTTTACATGTAAGCCCGTTTCCAACGAAATCCTCAAAGCTATCCAAATATCCGCATGCAGAATCTTCAAAAAGAGTGTTCCAGAAGTACTGCATGAAACGAAAGGTTCAAGTCCGTTTGTTGAGGACACACATCACAAATAAGTTTCTCAGAATGCTTCTGTCTTGTTTTCATTGGAAGATATTTCCTTTTTCACCATAGTTCAGAAAGCGCTCCAAATGTCCACTTCCAGATACTCCAAAAAGAGTGTTTCCAACCTGCTCTATGAATGGGAATGTTCCACTCTGTGACTTGAATGGAAATATGGCAAAGTATTTTCTGAGTATGCTGCTGTGTACGTTTTATATTGCATCCCGTTTCCAACGAAATCCTCAAAGCGATCCAAATATCCACTTGCAGATTCCAAAAAAAGAGTGTTTCAAACTGCTCTGTCAGTACAAAGGTTCAACACTGTTAGTTGATTAGATGCATCATAAACAAGTTCCTGAGATAGCTTCTATGTCGTTTTTATGGGAAGATATTTCCTTTTTCACCATAGGCCTGAAAGCGCTCCAAATGTCCACTTCCAGATACTACAAAAAGAGTGTTTCCAACCTGCTCTATGAAACGGAAGGTTCAACTCTGTGACTTGATTGCAAACATCACGAAGGTGTTTCTGAGAATGCTTCTGTCTAGATTTTCTTTGAAGACATTCCCGTTTCCAACGAAATCCTCAAAGCTAGCCAAATATCCACCTGCAGATTCTACAAAAAGAGTGTTTCAAAAGTGCTCTGTCCAAACCAAGGTTCAATTCTGACAGTTGAGTGCACACATCACAAACGTGATTCTGCGAATGCTTCTGTCTAGTTTTTGTCGGAAGATATTTCCTTTTTCAGCATAGGCCCCAAGGAGCTCAAAATGTCCACTGCCAGATAGTACGAGAAGATTGTTTCAAACCTGCTCTGTGAAAGGGAATGTTCAACTCTGTGACTTGAATGTAAACATCCCTAAGATGTTTCTTAGAATGCTTCTGGCTAGATTTTATTTGAAGATATTCCCGTTTCCAACGAAATCCTCAAAGCTTTCCAAATATCCACTTCCAGATTCTATAAAAAGAATGTTTCAGAACAGTTCTGTCAAAAGAAAGGTTCAACTCTGTTAGTGGAGAACACACATCACAATCAAGGTTCTGAGAATGCTTCTGTCTAAATTTTCTATGAAGACATTCCCGTTTCCAACGAAATCCTCACAGCTATCCAAATATCCACTTGCAGATTCTACAAAAAGTGTGGTTCAAAACTGCTGTATCAAAAGAATGGATCAACACTGTTAGTTGAGTACCCACATCACAAACGTGATTCTCAGAATGCTTCTGTCTAGTTTCTATAGGTAGATGTCTCCTTTTTCAGCATAGGCCTGAAAGCGCTCCAAATGCCCGCTTCCAGACACTATAAAAAGAGGGTTTCAAACCTACTCTATGAAAGGGAATGTTCAACTCTGAGAGCTGGATGCAAACATCACAAAGAAGTTTCTGAGAATGCTGCTGTCTACTTTTTATATATAATCCCGTTTCCAACGAAATCCTCAAATCTATCCAAATATCCACTTGCAGATTCCAAAAGAAGAGGGTCTCAAAACTGCTCTATCAATAGAAATGTTCAGCACAGTTAGTTGAGTAGATACAGCATAAACATGTTTCTGAGATTACTTCTATCTCGCATTCATGGGAAGATATTTCCTTTTTCCAGATAGGCTACAAAGCCCTCCAAATGTCCACTTCCAGATACTACAAATAGAGTGCTGCACAACTGCTCTATGTGAGGGGAAGTTCAATTCTGTGACTTGAATGCAGACACCACAAAGAAGTTTCTGAGAATGCTGCTGTCTAATTTTTACATGTAAGCCCGTTTCCAACGAAATCCTCAAAGCTATCCAAATATCCGAATGCAGAATCTTCAAAAAGAGTGTTCCAGAAGTACTGCATGAAACGAAAGGTTCAAGTCCGTTTGTTGAGGACACACATCACAAATAAGTTTCTCAGAATGCTTCTGTCTTGTTTTCATTGGAAGATATTTCCTTTTTCACCATAGTTCAGAAAGCGCTCCAAATGTCCACTTCCAGATACTCCAAAAAGAGTGTTTCCAACCTGCTCTATGAATGGGAATGTTCCACTCTGTGACTTGAATGGAAATATGGCAAAGTATTTTCTGAGTATGCTGCTGTGTACGTTTTATATTGCATCCCGTTTCCAACGAAATCCTCAAAGCGATCCAAATATCCACTTGCAGATTCCAAAAAAAGAGTGTTTCAAACTGCTCTGTCAGTACAAAGGTTCAACACTGTTAGTTGATTAGATGCATCATAAACAAGTTCCTGATATAGATTCTATGTCGTTTTTATGGGAAGATATTTCCTTTTTCACCATAGGCCTGAAAGCGCTCCAAATGTCCACTTCCAGATACTACAAAAAGAGTGTTTCCAACCTGCTCTATGAAACGGAAGGTTCAACTCTGTGACTTGATTGCAAACATCACGAAGGTGTTTCTGAGAATGCTTCTGTCTAGATTTTCTTTGAAGACATTCCCGTTTCCAACGAAATCCTCACAGCTATCCAAATATCCTCTTGCAGATTCTACAAAAAGTGTGGTTCAAAACTGCTGTATCAAAAGAATGGATCAACACTGTTAGTTGAGTACCCACATCACAAACGTGATTCTCAGAAGGCTTCTGTCTAGTTTCTGTAGGTAGATATTTCCTATTTTAAGCATAGGCCTGAAAGCGCTCCAAATGCCCGCTTCCAGACACTATAAAAAGAGGGTTTCAAACCTACTCTATGAAAGGGAATGTTCAACTCTGAGAGCTGGATGCAAACATCACAAAGAAGTTTCTGAGAATGCTGCTGTCTACTTTTTATATATAATCCCGTTTCCAACGAAATCCTCAAATCTATCCAAATATCCACTTGCAGATTCCAAAAGAAGAGTGTCTCAAAACTGCTCTATCAATAGAAATGTTCAGCACAGTTAGTTGAGTAGATACAGCATAAACATGTTTCTGAGATTACTTCTATCTCGCATTCATGGGAAGATATTTCCTTTTTCCAGATAGGCTACAAAGCCCTCCAAATGTCCACTTCCAGATACTACAAAAAGAGTGTTTCCAACCTGCTCTATGAAACGGAAGGTTCAACTCTGTGACTTGATTGCAAACATCACGAAGGTGTTTCTGAGAATGCTTCTGTCTAGATTTTCTTTGAAGACATTACCGTTTCCAACGAAATCCTCAAAGCTAGCCAAATATCCACCTGCAGATTCTACAAAAAGAGTGTTTCAAAAGTGCTCTCTCCAAACCAAGGTTCAATTCTGACAGTTGAGTGCACACATCACAAACGTGATTCTGCGAATGCTTCTGTCTAGTTTTTGTCGGAAGATATTTCCTTTTTCAGCATAGGCCCCAAGGAGCTCAAAATGTCCACTGCCAGATAGTACGAGAAGATTGTTTCAAACCTGCTCTGTGAAAGGGAATGTTCAACTCTGTGACTTGAATGTAAACATCCCTAAGATGTTTCTTAGAATGCTTCTGGCTAGATTTGATTTGAAGATATTCCCGTTTCCAACGAAATCCTCAAAGCTTTCCAAATATCCACTTCCAGATTCTATAAAAAGAATGTTTCAGAACAGTTCTGTCAAAAGAAAGGTTCAACTCTGTTAGTGGAGAACACACATCACAATCAAGGTTCTGAGAATGCTTCTGTCTAAATTTTCTATGAAGACATTCCCGTTTCCAACGAAATCCTCACAGCTATCCAAATATCCACTTGCAGATTCTACAAAAAGTGTGGTTCAAAACTGCTGTATCAAAAGAATGGATCAACACTGTTAGTTGAGTACCCACATCACAAACGTGATTCTCAGAATGCTTCTGTCTAGTTTCTATAGGTAGATATTTCCTTTTTCAGCATAGGCCTGAAAGCGCTCCAAATGCCCGCTTCCAGACACTATAAAAAGAGGGTTTCAAACCTACTCTATGAAAGGGAATGTTCAACTCTGAGAGCTGGATGCAAACATCACAAAGAAGTTTCTGAGAATGCTGCTGTCTACTTTTTATATATAATCCCGTTTCCAACGAAATCCTCAAATCTATCCAAATATCCACTTGCAGATTCCAAAAGAAGAGTGTCTCAAAACTGCTCTATCAATAGAAATGTTCAGCACAGTTAGTTGAGTAGATACAGCATAAACATGTTTCTGAGATTACTTCTATCTCGCATTCATGGGAAGATATTTCCTTTTTCCAGATAGGCTACAAAGCCCTCCAAATGTCCACTTCCAGATACTACAAATAGAGAGCTGCACAACTGCTCTATGTGAGGGGAAGTTCAATTCTGTGACTTGAATGCAGACACCACAAAGAAGTTTCTGAGAATTCTGCTGTCTAATTTTTATATGTAAGCCCGTTTCCAACGAAATCCTCAAAGCTATGCAAATATCCGCATGCAGAATCTTCAAAAAGAGTGTTCCAGAAGTACTGCATGAAACGAAAGGTTCAAGTCCGTTTGTTGAGGACACACATCACAAATAAGTTTCTCAGAATGCTTCTGTCTTGTTTTCATTGGAAGATATTTCCTTTTTCACCATAGTTCAGAAAGCGCTCCAAATGTCCACTTCCAGATACTCCAAAAAGAGTGTTTCCAACCTGCTCTATGAATGGGAATGTTCCACTCTGTGACTTGAATGGAAATATGGCAAAGTATTTTCTGAGTATGCTGCTGTGTACGTTTTATATTGCATCCCGTTTCCAACGAAATCCTCAAAGCGATCCAAATATCCACTTGTAGATTCCAAAAAAAGAGTGTTTCAAACTGCTCTGTCAGTAGAAAGGTTCAACACTGTTAGTTGATTAGATGCATCATAAACAAGTTCCTGAGATAGCTTCTATGTCGTTTTTATGGGAAGATATTTCCTTTTTCACCATAGGCCTGAAAGCGCTCCAAATGTCCACTTCCAGATACTACAATAAGAGTGTTTCCAACCTGCTCTATGAAACGGAAGGTTCAACTCTGTGACTTGATTGCAAACATCACGAAGGTGTTTCTGAGAATGCTTCTGTCTAGATTTTCTTTGAAGACATTCCCGTTTCCAACGAAATCCTCGCAGCTATCCAAATATCCTCTTGCAGATTCTACAAAAAGTGTGGTTCAAAACTGCTGTATCAAAAGAATGGATCAACACTGTTAGTTGAGTACCCACATCACAAACGTGATTCTCAGAATGCTTCTGTCTAGTTTCTGTAGGTAGATATTTCCTATTTTAAGCATAGGCCTGAAAGCGCTCCAAATGCCCGCTTCCAGACACTATAAAAAGAGGGTTTCAAACCTACTCTATGAAAGGGAATGTTCAACTCTGAGAGCTGGATGCAAACATCACAAAGAAGTTTCTGAGAATGCTGCTGTCTACTTTTTATATATAATCCCGTTTCCAACGAAATCCTCAAATCTATCCAAATATCCACTTGCAGATTCCAAAAGAAGAGTGTCTCAAAACTGCTCTATCAATAGAAATGTTCAGCACAGTTAGTTGAGTAGATACAGCATAAACATGTTTCTGAGATTACTTCTATCTCGCATTCATGGGAAGATATTTCCTTTTTCCAGATAGGCTACAAAGCCCTCCAAATGTCCACTTCCAGATACTACAGAAAGAGTGTTTCCATCCTGCTCTATGAAACGGAAGGTTCAACTCTGTGACTTGATTGCAAACATCACGAAGGTGTTTCTGAGAATGCTTCTGTCTAGATTTTCTTTGAAGACATTACCGTTTCCAACGAAATCCTCAAAGCTAGCCAAATATCCACCTGCAGATTCTACAAAAAGAGTGTTTCAAAAGTGCTCTGTCCAAACCAAGGTTCAATTCTGACAGTTGAGTGCACACATCACAAACGTGATTCTGCGAATGCTTCTGTCTAGTTTTTGTCGGAAGATATTTCCTTTTTCAGCATAGGCCCCAAGGAGCTCAAAATGTCCACTGCCAGATAGTACGAGAAGATTGTTTCAAACCTGCTCTGTGAAAGGGAATGTTCAACTCTGTGACTTGAATGTAAACATCCCTAAGATGTTTCTTAGAATGCTTCTGGCTAGATTTTATTTGAAGATATTCCCGTTTCCAACGAAATCCTCAAAGCTTTCCAAATATCCACTTCCAGATTCTATAAAAAGAATGTTTCAGAACAGTTCTGTCAAAAGAAAGGTTCAACTCTGTTAGTGGAGAACACACATCACAATCAAGGTTCTGAGAATGCTTCTGTCTAAATTTTCTATGAAGACATTCCCGTTTCCAACGAAATCCTCACAGCTATCCAAATATCCACTTGCAGATTCTACAAAAAGTGTGGTTCAAAACTGCTGTATCAAAAGAATGGATCAACACTGTTAGTTGAGTACCCACATCACAAACGTGATTCTCAGAATGCTTCTGTCTAGTTTCTATAGGTAGATATTTCCTTTTTCAGCATAGGCCTGAAAGCGCTCCAAATGCCCGCTTCCAGACACTATAAAAAGAGGGTTTCAAACCTACTCTATGAAAGGGAATGTTCAACTCTGAGAGCTGGATGCAAACATCACAAAGAAGTTTCTGAGAATGCTGCTGTCTACTTTTGATATATAATCCCGTTTCCAACGAAATCCTCAAATCTATCCAAATATCCACTTGCAGATTCCAAAAGAAGAGGGTCTCAAAACTGCTCTATCAATAGAAATGTTCAGCACAGTTAGTTGAGTAGATACAGCATAAACATGTTTCTGAGATTACTTCTATCTCGCATTCATGGGAAGATATTTCCTTTTTCCAGATAGGCTACAAAGCCCTCCAAATGTCCACTTCCAGATACTACAAATAGAGTGCTGCACAACTGCTCTATGTGAGGGGAAGTTCAATTCTGTGACTTGAATGCAGACACCACAAAGAAGTTTCTGAGAATGCTGCTGTCTAATTTTTACATGTAAGCCCGTTTCCAACGAAATCCTCAAAGCTATCCAAATATCCGCATGCAGAATCTTCAAAAAGAGTGTTCCAGAAGTACTGCATGAAACGAAAGGTTCAAGTCCGTTTGTTGAGGACACACATCACAAATAAGTTTCTCAGAATGCTTCTGTCTTGTTTTCATTGGAAGATATTTCCTTTTTCACCATAGTTCAGAAAGCGCTCCAAATGTCCACTTCCAGATACTCCAAAAAGAGTGTTTCAAACCTGCTCTATGAATGGGAATGTTCCACTCTCTGACTTGAATGGAAATATGGCAAAGTATTTTCTGAGTATGCTGCTGTGTACGTTTTATATTGCATCCCGTTTCCAACGAAATCCTCAAAGCGATCCAAATATCCACTTGCAGATTCCAAAAAAAGAGTGTTTCAAACTGCTCTGTCAGTACAAAGGTTCAACACTGTTAGTTGATTAGATGCATCATAAACAAGTTCCTGAGATAGCTTCTATGTCGTTTTTATGGGAAGATATTTCCTTTTTCACCATAGGCCTGAAAGCGCTCCAAATGTCCACTTCCAGATACTACAATAAGAGTGTTTCCAACCTGCTCTATGAAACGGAAGGTTCAACTCTGTGACTTGATTGCAAACATCACGAAGGTGTTTCTGAGAATGCTTCTGTCTAGATTTTCTTTGAAGACATTCCCGTTTCCAACGAAATCCTCACAGCTATCCAAATATCCTCTTGCAGATTCTACAAAAAGTGTGGTTCAAAACTGCTGTATCAAAAGAATGGATCAACACTGTTAGTTGAGTACCCACATCACAAACGTGATTCTCAGAATGCTTCTGTCTAGTTTCTGTAGGTAGATATTTCCTATTTTAAGCATAGGCCTGAAAGCGCTCCAAATGCCCGCTTGCAGACACTATAAAAAGAGGGTTTCAAACCTACTCTATGAAAGGGAATGTTCAACTCTGAGAGCTGGATGCAAACATCACAAAGAAGTTTCTGAGAATGCTGCTGTCTACTTTTGATATATAATCCCGTTTCCAACGAAATCCTCAAATCTATCCAAATATCCACTTGCAGATTCCAAAAGAAGAGTGTCTCAAAACTGCTCTATCAATAGAAATGTTCAGCACAGTTAGTTGAGTAGATACAGCATAAACATGTTTCTGAGATTACTTCTATCTCGCATTCATGGGAAGATATTTCCTTTTTCCAGATAGGCTACAAAGCCCTCCAAATGTCCACTTCCAGATACTACAAATAGAGTGCTGCACAACTGCTCTATGTGAGGGGAAGTTCAATTCTGTGACTTGAATGCAGACACCACAAAGAAGTTTCTGAGAATGCTGCTGTCTAATTTTTACATGTAAGCCCGTTTCCAACGAAATCCTCAAAGCTATCCAAATATCCGCATGCAGAATCTTCAAAAAGAGTGTTCCAGAAGTACTGCATGAAACGAAAGGTTCAAGTCCGTTTGTTGAGGACACACATCACAAATAAGTTTCTCAGAATGCTTCTGTCTTGTTTTCATTGGAAGATATTTCCTTTTTCACCATAGTTCAGAAAGCGCTCCAAATGTCCACTTCCAGATACTCCAAAAAGAGTGTTTCCAACCTGCTCTATGAATGGGAATGTTCCACTCTGTGACTTGAATGGAAATATGGCAAAGTATTTTCTGAGTATGCTGCTGTGTACGTTTTATATTGCATCCCGTTTCCAACGAAATCCTCAAAGCGATCCAAATATCCACTTGCAGATTCCAAAAAAAGAGTGTTTCAAACTGCTCTGTCAGTACAAAGGTTCAACACTGTTAGTTGATTAGATGCATCATAAACAAGTTCCTGAGATAGCTTCTATGTCGTTTTTATGGGAAGATATTTCCTTTTTCACCATAGGCCTGAAAGCGCTCCAAATGTCCACTTCCAGATACTACAATAAGAGTGTTTCCAACCTGCTCTATGAAACGGAAGGTTCAACTCTGTGACTTGATTGCAAACATCACGAAGGTGTTTCTGAGAATGCTTCTGTCTAGATTTTCTTTGAAGACATTCCCGTTTCCAACGAAATCCTCACAGCTATCCAAATATCCTCTTGCAGATTCTACAAAAAGTGTGGTTCAAAACTGCTGTATCAAAAGAATGGATCAACACTGTTAGTTGAGTACCCACATCACAAACGTGATTCTCAGAATGCTTCTGTCTAGTTTCTGTAGGTAGATATTTCCTATTTTAAGCATAGGCCTGAAAGCGCTCCAAATGCCCGCTTCCAGACACTATAAAAAGAGGGTTTCAAACCTACTCTATGAAAGGGAATGTTCAACTCTGGGAGCTGGATGCAAACATCACAAAGAAGTTTCTGAGAATGCTGCTGTCTACTTTTTATATATAATCCCGTTTCCAACGAAATCCTCAAATCTATCCAAATATCCACTTGCAGATTCCAAAAGAAGAGTGTCTCAAAACTGCTCTATCAATAGAAATGTTCAGCACAGTTAGTTGAGTAGATACAGCATAAACATGTTTCTGAGATTACATCTATCTCGCATTCATGGGAAGATATTTCCTTTTTCCAGATAGGCTACAAAGCCCTCCAAATGTCCACTTCCAGATACTACAAAAAGTGTGTTTCCAACCTGCTCTATGAAACGGAAGGTTCAACTCTGTGACTTGATTGCAAACATCACGAAGGTGTTTCTGAGAATGCTTCTGTCTAGATTTTCTTTGAAGACATTACCGTTTCCAACGAAATCCTCAAAGCTAGCCAAATATCCACCTGCAGATTCTACAAAAAGAGTGTTTCAAAAGTGCTCTCTCCAAACCAAGGTTCAATTCTGACAGTTGAGTGCACACATCACAAACGTGATTCTGCGAATGCTTCTGTCTAGTTTTTGTCGGAAGATATTTCCTTTTTCAGCATAGGCCCCAAAGAGCTCAAAATGTCCACTGCCAGATAGTACGAGAAGATTGTTTCAAACCTGCTCTGTGAAAGGGAATGTTCAACTCTGTGACTTGAATGTAAACATCCCTAAGCTGTTTCTTAGAATGCTTCTGGCTAGATTTTATTTGAAGATATTCCCGTTTCCAACGAAATCCTCAAAGCTTTCCAAATATCCACTTCCAGATTCTATAAAAAGAATGTTTCAGAACAGTTCTGTCAAAAGAAAGGTTCAGCTCTGTTAGTGGAGAACACACATCACAATAAAGGTTCTGAGAATGCTTCTGTCTAAATTTTCTATGAAGACATTCCCGTTTCCAACGAAATCCTCACAGCTATCCAAATATCCACTTGCAGATTCTACAAAAAGTGTGGTTCAAAACTGCTGTATCAAAAGAATGGATCAACACTGTTAGTTGAGTACCCACATCACAAACGTGATTCTCAGAATGCTTCTGTCTAGTTTCTATAGGTAGATATTTCCTATTTTAAGGATAGGCCTGAAAGCGCTCCAAATGCCCGCTTCCAGACACTATAAAAAGAGGGTTTCAAACCTACTCTATGAAAGGGAATGTTCAACTCTGAGAGCTGGATGCAAACATCACAAAGAAGTTTCTGAGAATGCTGCTGTCTACTTTTGATATATAATCCCGTTTCCAACGAAATCCTCAAATCTATCCAAATATCCACTTGCAGATTCCAAAAGAAGAGTGTCTCAAAACTGCTCTATCAATAGAAATGTTCAGCACAGTTAGTTGAGTAGATACAGCATAAACATGTTTCTGAGATTACTTCTATCTCGCATTCATGGGAAGATATTTCCTTTTTCCAGATAGGCTACAAAGCCCTCCAAATGTCCACTTCGAGATACTACAAATAGAGTGCTGCACAACTGCTCTATGTGAGGGGAAGTTCAATTCTGTGACTTGAATGCAGACACCACAAAGAAGTTTCTGAGAATGCTGCTGTCTAATTTTTACATGTAAGCCCGTTTCCAACGAAATCCTCAAAGCTATCCAAATATCCGCATGCAGAATCTTCAAAAAGAGTGTTCCAGAAGTACTGCATGAAACGAAAGGTTCAAGTCCGTTTGTTGAGGACACACATCACAAATAAGTTTCTCAGAATGCTTCTGTCTTGTTTTCATTGGAAGATATTTCCTTTTTCACCATAGTTCAGAAAGCGCTCCAAATGTCCACTTCCAGATACTCCAAAAAGAGTGTTTCCAACCTGCTCTATGAATGGGAATGTTCCACTCTGTGACTTGAATGGAAATATGGCAAAGTATTTTCTGAGTATGCTGCTGTGTACGTTTTATATTGCATCCCGTTTCCAACGAAATCCTCAAAGCGATCCAAATATCCACTTGCAGATTCCAAAAAAAGAGTGTTTCAAACTGCTCTGTCAGTACAAAGGTTCAACACTGTTAGTTGATTAGATGCATCATAAACAAGTTCCTGAGATAGCTTCTATGTCGTTTTTATGGGAAGATATTTCCTTTTTCACCATAGGCCTGAAAGCGCTCCAAATGTCCACTTCCAGATACTACAAAAAGAGTGTTTCCAACCTGCTCTATGAAACGGAAGGTTCAACTCTGTGACTTGATTGCAAACATCACGAAGGTGTTTCTGAGAATGCTTCTGTCTAGATTTTCTTTGAAGACATTACCGTTTCCAACGAAATCCTCAAAGCTAGCCAAATATCCACCTGCAGATTCTACAAAAAGAGTGTTTCAAAAGTGCTCTGTCCAAACCAAGGTTCAATTCTGACAGTTGAGTGCACACATCACAAACGTGATTCTGCGAATGCTTCTGTCTAGTTTTTGTCGGAAGATATTTCCTTTTTCAGCATAGGCCCCAAAGAGCTCAAAATGTCCACTGCCAGATAGTACGAGAAGATTGTTTCAAACCTGCTCTGTGAAAGGGAATGTTCAACTCTGTGACTTGAATGTAAACATCCCTGAGATGTTTCTTAGAATGCTTCTGGCTAGATTTTATTTGAAGATATTCCCGTTTCCAACGAAATCCTCAAAGCTTTCCAAATATCCACTTCCAGATTCTATAAAAAGAATGTTTCAGAACAGTTCTGTCAAAAGAAAGGTTCAACTCTGTTAGTGGAGAACACACATCACAATCAAGGTTCTGAGAATGCTTCTGTCTAAATTTTCTATGAAGACATTCCCGTTTCCAACGAAATCCTCACAGCTATCCAAATATCCACTTGCAGATTCTACAAAAAGTGTGGTTCAAAACTGCTGTATCAAAAGAATGGATCAACACTGTTAGTTGAGTACCCACATCACAAACGTGATTCTCAGAATGCTTCTGTCTAGTTTCTATAGGTAGATATTTCCTTTTTCAGCATAGGCCTGAAAGCGCTCCAAATGCCCGCTTCCAGACACTATAAAAAGAGGGTTTCAAACCTACTCTATGAAAGGGAATGTTCAACTCTGAGAGCTGGATGCAAACATCACAAAGAAGTTTCTGAGAATGCTGCTGTCTACTTTTTATATATAATCCCGTTTCCAACGAAATCCTCAAATCTATCCAAATATCCACTTGCAGATTCCAAAAGAAGAGTGTCTCAAAACTGCTCTATCAATAGAAATGTTCAGCACAGTTAGTTGAGTAGATACAGCATAAACATGTTTCTGAGATTACTTCTATCTCGCATTCATGGGAAGATATTTCCTTTTTCCAGATAGGCTACAAAGCCCTCCAAATGTCCACTTCCAGATACTACAAAAAGAGTGTTTCCAACCTGCTCTATGAAACGGAAGGTTCAACTCTGTGACTTGATTGCAAACATCACGAAGGTGTTTCTGAGAATGCTTCTGTCTAGATTTTCTTTGAAGACATTACCGTTTCCAACGAAATCCTCAAAGCTAGCCAAATATCCACCTGCAGATTCTACAAAAAGTGTGTTTCAAAAGTGCTCTCTCCAAACCAAGGTTCAATTCTGACAGTTGAGTGCACACATCACAAACGTGATTCTGCGAATGCTTCTGACTAGTTTTTGTCGGAAGATATTTCCTTTTTCAGCATAGGCCCCAAAGAGCTCAAAATGTCCACTGCCAGATAGTACGAGAAGATTGTTTCAAACCTGCTCTGTGAAAGGGAATGTTCAACTCTGTGACTTGAATGTAAACATCCCTAAGATGTTTCTTAGAATACTTCTGGCTAGATTTTATTTGAAGATATTCCCGTTTCCAACGAAATCCTCAAAGCTTTCCAAATATCCACTTCCAGATTCTATAAAAAGAATGTTTCAGAACAGTTCTGTCAAAAGAAAGGTTCAACTCTGTTAGTGGAGAACACACATCACAATCAAGGTTCTGAGAATGCTTCTGTCTAAATTTTCTATGAAGACATTCCCGTTTCCAACGAAATCCTCACAGCTATCCAAATATCCACTTGCAGATTCTACAAAAAGTGTGGTTCAAAACTGCTGTATCAAAAGAATGGATCAACACTGTTAGTTGAGTACCCACATCACAAACGTGATTCTCAGAATGCTTCTGTCTAGTTTCTATAGGTAGATATTTCCTTTTTCAGCATAGGCCTGAAAGCGCTCCAAATGCCCGCTTCCAGACACTATAAAAAGAGGGTTTCAAACCTACTCTATGAAAGGGAATGTTCAACTCTGAGAGCTGGATGCAAACATCACAAAGAAGTTTCTGAGAATGCTGCTGTCTACTTTTGATATATAATCCCGTTTCCAACGAAATCCTCAAATCTATCCAAATATCCACTTGCAGATTCCAAAAGAAGAGTGTCTCAAAACTGCTCTATCAATAGAAATGTTCAGCACAGTTAGTTGAGAAGATACAGCATAAACATGTTTCTGAGATTACTTCTATCTCGCATTCATGGGAAGATATTTCCTTTTTCCAGATAGGCTACAAAGCCCTCCAAATGTCCACTTCCAGATACTACAAATAGAGTGCTGCACAACTGCTCTATGTGAGGGGAAGTTCAATTCTGTGACTTGAATGCAGACACCACAAAGAAGTTTCTGAGAATGCTGCTGTCTAATTTTTACATGTAAGCCCGTTTCCAACGAAATCCTCAAAGCTATCCAAATATCCGCATGCAGAATCTTCAAAAAGAGTGTTCCAGAAGTACTGCATGAAACGAAAGGTTCAAGTCCGTTTGTTGAGGACACACATCACAAATAAGTTTCTCAGAATGCTTCTGTCTTGTTTTCATTGGAAGATATTTCCTTTTTCACCATAGTTCAGAAAGCGCTCCAAATGTCCACTTCCAGATACTCCAAAAAGAGTGTTTCAAACCTGCTCTATGAATGGGAATGTTCCACTCTGTGACTTGAATGGAAATATGGCAAAGTATTTTCTGAGTATGCTGCTGTGTACGTTTTATATTGCATCCCGTTTCCAACGAAATCCTCAAAGCGATCCAAATATCCACTTGCAGATTCCAAAAAAAGAGTGTTTCAAAGTGCTCTGTCAGTACAAAGGTTCAACACTGTTAGTTGATTAGATGCATCATAAACAAGTTCCTGAGATAGCTTCTATGTCGTTTTTATGGGAAGATATTTCCTTTTTCACCATAGGCCTGAAAGCGCTCCAAATGTCCACTTCCAGATACTACAAAAAGAGTGTTTCCAACCTGCTCTATGAAACGGAAGGTTCAACTCTGTGACTTGATTGCAAACATCACGAAGGTGTTTCTGAGAATGCTTCTGTCTAGATTTTCTTTGAAGACATTACCGTTTCCAACGAAATCCTCAAAGCTAGCCAAATATCCACCTGCAGATTCTACAAAAAGAGTGTTTCAAAAGTGCTCTGTCCAAACCAAGGTTCAATTCTGACAGTTGAGTGCACACATCACAAACGTGATTCTGCGAATGCTTCTGTCTAGTTTTTGTTGGAAGATATTTCAATTTTCAGCATAGGCCCCAAGGAGCTCAAAATGTCCACTGCCAGATAGTACGAGAAGATTGTTTCAAACCTGCTCTGTGAAAGGGAATGTTCAACTCTGTGACTTGAATGTAAACATCCCTAAGATGTTTCTTAGAATGCTTCTGGCTAGATTTGATTTGAAGATATTCCCGTTTCCAACGAAATCCTCAAAGCTTTCCAAATATCCACTTCCAGATTCTATAAAAAGAATGTTTCAGAACAGTTCTGTCAAAAGAAAGGTTCAACTCTGTTAGTGGAGAACACACATCACAATCAAGGTTCTGAGAATGCTTCTGTCTAAATTTTCTATGAAGACATTCCCGTTTCCAACGAAATCCTCACAGCTATCCAAATATCCACTTGCAGATTCTACAAAAAGTGTGGTTCAAAACTGCTGTATCAAAAGAATGGATCAACACTGTTAGTTGAGTACCCACATCACAAACGTGATTCTCAGAATGCTTCTGTCTAGTTTCTATAGGTAGATATTTCCTTTTTCAGCATAGGCCTGAAAGCGCTCCAAATGCCCGCTTCCAGACACTATAAAAAGAGGGTTTCAAACCTACTCTATGAAAGGGAATGTTCAACTCTGAGAGCTGGATGCAAACATCACAAAGAAGTTTCTGAGAATGCTGCTGTCTACTTTTTATATATAATCCCGTTTCCAACGAAATCCTCAAATCTATCCAAATATCCACTTGCAGATTCCAAAAGAAGAGTGTCTCAAAACTGCTCTATCAATAGAAATGTTCAGCACAGTTAGTTGAGTAGATACAGCATAAACATGTTTCTGAGATTACTTCTATCTCGCATTCATGGGAAGATATTTCCTTTTTCCAGATAGGCTACAAAGCCCTCCAAATGTCCACTTCCAGATACTACAAAAAGAGTGTTTCCAACCTGCTCTATGAAACGGAAGGTTCAACTCTGTGACTTGATTGCAAACATCACGAAGGTGTTTCTGAGAATGCTTCTGTCTAGATTTTCTTTGAAGACATTACCGTTTCCAACGAAATCCTCAAAGCTAGCCAAATATCCACCTGCAGATTCTACAAAAAGAGTGTTTCAAAAGTGCTCTGTCCAAACCAAGGTTCAATTCTGACAGTTGAGTGCACACATCACAAACGTGATTCTGCGAATGCTTCTGTCTAGTTTTTGTCGGAAGATATTTCCTTTTTCAGCATAGGCCCCAAGGAGCTCAAAATGTCCACTGCCAGATAGTACGAGAAGATTGTTTCAAACCTGCTCTGTGAAAGGGAATGTTCAACTCTGTGACTTGAATGTAAACATCCCTAAGATGTTTCTTAGAATGCTTCTGGCTAGATTTGATTTGAAGATATTCCCGTTTCCAACGAAATCCTCAAAGCTTTCCAAATATCCACTTCCAGATTCTATAAAAAGAATGTTTCAGAACAGTTCTGTCAAAAGAAAGGTTCAACTTTGTTAGTGGAGAACACACATCACAATCAAGGTTCTGAGAATGCTTCTGTCTAAATTTTCTATGAAGACATTCCCGTTTCCAACGAAATCCTCACAGCTATCCAAATATCCACTTGCAGATTCTACAAAAAGTGTGGTTCAAAACTGCTGTATCAAAAGAATGGATCAACACTGTTAGTTGAGTACCCACATCACAAACGTGATTCTCAGAATGCTTCTGTCTAGTTTCTATAGGTAGATATTTCCTTTTTCAGCATAGGCCTGAAAGCGCTCCAAATGCCCGCTTCCAGACACTATAAAAAGAGGGTTTCAAACCTACTCTATGAAAGGGAATGTTCAACTCTGAGAGCTGGATGCAAACATCACAAAGAAGTTTCTGAGAATGCTGCTGTCTACTTTTTATATATAATCCCGTTTCCAACGAAATCCTCAAATCTATCCAAATATCCACTTGCAGATTCCAAAAGAAGAGTGTCTCAAAACTGCTCTATCAATAGAAATGTTCAGCACAGTTAGTTGAGTAGATACAGCATAAACATGTTTCTGAGATTACTTCTATCTCGCATTCATGGGAAGATATTTCCTTTTTCCAGATAGGCTACAAAGCCCTCCAAATGTCCACTTCCAGATACTACAAAAAGAGTGTTTCCAACCTGCTCTATGAAACGGAAGGTTCAACTCTGTGACTTGATTGCAAACATCACGAAGGTGTTTCTGAGAATGCTTCTGTCTAGATTTTCTTTGAAGACATTACCGTTTCCAACGAAATCCTCAAAGCTAGCCAAATATCCACCTGCAGATTCTACAAAAAGAGTGTTTCAAAAGTGCTCTGTCCAAACCAAGGTTCAATTCTGACAGTTGAGTGCACACATCACAAACGTGATTCTGCGAATGCTTCTGTCTAGTTTTTGTCGGAAGATATTTCCTTTTTCAGCATAGGCCCCAAGGAGCTCAAAATGTCCACTGCCAGATAGTACGAGAAGATTGTTTCAAACCTGCTCTGTGAAAGGGAATGTTCAACTCTGTGACTTGAATGTAAACATCCCTAAGATGTTTCTTAGAATGCTTCTGGCTAGATTTGATTTGAAGATATTCCCGTTTCCAACGAAATCCTCAAAGCTTTCCAAATATCCACTTCCAGATTCTATAAAAAGAATGTTTCAGAACAGTTCTGTCAAAAGAAAGGTTCAACTCTGTTAGTGGAGAACACACATCACAATCAAGGTTCTGAGAATGCTTCTGTCTAAATTTTCTATGAAGACATTCCCGTTTCCAACGAAATCCTCACAGCTATCCAAATATCCACTTGCAGATTCTACAAAAAGTGTGGTTCAAAACTGCTGTATCAAAAGAATGGATCAACACTGTTAGTTGAGTACCCACATCACAAACGTGATTCTCAGAATGCTTCCTGTCTAGTTTCTGTAGGTAGATATTTCCTATTTTAAGCATAGGCCTGAAAGCGCTACAAATGCCCGCTTCCAGACACTATAAAAAGAGGGTTTCAAACCTACTCTATGAAAGGGAATGTTCAACTCTGAGAGCTGGATGCAAACATCACAAAGAAGTTTCTGAGAATGCTGCTGTCTACTTTTGATATATAATCCCGTTTCCAACGAAATCCTCAAATCTATCCAAATATCCACTTGCAGATTCCAAAAGAAGAGTGTCTCAAAACTGCTCTATAAATAGAAATGTTCAGCACAGTTAGTTGAGTAGATACAGCATAAACATGTTTCTGAGATTACTTCTATCTCGCATTCATGGGAAGATATTTCCTTTTTCCAGATAGGCTACAAAGCCCTCCAAATGTCCACTTCCAGATACTACAAATAGAGTGCTGCACAACTGCTCTATGTGAGGGGAAGTTCAATTCTGTGACTTGAATGCAGACACCACAAAGAAGTTTCTGAGAATGCTGCTGTCTAATTTTTACATGTAAGCCCGTTTCCAACGAAATCCTCAAAGCTATCCAAATATCCGCATGCAGAATCTTCAAAAAGAGTGTTCCAGAAGTACTGCATGAAACGAAAGGTTCAAGTCCGTTTGTTGAGGACACACATCACAAATAAGTTTCTCAGAATGCTTCTGTGTTGTTTTCATTGGAAGATATTTCCTTTTTCACCATAGTTCAGAAAGCGCTCCAAATGTCCACTTCCAGATACTCCAAAAAGAGTGTTTCCAACCTGCTGTATGAATGGGAATGTTCCACTCTGTGACTTGAATGGAAATATGGCAAAGTATTTTCTGAGTATGCTGCTGTGTACGTTTTATATTGCATCCCGTTTCCAACGAAATCCTCAAAGCGATCCAAATATCCACTTGCAGATTCCAAAAAAAGAGTGTTTCAAACTGCTCTGTCAGTACAAAGGTTCAACACTGTTAGTTGATTAGATGCATCATAAAAAAGTTCCTGAGATAGCTTCTATGTCGTTTTTATGGGAAGATATTTCCTTTTTCACCATAGGCCTGAAAGCGCTCCAAATGTCCACTTCCAGATACTACAATAAGAGTGTTTCCAACCTGCTCTATGAAACGGAAGGTTCAACTCTGTGACTTGATTGCAAACATCACGAAGGTGTTTCTGAGAATGCTTCTGTCTAGATTTTCTTTGAAGACATTCCCGTTTCCAACGAAATCCTCACAGCTATCCAAATATCCTCTTGCAGATTCTGCAAAAAGTGTGGTTCAAAACTGCTGTATCAAAAGAATGGATCAACACTGTTAGTTGAGTACCCACATCACAAACGTGATGCTCAGAATGCTTCTGTCTAGTTTCTGTAGGTAGATATTTCCTATTTTAAGCATAGGCCTGAAAGCGCTCCAAATGCCCGCTTCCAGACACTATAAAAAGAGGGTTTCAAACCTACTCTATGAAAGGGAATGTTCAACTCTGAGAGCTGGATGCAAACATCACAAAGAAGTTTCTGAGAATGCTGCTGTCTACTTTTTATATATAATCCCGTTTCCAACGAAATCCTCAAATCTATCCAAATATCCACTTGCAGATTCCAAAAGAAGAGTGTCTCAAAACTGCTCTATCAATAGAAATGTTCAGCACAGTTAGTTGAGTAGATACAGCATAAACATGTTTCTGAGATTACTTCTATCTCGCATTCATGGGAAGATATTTCCTTTTTCCAGATAGGCTACAAAGCCCTCCAAATGTCCACTTCCAGATACTACAAATAGAGTGCTGCACAACTGCTCTATGTGAGGGGAAGTTCAATTCTGTGACTTGAATGCAGACACCACAAAGAAGTTTCTGAGAATGCTGCTGTCTAATTTTTACATGTAAGACCGTTTCCAACGAAATCCTCAAAGCTATCCAAATATCCGAATGCAGAATCTTCAAAAAGAGTGTTCCAGAAGTACTGCATGAAACGAAAGGTTCAAGTCCGTTTGTTGAGGACACACATCACAAATAAGTTTCTCAGAATGCTTCTGTCTTGTTTTCATTGGAAGATATTTCCTTTTTCACCATAGTTCAGAAAGCGCTCCAAATGTCCACTTCCAGATACTCCAAAAAGAGTGTTTCCAACCTGCTCTATGAATGGGAATGTTCCACTCTGTGACTTGAATGGAAATATGGCAAAGTATTTTCTGAGTATGCTGCTGTGTACGTTTTATATTGCATCCCGTTTCCAACGAAATCCTCAAAGCGATCCAAATATCCACTTGCAGATTCCAAAAAAAGAGTGTTTCAAACTGCTCTGTCAGTAGAAAGGTTCAACACTGTTAGTTGATTAGATGCATCATAAACAAGTTCCTGAGATAGCTTCTATGTCGTTTTTATGGGAAGATATTTCCTTTTTCACCATAGGCCTGAAAGCGCTCCAAATGTCCACTTCCAGATACTACAATAAGAGTGTTTCCAACCTGCTCTATGAAACGGAAGGTTCAACTCTGTGACTTGATTGCAAACATCACGAAGGTGTTTCTGAGAATGCTTCTGTCTAGATTTTCTTTGAAGACATTCCCGTTTCCAACGAAATCCTCACAGCTATCCAAATATCCTCTTGCAGATTCTACAAAAAGTGTGGTTCAAAACTGCTGTATCAAAAGAATGGATCAACACTGTTAGTTGAGTACCCACATCACAAACGTGATTCTCAGAATGCTTCTGTCTAGTTTCTGTAGGTAGATATTTCCTATTTTAAGCATAGGCCTGAAAGCGCTCCAAATGCCCGCTTCCAGACACTATAAAAAGAGGGTTTCAAACCTACTTTATGAAAGGGAATGTTCAACTCTGAGAGCTGGATGCAAACATCACAAAGAAGTTTCTGAGAATGCTGCTGTCTACTTTTTATATATAATCCCGTTTCCAACGAAATCCTCAAATCTATCCAAATATCCACTTGCAGATTCCAAAAGAAGAGTGTCTCAAAACTGCTCTATCAATAGAAATGTTCAGCACAGTTAGTTGAGTAGATACAGCATAAACATGTTTCTGAGATTACTTCTATCTCGCATTCATGGGAAGATATTTCCTTTTTCCAGATAGGCTACAAAGCCCTCCAAATGTCCACTTCCAGATACTACAAAAAGAGTGTTTCCAACCTGCTCTATGAAACGGAAGGTTCAACTCTGTGACTTGATTGCAAACATCACGAAGGTGTTTCTGAGAATGCTTCTGTCTAGATTTTCTTTGAAGACATTACCGTTTCCAACGAAATCCTCAAAGCTAGCCAAATATCCACCTGCAGATTCTACAAAAAGAGTGTTTCAAAAGTGCTCTCTCCAAACCAAGGTTCAATTCTGACAGTTGAGTGCACACATCACAAACGTGATTCTGCGAATGCTTTCTGTCTAGTTTTTGTCGGAAGATATTTCCTTTTTCAGCATAGGCCCCAAGGAGCTCAAAATGTCCACTGCCAGATAGTACGAGAAGATTGTTTCAAACCTGCTCTGTGAAAGGGAATGTTCAACTCTGTGACTTGAATGTAAACATCCCTAAGATGTTTCTTAGAATGCTTCTGGCTAGATTTTATTTGAAGATATTCCCGTTTCCAACGAAATCCTCAAAGCTTTCCAAATATCCACTTCCAGATTCTATAAAAAGAATGTTTCAGAACAGTTCTGTCAAAAGAAAGGTTCAACTCTGTTAGTGGAGAACACACATCACAATCAAGGTTCTGAGAATGCTTCTGTCTAAATTTTCTATGAAGACATTCCCGTTTCCAACGAAATCCTCACAGCTATCCAAATATCCACTTGCAGATTCTACAAAAAGTGTGGTTCAAAACTGCTGTATCAAAAGAATGGATCAACACTGTTAGTTGAGTACCCACATCACAAACGTGATTCTCAGAATGCTTCTGTCTAGTTTCTGTAGGTGGATATTTCCTATTTTAAGCATAGGCCTGTAAGCGCTCCAAATGCCCGCTTCTAGACACTATAAAAAGAGGGTTTCAAACCTACTCTATGAAAGGGAATGTTCAACTCTGAGAGCTGGATGCAAACATCACAAAGAAGTTTCTGAGAATGCTGCTGTCTACTTTTTATATATAATCCCGTTTCCAACGAAATCCCCAAATCTATCCAAATATCCACTTGCAGATTCCAAAAGAAGAGTGTCTCAAAACTGCTCTATCAATAGAAATGTTCAGCACAGTTAGTTGAGTAGATACAGCATAAACATGTTTCTGAGATTACATCTATCTCGCATTCATGGGAAGATATTTCCTTTTTCCAGATAGGCTACAAAGCCCTCCAAATGTCCACTTCCAGATACTACAAAAAGTGTGTTTCCAACCTGCTCTATGAAACGGAAGGTTCAACTCTGTGACTTGATTGCAAACATCACGAAGGTGTTTCTGAGAATGCTTCTGTCTAGATTTTCTTTGAAGACATTACCGTTTCCAACGAAATCCTCAAAGCTAGCCAAATATCCACCTGCAGATTCTACAAAAAGAGTGTTTCAAAAGTGCTCTGTCCAAACCAAGGTTCAATTCTGACAGTTGAGTGCACACATCACAAACGTGATTCTGCGAATGCTTCTGTCTAGTTTTTGTCGGAAGATATTTCCTTTTTCAGCATAGGCCCCAAGGAGCTCAAAATGTCCACTGCCAGATAGTACGAGAAGATTGTTTCAAACCTGCTCTGTGAAAGGGAATGTTCAACTCTGTGACTTGAATGTAAACATCCCTAAGATGTTTCTTAGAATGCTTCTGGCTAGATTTGATTAGAAGATATTCCCGTTTCCAACGAAATCCTCAAAGCTTTCCAAATATCCACTTCCAGATTCTATAAAAAGAATGTTTCAGAACAGTTCTGTCAAAAGAAAGGTTCAACTCTGTTAGTGGAGAACACACATCACAATCAAGGTTCTGAGAATGCTTCTGTCTAAATTTTCTATGAAGCACATTCCCGTTTCCAACGAAATCCTCACAGCTATCCAAATATCCACTTGCAGATTCTACAAAAAGTGTGGTTCAAAACTGCTGTATCAAAAGAATGGATCAACACTGTTAGTTGAGTACCCACATCACAAACGTGATTCTCAGAATGCTTCTGTCTAGTTTCTGTAGGTAGATATTTCCTTTTTCAGCATAGGCCTGAAAGCGCTCCAAATGCCCGCTTCCAGACACTATAAAAAGAGGGTTTCAAACCTACTCTATGAAAGGGAATGTTCAACTCTGAGAGCTGGATGCAAACATCACAAAGAAGTTTCTGAGAATGCTGCTGTCTACTTTTGATATATAATCCCGTTTCCAACGAAATCCTCAAATCTATCCAAATATCCACTTGCAGATTCCAAAAGAAGAGTGTCTCAAAACTGCTCTATCAATAGAAATGTTCAGCACAGTTAGTTGAGTAGATACAGCATAAACATGTTTCTGAGATTACTTCTATCTCGCATTCATGGGAAGATATTTCCTTTATCCAGATGGGCTACAAAGCCCTCCAAATGTCCACTTCGAGATACTACAAATAGAGTGCTGCACAACTGCTCTATGTGAGGGGATGTTCAATTCTGTGACTTGAATGCAGACACCACAAAGAAGTTTCTGAGAATGCTGCTGTCTAATTTTTATATGTAAGCCCGTTTCCAACGAAATCCTCAAAGCTAACCAAATATCCGCATGCAGAATCTTCAAAAAGAGTGTTCCAGAAGTACTGCATGAAACGAAAGGTTCGAGTCCGTTAGTTGAGGACACGCATCACAAATAAGTTTCTCAGAATGCTTCTGTCTTGTTTTCATTGGAAGATATTTCCTTTTTCACCATAGGTCTGAAAGCGCTCCAAATGTCCACTTCCAGACACTCCAAAAAAAGTGTTTCAAACCTGCTCTATGAATGGGAATGTTCCACTCTGTGACTTGAATGGAAATATGGCAAAGTATTTTCTGAGTATGCTGCTGTGTACGTTTTATATTGCATCCCGTTTCCAACGAAATCCTCAAAGCGATCCAAATATCCACTTGCAGATTCCAAAAAAAGAGTGTTTCAAACTGCTCTGTCAGTACAAAGTTTCAACACTGTTAGTTGATTAGATGCATCATAAACAAGTTCCTGAGATAGCTTCTATGTCGCTTTTATGGGAAGATATTTCCTTTTACACCATAGGCCTGAAATCGCTCCAAATGTCCAATTCCAGATACTACAAAATGAGTGTTTCCAACCTGCTCTATGAAACGGAAGGTTCAACTCTGTGACTTGATTGCAAACATCACGAAGGTGTTTCTGAGGATGTTTCTGTCTAGATTTTCTTTGAAGACATTACCGTTTCCAACGAAATCCTCAAAGCTAGCCAAATATCCACCTGCAGATTCTACAAAAAGAGTGTTTCAAAAGTGCTCTGTCCAAACCAAGGTTCAATTCTGACAGTTGAGTGCACACATCACAAACGTGATTCTGCGAATGCTTCTGTCTAGTTTTTGTCGGAAGAATATTTCCTTTTTCAGCATAGGCCCCAAGGAGCTCAAAATGTCCACTGCCAGATAGTACGAGAAGATTGTTTCAAACCTGCTCTGAGAAAGGGGAATGTTCAACTCTGTGACTTGAATGTAAACATCCCTAAGATGTTTCTTAGAATGCTTCTGGCTAGATTTTATTTGAAGATATTCCCGTTTCCAACGAAATCCTCAAAGCTTTCCAAATAACCACTTCCAGATTCTCTAAAAAGAATGTTTCAAAACAGTTCTGTCAAAAGAAAGGTTCAACTCTGTTAGTGGAGAACACACATCACAATCCAGGTTCTGAGAATGCTCCTGTCTAAATTTTCTATGAAGACATTCCCGTTTCCAACGAAATCCTCACAGCTATCCAAATATCCACTTGCACATTCTACAAAAAGTGTGGTTCAAAACTGCTGTATGAAAAGAATGGATCAACACTGTTAGTTGAGTACCCACATCACAAACGTGATTCTCAGAATGCTTCTGTCTAGTTTCTATAGGTAGATATTTCCTTTTTCAGCATAGGCCTGAAAGCGCTCCAAATGCCCGCTTCCAGACACTATAAAAAGAGGGTTTCAAACCTACTCTATGAAAGGGAATGTTCAACTCTGAGAGCTGGATGCAAACATCACAAAGAAGTTTCTGAGAATGCTGCTGTCTACTTTTTATATATAATCCCGTTTCCAACGAAATCCTCAAATCTATCCAAATATCCACTTGCAGATTCCAAAAGAAGAGTGTCTCAAAACTGCTCTATCAATAGAAATGTTCAGCACAGTTAGTTGAGTAGATACAGCATAAACATGTTTCTGAGATTACTTCTATCTCGCATTCATGGGAAGATATTTCCTTTTTCCAGATAGGCTACAAAGCCCTCCAAATGTCCACTTCCAGATACTACAAATAGAGTGCTGCACAACTGCTCTATGTGAGGAGAAGTTCAATTCTGTGACTTGAATGCAGACACCACAAAGAAGTTTCTGAGAATGCTGCTGTCTAATTTTTACATGTAAGCCCGTTTCCAACGAAATCCTCAAAGCTATCCAAATATCCGCATGCAGAATCTTCAAAAAGAGTGTTCCAGAAGTACTGCATGAAACGAAAGGTTCAAGTCCGTTTGTTGAGGACACACATCACAAATAAGTTTCTCAGAATGCTTCTGTCTTGTTTTCATTGGAAGATATTTCCTTTTTCACCATAGTTCAGAAAGCGCTCCAAATGTCCACTTCCAGATACTCCAAAAAGAGTGTTTCCAACCTGCTCTATGAATGGGAATGTTCCACTCTGTGACTTGAATGGAAATATGGCAAAGTATTTTCTGAGTATGCTGCTGTGTACGTTTTATATTGCATCCCGTTTCCAACGAAATCCTCAAAGCGATCCAAATATCCACTTGCAGATTCCAAAAAAAGAGTGTTTCAAACTGCTCTGTCAGTACAAAGGTTCAACACTGTTAGTTGATTAGATGCATCATAAACAAGTTCCTGAGATAGCTTCTATGTCGTTTTTATGGGAAGATATTTCCTTTTTCACCATAGGCCTGAAAGCGCTCCAAATGTCCACTTCCAGATACTACAAAAAGAGTGTTTCCAACCTGCTCTATGAAACGGAAGGTTCAACTCTGTGACTTGATTGCAAACATCACGAAGGTGTTTCTGAGAATGCTTCTGTCTAGATTTTCTTTGAAGACATTACCGTTTCCAACGAAATCCTCAAAGCTAGCCAAATATCCACCTGCAGATTCTACAAAAAGAGTGTTTCAAAAGTGCTCTGTCCAAACCAAGGTTCAATTCTGACAGTTGAGTGCACACATCACAAACGTGATTCTGCGAATGCTTCTGTCTAGTTTTTGTCGGAAGATATTTCCTTTTTCAGCATAGGCCCCAAGGAGCTCAAAATGTCCACTGCCAGATAGTACGAGAAGATTGTTTCAAACCTGCTCTGTGAAAGGGAATGTTCAACTCTGTGACTTGAATGTAAACATCCCTAAGATGTTTCTTAGAATGCTTCTGGCTAGATTTTATTTGAAGATATTCCCGTTTCCAACGAAATCCTCAAAGCTTTCCAAATATCCACTTCCAGATTCTATAACAAGAATGTTTCAGAACAGTTCTGTCAAAAGAAAGGTTCAACTCTGTTAGTGGGGAACACACTTCACAATCAAGGTTCTGAGAATGCTTCCTGTCTAAATTTTCTATGAAGACATTCCCGTTTCCAACGAAATCCTCACAGCTATCCAAATATCCTCTTGCAGATTCTACAAAAAGTGTGGTTCAAAACTGCTGTATCAAAAGAATGGATCAACACTGTTAGTTGAGTACCCACATCACAAACGTGATTCTCAGAATGCTTCTGTCTAGTTTCTATAGGTAGATATTTCCTTTTTCAGCATAGGCCTGAAAGCGCTCCAAATGCCCGCTTCCAGACACTATAAAAAGAGGGTTTCAAACCTACTCTATGAAAGGGAATGTTCAACTCTGAGAGCTGGATGCAAACATCACAAAGAAGTTTCTGAGAATGCTGCTGTCTACTTTTGATATATAATCCCGTTTCCAACGAAATCCTCAAATCTATCCAAATATCCACTTGCAGATTCCAAAAGAAGAGTGTCTCAAAACTGCTCTATCAATAGAAATGTTCAGCACAGTTAGTTGAGTAGATACAGCATAAACATGTTTCTGAGATTACTTCTATCTCGCATTCATGGGAAGATATTTCCTTTTTCCACATAGGCTACAAAGCCCTCCAAATGTCCACTTCCAGATACTACAAAAAGAGTGTTTCCAACCTGCTCTATGAAACGGAAGGTTCAACTCTGTGACTTGATTGCAAACATCACGAAGGTGTTTCTGAGAATGCTTCTGTCTAGATTTTCTTTGAAGACATTACCGTTTCCAACGAAATCCTCAAAGCTAGCCAAATATCCACCTGCAGATTCTACAAAAAGAGTGTTTCAAAAGTGCTCTGTCCAAACCAAGGTTCAATTCTGACAGTTGAGTGCACACATCACAAACGTGATTCTGCGAATGCTTCTGTCTAGTTTTTGTCGGAAGATATTTCCTTTTTCAGCATAGGCCCCAAAGAGCTCAAAATGTCCACTGCCAGATAGTACGAGAAGATTGTTTCAAACCTGCTCTGTGAAAGGTAATGTTCAACTCTGTGACTTGAATGTAAACATCCCTAAGATGTTTCTTAGAATGCTTCTGGCTAGATTTGATTTGAAGATATTCCCGTTTCCAACGAAATCCTCAAAGCTTTCCAAATATCCACTTCCAGATTCTATAAAAAGAATGTTTCAGAACAGTTCTGTCAAAAGAAAGGTTCAACTCTGTTAGTGGAGAACACACATCACAATCAAGGTTACTGAGAATGCTTCTGTCTAGCATTTTCTTTGAAGACATTCCCGTTTCCAACGAAATCCTCACAGCTATCCAAATATCCTCTTGCAGATTCTACAAAAAGTGTGGTTCAAAACTGCTGTATCAAAAGAATGGATCAACACTGTTAGTTGAGTACCCACATCACAAACGTGATTCTCAGAATGCTTCTGTCTAGTTTCTGTAGGTAGATATTTCCTATTTTAAGCATAGGCCTGAAAGCGCTCCAAATGCCCGCTTCCAGACACTATAAAAAGAGGGTTTCAAACCTACTCTATGAAAGGGAATGTTCAACTCTGAGAGCTGGATGCAAACATCACAAAGAAGTTTCTGAGAATGCTGCTGTCTACTTTTTATATATAATCCCGTTTCCAACGAAATCCTCAAATCTATCCAAATATCCACTTGCAGATTCCAAAAGAAGAGTGTCTCAAAACTGCTCTATCAATAGAAATGTTCAGCACAGTTAGTTGAGTAGATACAGCATAAACATGTTTCTGAGATTACTTCTATCTCGCATTCATGGGAAGATATTTCCTTTTTCCAGATAGGCTACAAAGCCCTCCAAATGTCCACTTCCAGATACTACAAATAGAGTGCTGCACAACTGCTCTATGTGAGGGGATGTTCAATTCTGTGACTTGAATGCAGACACCACAAAGAAGTTTCTGAGAATGCTGCTGTCTAATTTTTACATGTAAGCCCGTTTCCAACGAAATCCTCAAAGCTATCCAAATATCCGCATGCAGAATCTTCAAAAAGAGTGTTCCAGAAGTACTGCATGAAACGAAAGGTTCAAGTCCGTTTGTTGAGGACACACATCACAAATAAGTTTCTCAGAATGCTTCTGTCTTGTTTTCATTGGAAGATATTTCCTTTTTCACCATAGTTCAGAAAGCGCTCCAAATGTCCACTTCCAGATACTCCAAAAAGAGTGTTTCAAACCTGCTCTATGAATGGGAATGTTCCACTCTGTGACTTGAATGGAAATATGGCAAAGTATTTTCTGAGTATGCTGCTGTGTACGTTTTATATTGCATCCCGTTTCCAACGAAATCCTCAAAGCGATCCAAATATCCACTTGCAGATTCCAAAAAAAGAGTGTTTCAAACTGCTCTGTCAGTACAAAGGTTCAACACTGTTAGTTGATTAGATGCATCATAAACAAGTTCCTGAGATAGCTTCTATGTCGTTTTTATGGGAAGATATTTCCTTTTTCACCATAGGCCTGAAAGCGCTCCAAATGTCCACTTCCAGATACTACAATAAGAGTGTTTCCAACCTGCTCTATGAAACGGAAGGTTCAACTCTGTGACTTGATTGCAAACATCACGAAGGTGTTTCTGAGAATGCTTCTGTCTAGATTTTCTTTGAAGACATTCCCGTTTCCAACGAAATCCTCACAGCTATCCAAATATCCTCTTGCAGATTCTACAAAAAGTGTGGTTCAAAACTGCTGTATCAAAAGAATGGATCAACACTGTTAGTTGAGTACCCACATCACAAACGTGATTCTCAGAATGCTTCTGTCTAGTTTCTGTAGGTAGATATTTCCTATTTTAAGCATAGGCCTGAAAGCGCTCCAAATGCCCGCTTCCAGACACTATAAAAAGAGGGTTTCAAACCTACTCTATGAAAGGGAATGTTCAACTCTGAGAGCTGGATGCAAACATCACAAAGAAGTTTCTGAGAATGCTGCTGTCTACTTTTTATATATAATCCCGTTTCCAACGAAATCCTCAAATCTATCCAAATATCCACTTGCAGATTCCAAAAGAAGAGTGTCTCAAAACTGCTCTATCAATAGAAATGTTCAGCACAGTTAGTTGAGTAGATACAGCATAAACATGTTTCTGAGATTACTTCTATCTCGCATTCATGGGAAGATATTTCCTTTTTCCAGATAGGCTACAAAGCCCTCCAAATGTCCACTTCCAGATACTACAAAAAGAGTGTTTCCAACCTGCTCTATGAAACGGAAGGTTCAACTCTGTGACTTGATTGCAAACATCACGAAGGTGTTTCTGAGAATGCTTCTGTCTAGATTTTCTTTGAAGACATTACCGTTTCCAACGAAATCCTCAAAGCTAGCCAAATATCCACCTGCAGATTCTACAAAAAGAGTGTTTCAAAAGTGCTCTGTCCAAACCAAGGTTCAATTCTGACAGTTGAGTGCACACATCACAAACGTGATTCTGCGAATGCTTCTGTCTAGTTTTTGTCGGAAGATATTTCCTTTTTCAGCATAGGCCCCAAGGAGCTCAAAATGTCCACTGCCAGATAGTACGAGAAGATTGTTTCAAACCTGCTCTGTGAAAGGGAATGTTCAACTCTGTGACTTGAATGTAAACATCCCTAAGATGTTTCTTAGAATGCTTCTGGCTAGATTTGATTTGAAGATATTCCCGTTTCCAACGAAATCCTCAAAGCTTTCCAAATATCCACTTCCAGATTCTACAAAAAGAATGTTTCAGAACAGTTCTGTCAAAAGAAAGGTTCAACTCTGTTAGTGGAGAACACACATCACAATCAAGGTTCTGAGAATGGTTCCGTCTAAATTTTCTATGAAGACATTCCCGTTTCCAACGAAATCCTCACAGCTATCCAAATATCCACTTGCAGATTCTACAAAAAGTGTGGTTCAAAACTGCTGTATCAAAAGAATGGATCAACACTGTTAGTTGAGTACCCACATCACAAACGTGATTCTCAGAATGCTTCTGTCTAGTTTCTATAGGTAGATATTTCCTTTTTCAGCATAGGCCTGAAAGCGCTCCAAATGCCCGCTTCCAGACACTATAAAAAGAGGGTTTCAAACCTACTCTATGAAAGGGAATGTTCAACTCTGAGAGCTGGATGCAAACATCACAAAGAAGTTTCTGAGAATGCTGCTGTCTACTTTTTATATATAATCCCGTTTCCAACGAAATCCTCAAATCTATCCAAATATCCACTTGCAGATTCCAAAAGAAGAGTGTCTCAAAACTGCTCTATCAATAGAAATGTTCAGCACAGTTAGTTGAGTAGATACAGCATAAACATGTTTCTGAGATTACTTCTATCTCGCATTCATGGGAAGATATTTCCTTTTTCCAGATAGGCTACAAAGCCGTCCAAATGTCCACTTCCAGATACTACAAAAAGAGTGTTTCCAACCTGCTCTATGAAACGGAAGGTTCAACTCTGTGACTTGATTGCAAACATCACGAAGGTGTTTCTGAGAATGCTTCTGTCTAGATTTTCTTTGAAGACATTACCGTTTCCAACGAAATCCTCAAAGCTAGCCAAATATCCACCTGCAGATTCTACAAAAAGAGTGTTTCAAAAGTGCTCTGTCCAAACCAAGGTTCAATTCTGACAGTTGAGTGCACACATCACAAACGTGATTCTGCGAATGCTTCTGTCTAGTTTTTGTCGGAAGATATTTCCTTTTTCAGCATAGGCCCCAAGGAGCTCAAAATGTCCACTGCCAGATAGTACGAGAAGATTGTTTCAAACCTGCTCTGTGAAAGGGAATGTTCAACTCTGTGACTTGAATGTAAACATCCCTAAGATGTTTCTTAGAATGCTTCTGGCTAGATTTTATTTGAAGATATTCCCGTTTCCAACGAAATCCTCAAAGCTTTCCAAATATCCACTTCCAGATTCTATAAAAAGAATGTTTCAGAACAGTTCTGTCAAAAGAAAGGTTCAACTCTGTTAGTGGAGAACACACATCACAATCAAGGTTCTGAGAATGCTTCTGTCTAAATTTTCTATGAAGACATTCCCGTTTCCAACGAAATCCTCACAGCTATCCAAATATCCACTTGCAGATTCTACAAAAAGTGTGGTTCAAAACTGCTGTATCAAAAGAATGGATCAACACTGTTAGTTGAGTACCCACATCACAAACGTGATTCTCAGAATGCTTCTGTCTAGTTTCTATAGGTAGATATTTCCTTTTTCAGCATAGGCCTGAAAGCGCTCCAAATGCCCGCTTCCAGACACTATAAAAAGAGGGTTTCAAACCTACTCTATGAAAGGGAATGTTCAACTCTGAGAGCTGGATGCAAACATCACAAAGAAGTTTCTGAGAATGCTGCTGTCTACTTTTTACATATAATCCCGTTTCCAACGAAATCCTCAAATCTATCCAAATATCCACTTGCAGATTCCAAAAGAAGAGTGTCTCAAAACTGCTCTATCAATAGAAATGTTCAGCACAGTTAGTTGAGTAGATACAGCATAAACATGTTTCTGAGATTACTTCTATCTCGCATTCATGGGAACATATTTCCTTTTTCCAGATAGGCTACAAAGCCCTCCAAATGTCCACTTCCAGATACTACAAAAAGAGTGTTTCCAACCTGCTCTATGAAACGGAAGGTTCAACTCTGTGACTTGATTGCAAACATCACGAAGGTGTTTCTGAGAATGCTTCTGTCTAGATTTTCTTTGAAGACATTACCGTTTCCAACGAAATCCTCAAAGCTAGCCAAATATCCACCTGCAGATTCTACAAAAAGAGTGTTTCAAAAGTGCTCTGTCCAAACCAAGGTTCAATTCTGACAGTTGAGTGCACACATCACAAACGTGATTCTGCGAATGCTTCTGTCTAGTTTTTGTCGGAAGATATTTCCTTTTTCAGCATAGGCCCCAAGGAGCTCAAAATGTCCACTGCCAGATAGTACGAGAAGATTGTTTCAAACCTGCTCTGTGAAAGGGAATGTTCAACTCTGTGACTTGAATGTAAACATCCCTAAGATGTTTCTTAGAATGCTTCTGGCTAGATTTGATTTGAAGATATTCCCGTTTCCAACGAAATCCTCAAAGCTTTCCAAATATCCACTTCCAGATTCTATAAAAAGAATGTTTCAGAACAGTTCTGTCAAAAGAAAGGTTCAACTCTGTTAGTGGAGAACACACATCACAATCAAGGTACTGAGAATGCTTCTGTCTAAATTTTCTATGAAGACATCCCCGTTTCCAACGAAATCCTCACAGCTATCCAAATATCCACTTGCAGATTCTACAAAAAGTGTGGTTCAAAACTGCTGTATCAAAAGAATGGATCAACACTGTTAGTTGAGTACCCACATCACAAACATGATTCTCAGAATACTTCTGTCTAGTTTCTATAGGTAGATATTTCCTTTTTCAGCATAGGCCTGAAAGCGCTCCAAATGCCCGCTTCCAGACACTATAAAAAGAGGGTTTCAAACCTACTCTATGAAAGGGAATGTTCAACTCTGAGAGCTGGATGCAAACATCACAAAGAAGTTTCTGAGAATGCTGCTGTCTACTTTTTATATATAATCCCGTTTCCAACGAAATCCTCAAATCTATCCAAATATCCACTTGCAGATTCCAAAAGAAGAGTGTCTCAAAACTGCTCTATCAATAGAAATGTTCAGCACAGTTAGTTGAGTAGATACAGCATAAACATGTTTCTGAGATTACTTCTATCTCGCATTCATGGGAAGATATTTCCTTTTTCCAGATAGGCTACAAAGCCCTCCAAATGTCCACTTCGAGATACTACAAATAGAGTGCTGCACAACTGCTCTATGTGAGGGGAAGTTCAATTCTGTGACTTGAATGCAGACACCACAAAGAAGTTTCTGAGAATGCTGCTGTCTAATTTTTACATGTAAGCCCGTTTCCAACGAAATCCTCAAAGCTATCCAAATATCCGCATGCAGAATCTTCAAAAAGAGTGTTCCAGAAGTACTGCATGAAACGAAAGGTTCAAGACCGTTTGTTGAGGACACACATCACAAATAAGTTTCTCAGAATGCTTCTGTCTTTGTTTTCATTGGAAGATATTTCCTTTTTCACCATAGTTCAGAAAGCCCTCCAAATGTCCACTTCCACATACTACAAAAAGAGTGTTTCCAACCTGCTCTATGAATGGGAATGTTCCACTCTGTGACTTGAATGGAAATATGGCAACGTATTTTCTGAGTATGCTGCTGTGTACGTTTTATATTGCATCCCGTTTCCAACGAAATCCTCAAAGCGATCCAAATATCCACTTGCAGATTCCAAAAAAAGAGTGTTTCAAACTGCTCTGTCAGTACAAAGGTTCAACACTGTTAGTTGATTAGATGCATCATAAACAAGTTCCTGAGATAGCTTCTATGTCGTTTTTATGGGAAGATATTTCCTTTTTCACCATAGGCCTGAAAGCGCTCCAAATGTCCACTTCCAGATACTACAATAAGAGTGTTTCCAACCTGCTCTATGAAACGGAAGGTTCAACTCTGTGACTTGATTGCAAACATCACGAAGGTGTTTCTGAGAATGCTTCTGTCTAGATTTTCTTTGAAGACATTCCCGTTTCCAACGAAATCCTCACAGCTATCCAAATATCCTCTTGCAGATTCTAGAAAAAGTGTGGTTCAATACTGCTGTATCAAAAGAATGGATCAACACTGTTAGTTGAGTACCCACATCACAAACGTGATTCTCAGAATGCTACTGTCTAGTTTCTGTAGGTAGATATTTCCTATTTTAAGCATAGGCCTGAAAGCGCTCCAAATGCCCGCTTCCAGACACTATAAAAAGAGGGTTTCAAACCTACTCTATGAAAGGGAATGTTCAACTCTGAGAGCTGGATGCAAACATCACAAAGAAGTTTCTGAGAATGCTGCTGTCTACTTTTTATATATAATCCCGTTTCCAACGAAATCCTCAAATCTATCCAAATATCCACTTGCAGATTCCAAAAGAAGAGGGTCTCAAAACTGCTCTATCAATAGAAATGTTCAGCACAGTTAGTTGAGTAGATACAGCATAAACATGTTTCTGAGATTACTTCTATCTCGCATTCATGGGAAGATATTTCCTTTTTCCAGATAGGCTACAAAGCCCTCCAAATGTCCACTTCCAGATACTACAAATAGAGTGCTGCACAACTGCTCTATGTGAGGGGAAGTTCAATTCTGTGACTTGAATGCAGACACCACAAAGAAGTTTCTGAGAATGCTGCTGTCTAATTTTTACATGTAAGCCCGTTTCCAACGAAATCCTCAAAGCTATCCAAATATCCGCATGCAGAATCTTCAAAAAGAGTGTTCCAGAAGTACTGCATGAAACGAAAGGTTCAAGTCCGTTTGTTGAGGACACACATCACAAATAAGTTTCTCAGAATGCTTCTGTCTTGTTTTCATTGGAAGATATTTCCTTTTTCACCATAGTTCAGAAAGCGCTCCAAATGTCCACTTCCAGATACTCCAAAAAGAGTGTTTCCAACCTGCTCTGTGAATGGGAATGTGCCACTCTGTGACTTGAATGGAAATATGGCAAAGTATTTTCTGAGTATGCTGCTGTGTACGTTTTATATTGCATCCCGTTTCCAACGAAATCCTCAAAGCGATCCAAATATCCACTTGCAGATTCCAAAAAAAGAGTGTTTCAAACTGCTCTGTCAGTACAAAGGTTCAACACTGTTAGTTGATTAGATGCATCATAAACAAGTTCCTGAGATAGCTTCTCTGTCGTTTTTATGGGAAGATATTTCCTTTTTCACCATAGGCCTGAAAGCGCTCCAAATGTCCACTTCCAGATACTACAAAAAGAGTGTTTCCAACCTGCTCTATGAAACGGAAGGTTCAACTCTGTGACTTGATTGCAAACATCACGAAGGTGTTTCTGAGAATGCTTCTGTCTAGATTTTCTTTGAAGACATTACCGTTTCCAACGAAATCCTCAAAGCTAGCCAAATATCCACCTGCAGATTCTACAAAAAGAGTGTTTCAAAAGTGCTCTGTCCAAACCAAGGTTCAATTCTGACAGTTGAGTGCACACATCACAAACGTGATTCTGCGAATGCTTCTGTCTAGTTTTTGTCGGAAGATATTTCCTTTTTCAGCATAGGCCCCAAGGAGCTCAAAATGTCCACTGCCAGATAGTACGAGAAGATTGTTTCAAACCTGCTCTGTGAAAGGGAATGTTCAACTCTGTGACTTGAATGTAAACATCCCTAAGATGTTTCTTAGAATGCTTCTGGCTAGATTTTATTTGAAGATATTCCCGTTTCCAACGAAATCCTCAAAGCTTTCCAAATATCCACTTCCAGATTCTATAAAAAGAATGTTTCAGAACAGTTCTGTCAAAAGAAAGGTTCAACTCTGTTAGTGGAGAACACACATCACAATCAAGGTTCTGAGAATGCTTCTGTCTAAATTTTCTATGAGGACATTCCCGTTTCCAACGAAATCCTCACAGCTATCCAAATATCCACTTGCAGATTCTACAAAAAGTGTGGTTCAAAACCGCTGTATCAAAAGAATGGATCAACACTGTTAGTTGAGTACCCACATCACAAACGTGATTCTCAGAATGCTTCTGTCTAGTTTCTGTAGGTAGATATTTCCTTTTTCAGCATAGGCCTGAAAGCGCTCCACATGCCCGCTTCCAGACACTATAAAAAGGGGGTTTCAAACCTAATCTATGAAAGGGAATGTTCAACTCTGAGAGCTGGATGCAAACATCACAAAGAAGTTTCTGAGAATGCTGCTGTCTACTTTTTATATATAATCCCGTTTCCAACGAAATCCTCAAATCTATCCAAATATCCACTTGCAGATTCCAAAAGAAGAGTGTCTCAAAACTGCTCTATCAATAGAAATGTTCAGCACAGTTAGTTGAGTAGATACAGCATAAACATGTTTCTGAGATTACTTCTATCTCGCATTCATGGGAAGATATTTCCTTTTTCCAGATAGGCTACAAAGCCCTCCAAATGTCCACTTCGAGATACTACAAAGAGAGTGCTGCACAACTGCTCTATGTGAGGGGATGTTCAATTCTGTGACTTGAATGCAGACACCACAAAGAAGTTTCTGAGAATGCTGCTGTCTAATTTTTATATGTAAGCCCGTTTCCAACGAAATCCTCAAAGCTATCCAAATATCCGCATGCAGAATCTTCAAAAAGAGTGTTCCAGAAGTACTGCATGAAACGAAAGGTTCGAGTCCGTTAGTTGAGGACACGCATCACAAATAAGTTTCTCAGAATGCTTCTGTCTTGTTTTCATTGGAAGATATTTCCTTTTTCACCATAGTTCTGAAAGCGCTCCAAATGTCCACTTCCAGACACTCCAAAAAAAGTGTTTCAAACCTGCTCTATGAATGGGAATGTTCCACTCTGTGTCTTGAATGGAAATATGGCAAAGTATTTTCTGAGTATGCTGCTGTGTACGTTTTATATTGCATCCCGTTTCCAACGAAATCCTCAAAGCGATCCAAATATCCACTTGCAGATTCCAAAAAAAGAGTGTTTCAAACTGCTCTGTCAGTACAAAGGTTCAACACTGTTAGTTGATTAGATGCATCATAAACAAGTTCCTGAGATAGCTTCTATGTCGCTTTTATGGGAAGATATTTCCTTTTACACCATAGGCCTGAAAGCGCTCCAAATGTCCACTTCCAGATACTACAAAATGAGTGTTTCCAACCTGCTCTATGAAACGGAAGGTTCAACTCTGTGACTTGATTGCAAACATCACGAAGGTGTTTCTGAGGATGTTTCTGTCTAGATTTTCTTTGAAGACATTACCGTTTCCAACGAAATCCTCAAAGCTAGCCAAATATCCACCTGCAGATTCTACAAAAAGATTGTTTCAAAAGTGCTCTGTCCAAACCAAGGTTCAATTCTGACAGTTGAGTGCACACATCACAAACGTGATTCTGCGAATGCTTCTGTCTAGTTTTTGTCGGAAGATATTTCCTTTTTCAGCATAGGCCCCAAGGAGCTCAAAATGTCCACTGCCAGATAGTACGAGAAGATTGTTTCAAACCTGCTGCTGTGAAAGGGAATGTTCAACTCTGTGACTTGAATGTAAACATCCCTAAGATGTTTCTTAGAATGCTTCTGGCTAGATTTTATTTGAAGATATTCCCGTTTCCAACGAAATCCTCAAAGCTTTCCAAATATCCACTTCCAGATTCTATAAAAAGAATGTTTCAGAACAGTTCTGTCAAAAGAAAGGTTCAACTCTGTTAGTGGAGAACACACATCACAATCAAGGTTCTGAGAATGCTTCTGTCTAAATTTTCTATGAAGACATTCCCGTTTCCAACGAAATCCTCACAGCTATCCAAATATCCACTTGCAGATTCTACAAAAAGTGTGGTTCAAAACTGCTGTATCAAAAGAATGGATCAACACTGTTAGTTGAGTACCCACATCACAAACGTGATTCTCAGAATGCTTCTGTCTAGTTTCTATAGGTAGATATTTCCTATTTTAAGGATAGGCCTGAAAGCGCTCCAAATGCCCGCTTCCAGACACTATAAAAAGAGGGTTTCAAACCTACTCTATGAAAGGGAATGTTCAACTCTGAGAGCTGGATGCAAACATCACAAAGAAGTTTCTGAGAATGCTGCTGTCTACTTTTTATATATAATCCCGTTTCCAACGAAATCCTCAAATCTATCCAAATATCCACTTGCAGATTCCAAAAGAAGAGTGTCTCAAAACTGCTCTATCAATAGAAATGTTCAGCACAGTTAGTTGAGTAGATACAGCATAAACATGTTTCTGAGATTACTTCTATCTCGCATTCATGGGAAGATATTTCCTTTTTCCAGATAGGCTACAAAGCCCTCCAAATGTCCACTTCGAGATACTACAAATAGAGTGCTGCACAACTGCTCTATGTGAGGGGAAGTTCAATTCTGTGACTTGAATGCAGACACCACAAAGAAGTTTCTGAGAATGCTGCTGTCTAATTTTTACATGTAAGCCCGTTTCCAACGAAATCCTCAAAGCTATCCAAATATCCGCATGCAGAATCTTCAAAAAGAGTGTTCCAGAAGTACTGCATGAAACGAAAGTTTCAAGTCCGTTTGTTGAGGACACACATCACAAATAAGTTTCTCAGAATGCTTCTGTCTTGTTTTCATTGGAAGATATTTCCTTTTTCACCATAGTTCAGAAAGCGCTCCAAATGTCCACTTCCAGATACTCCAAAAAGAGTGTTTCAAACCTGCTCTATGAATGGGAATGTTCCACTCTGTGACTTGAATGGAAATATGGCAAAGTATTTTCTGAGTATGCTGCTGTGTACGTTTTATATTGCATCCCGTTTCCAACGAAATCCTCAAAGCGATCCAAATATCCACTTGCAGATTCCAAAAAAAGAGTGTTTCAAACTGCTCTGTCAGTACAAAGGTTCAACACTGTTAGTTGATTAGATGCATCATAAACAAGTTCCTGAGATAGCTTCTATGTCGTTTTTATGGGAAGATATTTCCTTTTTCACCATAGGCCTGAAAGCGCTCCAAATGTCCACTTCCAGATACTACAAAAAGAGTGTTTCCAACCTGCTCTATGAAACGGAAGGTTCAACTCTGTGACTTGATTGCAAACATCACGAAGGTGTTTCTGAGAATGTTTCTGTCTAAATTTTCTATGAAGACATTCCCGTTTCCAACGAAATCCTCACAGCTATCCAAATATCCACTTGCAGATTCTACAAAAAGTGTGGTTCAAAACTGCTGTATCAAAAGAATGGATCAACACTGTTAGTTGAGTACCCACATCACAAACGTGATTCTCAGAATGCTTCTGTCTAGTTTCTGTAGGTAGATATTTCCTATTTTAAGCATAGGCCTGAAAGCGCTCCAAATGCCCGCTTCCAGACACTATAAAAAGAGGGTTTCAAACCTACTCTATGAAAGGGAATGTTCAACTCTGAGAGCTGGATGCAAACATCACAAAGAAGTTTCTGAGAATGCTGCTGTCTACTTTTTATATATAATCCCGTTTCCAACGAAATCCTCAAATCTATCCAAATATCCACTTGCAGATTCCAAAAGAAGAGTGTCTCAAAACTGCTCTATCAATAGAAATGTTCAGCACAGTTAGTTGATTAGATACAGCATAAACATGTTTCTGAGATTACTTCTATCTCGCATTCATGGGAAGATATTTCCTTTTTCCAGATAGGCTACAAAGCCCTCCAAATGTCCACTTCCAGATACTACAAATAGAGTGCTGCACAACTGCTCTATGTGAGGGGAAGTTAAATTCTGTGACTTGAATGCAGACACCACAAAGAAGTTTCTGAGAATGCTGCTGTCTAATTTTTACATGTAAGACCGTTTCCAACGAAATCCTCAAAGCTATCCAAATATCCGCATGCAGAATCTTCAAAAAGAGTGTTCCAGAAGTACTGCATGAAACGAAAGGTTCAAGTCCGTTTGTTGAGGACACACATCACAAATAAGTTTCTCAGAATGCTTCTGTGTTGTTTTCATTGGAAGATATTTCCTTTTTCACCATAGTTCAGAAAGCGCTCCAAATGTCCACTTCCAGATACTCCAAAAAGAGTGTTTCCAACCTGCTCTATGAATGGGAATGTTCCACTCTGTGACTTGAATGGAAATATGGCAAAGTATTTTCTGAGTATGCTGCTGTGTACGTTTTATATTGCATCCCGTTTCCAACGAAATCCTCAAAGCGATCCAAATATCCACTTGCAGATTCCAAAAAAAGAGTGTTTCAAACTGCTCTGTCAGTACAAAGGTTCAACACTGTTAGTTGATTAGATGCATCATAAACAAGTTCCTGAGATAGCTTCTATGTCGTTTTTATGGGAAGATATTTCCTTTTTCACCATAGGCCTGAAAGCGCTCCAAATGTCCACTTCCAGATACTACAATAAGAGTGTTTCCAACCTGCTCTATGAAACGGAAGGTTCAACTCTGTGACTTGATTGCAAACATCACGAAGGTGTTTCTGAGAATGCTTCTGTCTAGATTTTCTTTGAAGACATTCCCGTTTCCAACGAAATCCTCACAGCTATCCAAATATCCTCTTGCAGATTCTAGAAAAAGTGTGGTTCAATACTGCTGTATCAAAAGAATGGATCAACACTGTTAGTTGAGTACCCACATCACAAACGTGATTCTCAGAATGCTACTGTCTAGTTTCTGTAGGTAGATATTTCCTATTTTAAGCATAGGCCTGAAAGCGCTCCAAATGCCCGCTTCCAGACACTATAAAAAGAGGGTTTCAAACCTACTCTATGAAAGGGAATGTTCAACTCTGAGAGCTGGATGCAAACATCACAAAGAAGTTTCTGAGAATGCTGCTGTCTACTTTTTATATATAATCCCGTTTCCAACGAAATCCTCAAATCTATCCAAATATCCACTTGCAGATTCCAAAAGAAGAGTGTCTCAAAACTGCTCTATCAATAGAAATGTTCAGCACAGTTAGTTGAGTAGATACAGCATAAACATGTTTCTGAGATTACTTCTATCTCGCATTCATGGGAAGATATTTCCTTTTTCCAGATAGGCTACAAAGCCCTCCAAATGTCCACTTCCAGATACTACAAATAGAGTGCTGCACAACTGCTCTATGTGAGGGGAAGTTCAATTCTGTGACTTGAATGCAGACACCACAAAGAAGTTTCTGAGAATGCTGCTGTCTAATTTTTACATGTAAGCCCGTTTCCAACGAAATCCTCAAAGCTATCCAAATATCCGCATGCAGAATCTTCAAAAAGAGTGTTCCAGAAGTACTGCATGAAACGAAAGGTTCAAGTCCGTTTGTTGAGGACACACATCACAAATAAGTTTCTCAGAATGCTTCTGTCTTGTTTTCATTGGAAGATATTTCCTTTTTCACCATAGTTCAGAAAGCGCTCCAAATGTCCACTTCCAGATACTCCAAAAAGAGTGTTTCCAACCTGCTCTATGAATGGGAATGTTCCACTCTGTGACTTGAATGGAAATATGGCAAAGTATTTTCTGAGTATGCTGCTGTGTACGTTTTATATTGCATCCCGTTTCCAACGAAATCCTCAAAGCGATCCAAATATCCACTTGCAGATTCCAAAAAAAGAGTGTTTCAAACTGCTCTGTCAGTACAAAGGTTCAACACTGTTAGTTGATTAGATGCATCATAAACAAGTTCCTGAGATAGCTTCTATGTCGTTTTTATGGGAATATATTTCCTTTTTCACCATAGGCCTGAAAGCGCTCCAAATGTCCACTTCCAGATACTACAATAAGAGTGTTTCCAACCTGCTCTATGAAACGGAAGGTTCAACTCTGTGACTTGATTGCAAACATCACGAAGGTGTTTCTGAGAATGCTTCTGTCTAGATTTTCTTTGAAGACATCCCCGTTTCCAACGAAATCCTCACAGCTATCCAAATATCCTCTTGCAGATTCTACAAAAAGTGTGGTTCAAAACTGCTGTATCAAAAGAATGGATCAACACTGTTAGTTGAGTACCCACATCACAAACGTGATTCTCAGAATGCTTCTGTCTAGTTTCTGTAGGTAGATATTTCCTATTTTAAGCATAGGCCTGAAAGCGCTCCAAATGCCCGCTTCCAGACACTATAAAAAGAGGGTTTCAAACCTACTCTATGAAAGGGAATGTTCAACTCTGAGAGCTGGATGCAAACATCACAAAGAAGTTTCTGAGAATGCTGCTGTCTACTTTTTATATATAATCCCGTTTCCAACGAAATCCTCAAATCTATCCAAATATCCACTTGCAGATTCCAAAAGAAGAGTGTCTCAAAACTGCTCTATCAATAGAAATGTTCAGCACAGTTAGTTGAGTAGATACAGCATAAACATGTTTCTGAGATTACTTCTATCTCGCATTCATGGGAAGATATTTCCTTTTTCCAGATAGGCTACAAAGCCCTCCAAATGTCCACTTCCAGATACTACAAATAGAGTGCTGCACAACTGCTCTATGTGAGGGGATGTTCAATTCTGTGACTTGAATGCAGACACCACAAAGAAGTTTCTGAGAATGCTGCTGTCTAATTTTTACATGTAAGCCCGTTTCCAACGAAATCCTCAAAGCTATCCAAATATCCGCATGCAGAATCTTCAAAAAGAGTGTTCCAGAAGTACTGCATGAAACGAAAGGTTCAAGTCCGTTTGTTGAGGACACACATCACAAATAAGTTTCTCAGAATGCTTCTGTCTTGTTTTCATTGGAAGATATTTCCTTTTTCACCATAGTTCAGAAAGCGCTCCAAATGTCCACTTCCAGATACTCCAAAAAGAGTGTTTCAAACCTGCTCTATGAATGGGAATGTTCCACTCTGTGACTTGAATGGAAATATGGCAAAGTATTTTCTGAGTATGCTGCTGTGTACGTTTTATATTGCATCCCGTTTCCAACGAAATCCTCAAAGCGATCCAAATATCCACTTGCAGATTCCAAAAAAAGAGTGTTTCAAACTGCTCTGTCAGTACAAAGGTTCAACACTGTTAGTTGATTAGATGCATCATAAACAAGTTCCTGAGATAGCTTCTATGTCGCTTTTATGGGAAGATATTTCCTTTTACACCATAGGCCTGAAAGCGCTCCAAATGTCCACTTCCAGATACTACAAAATGAGTGTTTCCAACCTGCTCTATGAAACGGAAGGTTCAACTCTGTGACTTGATTGCAAACATCACGAAGGTGTTTCTGAGGATGTTTCTGTCTAGATTTTCTTTGAAGACATTACCGTTTCCAACGAAATCCTCAAAGCTAGCCAAATATCCACCTGCAGATTCTACAAAAAGATTGTTTCAAAAGTGCTCTGTCCAAACCAAGGTTCAATTCTGACAGTTGAGTGCACACATCACAAACGTGATTCTGCGAATGCTTCTGTCTAGTTTTTGTCGGAAGATATTTCCTTTTTCAGCATAGGCCCCAAGGAGCTCAAAATGTCCACTGCCAGATAGTACGAGAAGATTGTTTCAAACCTGCTCTGAGAAAGGGGAATGTTCAACTCTGTGACTTGAATGTAAACATCCCTAAGATGTTTCTTAGAATGCTTCTGGCTAGATTTTATTTGAAGATATTCCCGTTTCCAACGAAATCCTCAAAGCTTTCCAAATATCCACTTCCAGATTCTATAAAAAGAATGTTTCAGAACAGTTCTGTCAAAAGAAAGGTTCAACTCTGTTACTGGAGAACACACATCACAATCAAGGTTCTGAGAATGCTTCTGTCTAGCATTTTCTTTGAAGACATTCCCGTTTCCAACGAAATCCTCACAGCTATCCAAATATCCTCTTGCAGATTCTACAAAAAGTGTGGTTCAAAACTGCTGTATCAAAAGAATGGATCAACACTGTTAGTTGAGTACCCACATCACAAACGAGATTCTCAGAATGCTTCTGTCTAGTTTCTGTAGGTAGATATTTCCTATTTTAAGCATAGGCCTGAAAGCGCTCCAAATGCCCGCTTCCAGACACTATAAAAAGAGGGTTTCAAACCTACTCTATGAAAGGGAATGTTCAACTCTGAGAGCTGGATGCAAACATCACAAAGAAGTTTCTGAGAATGCTGCTGTCTACTTTTGATATATAATCCCGTTTCCAACGAAATCCTCAAATCTATCCAAATATCCACTTGCAGATTCCAAAAGAAGAGTGTCTCAAAACTGCTCTATCAATAGAAATGTTCAGCACAGTTAGTTGAGTAGATACAGCATAAACATGTTTCTGAGATTACTTCTATCTCGCATTCATGGGAAGATATTTCCTTTTTCCAGATAGGCTACAAAGCCCTCCAAATGTCCACTTCCAGATACTACAAATAGAGTGCTGCACAACTGCTCTATGTGAGGGGAAGTTCAATTCTGTGACTTGAATGCAGACACCACAAAGAAGTTTCTGAGAATGCTGCTGTCTAATTTTTACATGTAAGCCCGTTTCCAACGAAATCCTCAAAGCTATCCAAATATCCGCATGCAGAATCTTCAAAAAGAGTGTTCCAGAAGTACTGCATGAAACGAAAGGTTCAAGTCCGTTTGTTGAGGACACACATCACAAATAAGTTTCTCAGAATGCTTCTGTGTTGTTTTCATTGGAAGATATTTCCTTTTTCACCATAGTTCAGAAAGCGCTCCAAATGTCCACTTCCAGATACTCCAAAAAGAGTGTTTCCAACCTGCTCTATGAATGGGAATGTTCCACTCTGTGACTTGAATGGAAATATGGCAAAGTATTTTCTGAGTATGCTGCTGTGTACGTTTTATATTGCATCCCGTTTCCAACGAAATCCTCAAAGCGATCCAAATATCCACTTGCAGATTCCAAAAAAAGAGTGTTTCAAACTGCTCTGTCAGTACAAAGGTTCAACACTGTTAGTTGATTAGATGCATCATAAACAAGTTCCTGAGATAGCTTCTATGTCGTTTTTATGGGAAGATATTTCCTTTTTCACCATAGGCCTGAAAGCGCTCCAAATGTCCACTTCCAGATACTACAATAAGAGTGTTTCCAACCTGCTCTATGAAACGGAAGGTTCAACTCTGTGACTTGATTGCAAACATCACGAAGGTGTTTCTGAGAATGCTTCTGTCTAGATTTTCTTTGAAGACATTCCCGTTTCCAACGAAATCCTCACAGCTATCCAAATATCCTCTTGCAGATTCTACAAAAAGTGTGGTTCAAAACTGCTGTATCAAAAGAATGGATCAACACTGTTAGTTGAGTACCCACATCACAAACGTGATTCTCAGAATGCTTCTGTCTAGTTTCTGTAGGTAGATATTTCCTATTTTAAGCATAGGCCTGAAAGCGCTCCAAATGCCCGCTTCCAGACACTATAAAAAGAGGGTTTCAAACCTACTCTATGAAAGGGAATGTTCAACTCTGAGAGCTGGATGCAAACATCACAAAGAAGTTTCTGAGAATGCTGCTGTCTACTTTTTATATATAATCCCGTTTCCAACGAAATCCTCAAATCTATCCAAATATCCACTTGCAGATTCCAAAAGAAGAGTGTCTCAAAACTGCTCTATCAATAGAAATGTTCAGCACAGTTAGTTGAGTAGATACAGCATAAACATGTTTCTGAGATTACTTCTATCTCGCATTCATGGGAAGATATTTCCTTTTTCCACATAGGCTACAAAGCCCTCCAAATGTCCACTTCCAGATACTACAAATAGAGTGCTGCACAACTGCTCTATGTGAGGGGATGTTCAATTCTGTGACTTGAATGCAGACACCACAAAGAAAGTTTCTGAGAATGCTGCTGTCTAATTTTTACATGTAAGCCCGTTTCCAACGAAATCCTCAAAGCTATCCAAATATCCGCATGCAGAATCTTCAAAAAGAGTGTTCCAGAAGTACTGCATGAAACGAAAGGTTCAAGTCCGTTTGTTGAGGACACACATCACAAATAAGTTTCTCAGAATGCTTCTGTCTTGTTTTCATTGGAAGATATTTCCTTTTTCACCATAGTTCAGAAAGCGCTCCAAATGTCCACTTCCAGATACTCCAAAAAGAGTGTTTCCAACCTGCTCTATGAATGGGAATGTTCCACTCTGTGACTTGAATGGAAATATGGCAAAGTATTTTCTGAGTATGCTGCTGTGTACGTTTTATATTGCATCCCGTTTCCAACGAAATCCTCAAAGCGATCCAAATATCCACTTGCAGATTCCAAAAAAAGAGTGTTTCAAACTGCTCTGTCAGTACAAAGGTTCAACACTGTTAGTTGATTAGAGGCATCATAAACAAGTTCCTGAGATAGCTTCTATGTCGCTTTTATGGGAAGATATTTCCTTTTACACCATAGGCCTGAAAGCGCTCCAAATGTCCACTTCCAGATACTACAAAATGAGTGTTTCCAACCTGCTCTATGAAACGGAAGGTTCAACTCTGTGACTTGATTGCAAACATCACGAAGGTGTTTCTGAGGATGTTTCTGTCTAGATTTTCTTTGAAGACATTACCGTTTCCAACGAAATCCTCAAAGCTAGCCAAATATCCACCTGCAGATTCTACAAAAAGAGTGTTTCAAAAGTGCTCTGTCCAAACAAAGGTTCAATTCTGACAGTTGAGTGCACACATCACAAACGTGATTCTGCGAATGCTTCTGTCTAGTTTTTGTCGGAAGATATTTCCTTTTTCAGCATAGGCCCCAAGGAGCTCAAAATGTCCACTGCCAGATAGTACGAGAAGATTGTTTCAAACCTGCTCTGAGAAAGGGGAATGTTCAACTCTGTGACTTGAATGTACACATCCCTAAGATGTTTCTTAGAATGCTTCTGGCTAGATTTTATTTGAAGATATTCCCGTTTCCAACGAAATCCTCAAAGCTTTCCAAATATCCACTTCCAGATTCTATAAAAAGAATGTTTCAAAACAGTTCTGTCAAAAGAAAGGTTCAACTCTGTTAGTGGAGAACACACATCACAATCCAGGTTCTGAGAATGCTTCTGTCTAAATTTTCTATGAAGACATTCCCGTTTCCAACGAAATCCTCACAGCTATCCAAATATCCACTTGCAGATTCTACAAAAAGGGTGGTTCTAAACTGCTGTATCAAAAGAATGGATCAACACTGTTAGTTGAGTACCCACATCACAAACGTGATTCTCAGAATGCTTCTGTCTAGTTTCTGTAGGTAGATATTTCCTTTTTCAGCACAGACCTGAAAGCGCTCCAAATGCCCGCTTCCAGACACTATAAAAAGGGGGTTTCAAACCTACTCTATGAAAGGGAATGTTCAACTCTGAGAGCTGGATGCAAACATCACAAAGAAGTTTCTGAGAATGCTGCTGTCTACTTTTTATATATAATCCCGTTTCCAACGAAATCCTCAAATCTAGCCAAATATCCACTTGCAGATTCCAAAAGAAGAGTGTCTCAAAACTGCTCTATCAATAGAAATGTTCAGCACAGTTAGTTGAGTAGATACAGCATAAACATGTTTCTGAGATTACTTCCATCTCGCATTCATGGGAAGATATTTCCTTTATCCAGATAGGCTACAAAGCCCTCCAAATGTCCACTTCGAGATACTAAAAATAGAGTGCTGCACAACTGCTCTATGTGAGGGGATGTTCAATTCTGTGACTTGAATGCAGACACCACAAAGAAGTTTCTGAGAATGCTGCTGTCTAATTTTTATATGTAAGCCCGTTTCCAACGATATCCTCAAAGCTAACGAAATATCTGCATGCAGAATCTTCAAAAAGAGTGTTCCAGAAGTACTGCATGAAACGAAAGCTTCGAGTCCGTTTGTTGAGGACACGCATCACAAATAAGTTTCTCAGAATGCTTGTGTCTTGTATTCATTGGAAGATATTTCCTTTTTCACCATAGTTCAGAAAGCGCTCCAAATGTCCACTTCCAGATACTCCAAAAAGAGTGTTTCCAACCTGCTCTATGAATGGGAATGTTCCACTCTGTGACTTGAATGGAAATATGGCAAAGTATTTTCTGGGTATGCTGCTGTGTACGTTTTATATTGCATCCCGTTTCCAACGAAATCCTCAAAGCGATCCAAATATCCACTTGCAGATTCCAAAAAAAGAGTGTTTCAAACTGCTCTGTCAGTACAAAGGTTCAACACTGTTAGTTGATTAGAGGCATCATAAACAAGTTCCTGAGATAGCTTCTATGTCGCTTTTATGGGAAGATATTTCCTTTTACACCATAGGCCTGAAAGCGCTCCAAATGTCCACTTCCAGATACTACAAAATGAGTGTTTCCAACCTGCTCTATGAAACGGAAGGTTCAACTCTGTGACTTGATTGCAAACATCACGAAGGTGTTTCTGAGGATGTTTCTGTCTAGATTTTCTTTGAAGACATTACCGTTTCCAACGAAATCCTCAAAGCTAGCCAAATATCCACCTGCAGATTCTACAAAAAGAGTGTTTCAAAAGTGCTCTGTCCAAACCAAGGTTCAATTCTGACAGTTGATGCACACATCACAAACGTGATTCTGCGAATGCTTCTGTCTAGTTTTTGTCGGAAGATATTTCCTTTTTCAGCATAGGCCCCAAGGAGCTCAAAATGTCCACTGCCAGATAGTACGAGAAGATTGTTTCAAACCTGCTCTGTGAAAGGGAATGTTCAACTCTGTGACTTGAATGTAAACATCCCTAAGATGTTTCTTAGAATGCTTCTGGCTAGATTTTATTTGAAGATATTCCCGTTTCCAACGAAATCCTCAAAGCTTTCCAAATATCCACTTCCAGATTCTACAAAAAGTGTGGTTCAAAACTGCTGTATCAAAAGAATGGATCAACACTGTTAGTTGAGTACCCACATCACAAACGTGATTCTCAGAATGCTTCTGTCTAGTTTCTATAGGTAGATATTTCCTTTTTCAGCATAGGCCTGAAAGCGCTCCAAATGCCCGCTTCCAGACACTATAAAAAGAGGGTTTCAAACCTACTCTATGAAAGGGAATGTTCAACTCTGAGAGCTGGATGCAAACATCACAAAGAAGTTTCTGAGAATGCTGCTGTCTACTTTTGATATATAATCCCGTTTCCAACGAAATCCTCAAATCTATCCAAATATCCACTTGCAGATTCCAAAAGAAGAGTGTCTCAAAACTGCTCTATCAATAGAAATGTTCAGCACAGTTAGTTGAGTAGATACAGCATAAACATGTTTCTGAGATTACTTCTATCTCGCATTCATGGGAAGATATTTCCTTTTTCCAGATAGGCTACAAAGCCCTCCAAATGTCCACTTCCAGATACTACAAAAAGAGTGTTTCCAACCTGCTCTATGAAACGGAAGGTTCAACTCTGTGACTTGATTGCAAACATCACGAAGGTGTTTCTGAGAATGCTTCTGTCTAGATTTTCTTTGAAGACATTACCGTTTCCAACGAAATCCTCAAAGCTAGCCAAATATCCACCTGCAGATTCTACAAAAAGAGTGTTTCAAAAGTGCTCTGTCCAAACCAAGGTTCAATTCTGACAGTTGAGTGCACACATCACAAACGTGATTCTGCGAATGCTTCTGTCTAGTTTTTGTCGGAAGATATTTCCTTTTTCAGCATAGGCCCCAAGGAGCTCAAAATGTCCACTGCCAGATAGTACGAGAAGATTGTTTCAAACCTGCTCTGTGAAAGGGAATGTTCAACTCTGTGACTTGAATGTAAACATCCCTAAGATGTTTCTTAGAATGCTTCTGGCTAGATTTTATTTGAAGATATTCCCGTTTCCAACGAAATCCTCAAAGCTTTCCAAATATCCACTTCCAGATTCTATAAAAAGAATGTTTCAGAACAGTTCTGTCAAAAGAAAGGTTCAACTCTGTTAGTGGAGAACACACATCACAATCAAGGTTCTGAGAATGCTTCTGTCTAAATTTTCTATGAAGACATTCCCGTTTCCAACGAAATCCTCACAGCTATCCAAATATCCACTTGCAGATTCTACAAAAAGTGTGGTTCAAAACTGCTGTATCAAAAGAATGGATCAACACTGTTAGTTGAGGTACCCACATCACAAACGTGATTCTCAGAATGCTTCTGTCTAGTTTCTATAGGTAGATATTTCCTTTTTCAGCATAGGCCTGAAAGCGCTCCAAATGCCCGCTTCCAGACACTATAAAAAGAGGGTTTCAAACCTACTCTATGAAAGGGAATGTTCAACTCTGAGAGCTGGATGCAAACATCACAAAGAAGTTTCTGAGAATGCTGCTGTCTACTTTTTATATATAATCCCGTTTCCAACGAAATCCTCAAATCTATCCAAATATCCACTTGCAGATTCCAAAAGAAGAGTGTCTCAAAACTGCTCTATCAATAGAAATGTTCAGCACAGTTAGTTGAGTAGATACAGCATAAACATGTTTCTGAGATTACTTCTATCTCGCATTCATGGGAAGATATTTCCTTTTTCCACATAGGCTACAAAGCCCTCCAAATGTCCACTTCCAGATACTACAAATAGAGTGCTGCACAACTGCTCTATGTGAGGGGATGTTCAATTCTGTGACTTGAATGCAGACACCACAAAGAAGTTTCTGAGAATGCTGCTGTCTAATTTTTACATGTAAGCCCGTTTCCAACGAAATCCTCAAAGCTATCCAAATATCCGCATGCAGAATCTTCAAAAAGAGTGTTCCAGAAGTACTGCATGAAACGAAAGGTTCAAGTCCGTTTGTTGAGGACACACATCACAAATAAGTTTCTCAGAATGCTTCTGTCTTGTTTTTATTGGAAGATATTTCCTTTTTCACCATAGTTCAGAAAGCGCTCCAAATGTCCACTTCCAGATACTCCAAAAAGAGTGTTTCCAACCTGCTCTATGAATGGGAATGTTCCACTCTGTGACTTGAATGGAAATATGGCAAAGAATTTTCTGAGTATGCTGCTGTGTACGTTTTATATTGCATCCCGTTTCCAACGAAATCCTCAAAGCGATCCAAATATCCACTTGCAGATTCCAAAAAAAGAGTGTTTCAAACTGCTCTGTCAGTACAAAGGTTCAACACTGTTAGTTGATTAGATGCCTCATAAACAAGTTCCTGAGATAGCTTCTATGTTGTTTTTATGGGAAGATATTTCCTTTTTCACCATAGGCCTGAAAGCGCTCCAAATGTCCACTTCCAGATACTACAATAAGAGTGTTTCCAACCTGCTCTATGAAACGGAAGGTTCAACTCTGTGACTTGATTGTAAACATCACGAAGGTGTTTCTGAGAATGTTTCTGTCTAGATTTTCTTTGAAGACATTCCCGTTTCCAACGAAATCCTCACAGCTATCCAAATATCCTCTTGCAGATTCTACAAAAAGTGTGGTTCAAAACTGCTGTATCAAAAGAATGGATCAACACTGTTAGTTGAGTACCCACATCACAAACGAGATTCTCAGAATGCTTCTGTCTAGTTTCTGTAGGTAGATATTTCCTATTTTAAGCATAGGTCTGAAAGCGCTCCAAATGCCCGCTTCCAGACACTATAAAAAGAGGGTTTCAAACCTACTCTATGAAAGGGAATGTTCAACTCTGAGAGCTGGATGCAAACATCACAAAGAAGTTTCTGAGAATGCTGCTGTCTACTTTTTATATATAATCCCGTTTCCAACGAAATCCTCAAATCTATCCAAATATCCACTTGCAGATTCCAAAAGAAGAGTGTCTCAAAACTGCTCTATCAATAGAAATGTTCAGCACAGTTAGTTGAGTAGATACAGCATAAACATGTTTCTGAGATTACTTCTATCTCGCATTCATGGGAAGATATTTCCTTTTTCCACATAGGCTACAAAGCCCTCCAAATGTCCACTTCCAGATACTACAAAAAGAGTGTTTCCAACCTGCTCTATGAAACGGAAGGTTCAACTCTGTGACTTGATTGCAAACATCACGAAGGTGTTTCTGAGAATGCTTCTGTCTAGATTTTCTTTGAAGACATTACCGTTTCCAACGAAATCCTCAAAGCTAGCCAAATATCCACCTGCAGATTCTACAAAAAGAGTGTTTCAAAAGTGCTCTGTCCAAACCAAGGTTCAATTCTGACAGTTGAGTGCACACATCACAAACGTGATTCTGCGAATGCTTCTGTCTAGTTTTTGTCGGAAGATATTTCCTTTTTCAGCATAGGCCCCAAGGAGCTCAAAATGTCCACTGCCAGATAGTACGAGAAGATTGTTTCAAACCTGCTCTGTGAAAGGGAATGTTCAACTCTGTGACTTGAATGTAAACATCCCTAAGATGTTTCTTAGAATGCTTCTGGCTAGATTTGATTTGAAGATATTCCCGTTTCCAACGAAATCCTCAAAGCTTTCCAAATATCCACTTCCAGATTCTATAAAAAGAATGTTTCAGAACAGTTCTGTCAAAAGAAAGGTTCAACTCTGTTAGTGGAGAACACACATCACAATCAAGGTTCTGAGAATGCTTCTGTCTAAATTTTCTATGAAGACATTCCCGTTTCCAACGAAATCCTCACAGCTATCCAAATATCCACTTGCAGATTCTACAAAAAGTGTGGTTCAAAACTGCTGTATCAAAAGAATGGATCAACACTGTTAGTTGAGTACCCACATCACAAACGTGATTCTCAGAATGCTTCTGTCTAGTTTCTGTAGGTAGATATTTCCTATTTTAAGCATAGGCCTGAAAGCGCTCCAAATGCCCGCTTCCAGACACTATAAAAAGAGGGTTTCAAACCTACTCTACGAAAGGGAATGCTCAACTCTGAGAGCTGGATGCAAACATCACAAAGAAGTTTCTGAGAATGCTGCTGTCTACTTTTTATATATAATCCCGTTGCCAAAGAAATCCTCAAATCTATCCAAATATCCACTTGCAGATTCCAAAAGAAGAGTGTCTCAAAACTGCTCTATCAATAGAAATGTTCACTACAGTTAGTTGAGTAGATACAGCATAAACATGTTTCTGAGATTACTTCTATCTCGCATTCATGGGAAGATATTTCCTTTTTCCAGATAGGCTACAAAGCCCTCCAAATGTCCACTTCGAGATACTACAAATAGAGTGCTGCACAACTGCTCTATGTGAGGGGATGTTCAATTCTGTGACTTGGATGCAGACACCACAGAGAAGTTTCTGAGAATGCTGCTGTCTAATTTTTATATGTAAGCCCGTTTCCAACGAAATCCTCAAAGCTATCCAAATATCCGCATGCAGAATCTTCAAAAAGAGTGTTCCAGAAGTACTGCATGAAACGAAAGGTTCAAGTCCGTTAGTTGAGGACACACATCACAAATAAGTTTCTCAGAATGCTTCTGTCTTGTTTTCATTGGAAGATATTTCCTTTTTCACCATAGTTCAGAAAGCGCTCCAAATGTCCACTTCCAGATACTACAAAAGGAGTGTTTCCAACCTGCTCTATGAATGGGAATGTTCCACTCTGTGACTTGAATGGAAATATGGCAAAGTATTTTCTGAGTATGCTGCTGTGTACGATTTATATTGCATCCCGTTTCCAACGAAATCCTCAAAGCGATCCAAATATCCACTTGCAGATTCCAAAAAAAAGAGTGTTTCACACTGCTCTGTCAGTACAAAAGTTCAACACTGTTAGTTGATTGGATGCATCATAAACAAGTTCCTGAGATAGCTTCTATGTCGTTTTTATGGGAAGATATTTCCTTTTTCACCATAGGCCTGAAAGCGCTCCAAATGTCCACTTCCAGATACTACAAAAAGAGTGTTTCCAACCTGCTCTATGAAACGGAAGGTTCAACTCTGTGACTTGATTGCAAACATCACGAAGGTGTTTCTGAGAATGTTTCTGTCTAAATTTTCTATGAAGACATTCCCGTTTCCAACGAAATCCTCACAGCTATCCAAATATCCACTTGCAGATTCTACAAAAAGTGTGGTTCAAAACTGCTGTATCAAAAGAATGGATCAACACTGTTAGTTGAGTACCCACATCACAAACGTGATTCTCAGAATGCTTCTGTCTAGTTTCTGTAGGTAGATATTTCCTATTTTAAGCATAGGCCTGAAAGCGCTCCAAATGCCCGCTTCCAGACACTATAAAAAGAGGGTTTCAAACCTACTCTATGAAAGGGAATGTTCAACTCTGAGAGCTGGATGCAAACATCACAAAGAAGTTTCTGAGAATGCTGCTGTCTACTTTTTATATATAATCCCGTTTCCAACGAAATCCTCAAATCTATCCAAATATCCACTTGCAGATTCCAAAAGAAGAGTGTCTCAAAACTGCTCTATCAATAGAAATGTTCAGCACAGTTAGTTGATTAGATACAGCATAAACATGTTTCTGAGATTACTTCTATCTCGCATTCATGGGAAGATATTTCCTTTTTCCAGATAGGCTACAAAGCCCTCCAAATGTCCACTTCCAGATACTACAAATAGAGTGCTGCACAACTGCTCTATGTGAGGGGAAGTTAAATTCTGTGACTTGAATGCAGACACCACAAAGAAGTTTCTGAGAATGCTGCTGTCTAATTTTTACATGTAAGCCCGTTTCCAACGAAATCCTCAAAGCTATCCAAATATCCGCATGCAGAATCTTCAAAAAGAGTGTTCCAGAAGTACTGCATGAAACGAAAGGTTCAAGTCCGTTTGTTGAGGACACACATCACAAATAAGTTTCTCAGAATGCTTCTGTCTTGTTTTCATTGGAAGATATTTCCTTTTTCACCATAGTTCAGAAAGCGCTCCAAATGTCCACTTCCAGATACTCCAAAAAGAGTGTTTCAAACCTGCTCTATGAATGGGAATGTTCCACTCTGTGACTTGAATGGAAATATGGCAAAGAATTTTCTGAGTATGCTGCTGTGTACGTTTTATATTGCATCCCGTTTCCAACGAAATCCTCAAAGCGATCCAAATATCCACTTGGAGATTCCAAAAAAAGAGTGTTTCAAACTGCTCTGTCAGTACAAAGGTTCAACACTGTTAGTTGATTAGATGCCTCATAAACAAGTTCCTGAGATAGCTTCTATGTCGCTTTTATGGGAAGATATTTCCTTTTTCACCATAGGCCTGAAAGCGCTCCAAATGTCCACTTCCAGATACTACAATAAGAGTGTTTCCAACCTGCTCTATGAAACGGAAGGTTCAACTCTGTGACTTGATTGCAAACATCACGAAGGTGTTTCTGAGAATGTTTCTGTCTAGATTTTCTTTGAAGACATTCCCGTTTCCAACGAAATCCTCACAGCTATCCAAATATCCTCTTGCAGATTCTACAAAAAGTGTGGTTCAAAACTGCTGTATCAAAAGAATGGATCAACACTGTTAGTTGAGTACCCACATCACAAACGAGATTCTCAGAATGCTTCTGTCTAGTTTCTGTAGGTAGATATTTCCTATTTTAAGCATAGGCCTGAAAGCGCTCCAAATGCCCGCTTCCAGACACTATAAAAAGAGGGTTTCAAACCTACTCTATGAAAGGGAATGTTCAACTCTGAGAGCTGGATGCAAACATCACAAAGAAGTTTCTGAGAATGCTGCTGTCTACTTTTTATATATAATCCCTTTTCCAACGAAATCCTCAAATCTCTCCAAATATCCACTTGCAGATTCCAAAAGAAGAGTGTCTCAAAACTGCTCTATCAATAGAAATGTTCAGCACAGTTAGTTGAGTAGATACAGCATAAACATGTTTCTGAGATTACTTCTATCTCGCATTCATGGGAAGATATTTCCTTTTTCCACATAGGCTACAAAGCCCTCCAAATGTCCACTTCAAGATACTACAAAAAGAGTGTTTCCAACCTGCTCTATGAAACGGAAGGTTCAACTCTGTGACTTGATTGCAAACATCACGAAGGTGTTTCTGAGAATGCTTCTGTCTAGATTTTCTTTGAAGACATTACCGTTTCCAACGAAATCCTCAAAGCTAGCCAAATATCCACCTGCAGATTCTACAAAAAGAGTGTTTCAAAAGTGCTCTGTCCAAACCAAGGTTCAATTCTGACAGTTGAGTGCACACATCACAAACGTGATTCTGCGAATGCTTCTGTCTAGTTTTTGTCGGAAGATATTTCCTTTTTCAGCATAGGCCCCAAGGAGCTCAAAATGTCCACTGCCAGATAGTACGAGAAGATTGTTTCAAACCTGCTCTGTGAAAGGGAATGTTCAACTCTGTGACTTGAATGTAAACATCCCTAAGATGTTTCTTAGAATGCTTCTGGCTAGATTTGATTTGAAGATATTCCCGTTTCCAACGAAATCCTCAAAGCTTTCCAAATATCCACTTCCAGATTCTATAAAAAGAATGTTTCAGAACAGTTCTGTCAAAAGAAAGGTTCAACTCTGTTAGTGGAGAACACACATCACAATCAAGGTTCTGAGAATGCTTCTGTCTAAATTTTCTATGAAGACATTCCCGTTTCCAACGAAATCTTCACAGCTATCCAAATATCCACTTGCAGATTCTACAAAAAGTGTGGTTCAAAACTGCTGTATCAAAAGAATGGATCAACACTGTTAGTTGAGTACCCACATCACAAACGTGATTCTCAGAATGCTTCTGTCTAGTTTCTATAGGTAGATATTTCCTTTTTCAGCATAGGCCTGAAAGCGCTCCAAATGCCCGCTTCCAGACACTATAAAAAGAGGGTTTCAAACCTACTCTATGAAAGGGAATGTTCAACTCTGAGAGCTGGATGCAAACATCACAAAGAAGTTTCTGAGAATGCTGCTGTCTACTTTTTATATATAATCCCGTTTCCAACGAAATCCTCAAATCTATCCAAATATCCACTTGCAGATTCCAAAAGAAGAGTGTCTCAAAACTGCTCTATCAATAGAAATGTTCAGCACAGTTAGTTGAGTAGATACAGCATAAACATGTTTCTGAGATTACTTCTATCTCGCATTCATGGGAAGATATTTCCTTTTTCCACATAGGCTACAAAGCCCTCCAAATGTCCACTTCCAGATACTACAAAAAGAGTGTTTCCAACCTGCTCTATGCAACGGAAGGTTCAACTCTGTGACTTGATTGCAAACATCACGAAGGTGTTTCTGAGAATGCTTCTGTCTAGATTTTCTTTGAAGACATTACCGTTTCCAACGAAATCCTCAAAGCTAGCCAAATATCCACCTGCAGATTCTACAAAAAGAGTGTTTCAAATGTGCTCTGTCCAAACCAAGGTTCAATTCTGACAGTTGAGTGCACACATCACAAACGTGATTACTGCGAATGCTTCTGTCTAGTTTTGTCGGAAGATATTTCCTTTTTCAGCATAGGCCCCAAGGAGCTCAAAATGTCCACTGCCAGATAGTACGAGAAGATTGTTTCAAACCTGCTCTGTGAAAGGGAATGTTCAACTCTGTGACTTGAATGTAAACATCCCTAAGATGTTTCTTAGAATGCTTCTGGCTAGATTTTATTTGAAGATATTCCCGTTTCCAACGAAATCCTCAAAGCTTTCCAAATATCCACTTCCAGATTCTATAAAAAGAATGTTTCAGAACAGTTCTGTCAAAAGAAAGGTTCAACTCTGTTAGTGGAGAACACACATCACAATCAAGGTTCTGAGAATGCTTCTGTCTAAATTTTCTATGAAGACATTCCCGTTTCCAACGAAATCCTCACAGCTATCCAAATATCCACTTGCAGATTCTACAAAAAGTGTGGTTCAAAACTGCTGTATCAAAAGAATGGATCAACACTGTTAGTTGAGTACCCACATCACAAACTTGATTCTCAGAATGCTTCTGTCTAGTTTCTATAGGTAGATATTTCCTTTTTCAGCATAGGCCTGAAAGCGCTCCAAATGCCCGCTTCCAGACACTATAAAAAGAGGGTTTCAAACCTACTCTATGAAAGGGAATGTTCAACTCTGAGAGCTGGATGCAAACATCACAAAGAAGTTTCTGAGAATGCTGCTGTCTACTTTTTATATATAATCCCGTTTCCAACGAAATCCTCAAATCTATCCAAATATCCACTTGCAGATTCCAAAAGAAGAGGGTCTCAAAACTGCTCTATCAATAGAAATGTTCAGCACAGTTAGTTGAGTAGATACAGCATAAACATGTTTCTGAGATTACTTCTATCTCGCATTCATGGGAAGATATTTCCTTTTTCCAGATAGGCTACAAAGCCCTCCAAATGTCCACTTCCAGATACTACAAATAGAGTGCTGCACAACTGCTCTATGTGAGGGGAAGTTCAATTCTGTGACTTGAATGCAGACACCACAAAGAAGTTTCTGAGAATGCTGCTGTCTAATTTTTACATGTAAGCCCGTTTCCAACGAAATCCTCAAAGCTATCCAAATATCCGCATGCAGAATCTTCAAAAAGAGTGTTCCAGAAGTACTGCATGAAACGAAAGGTTCAAGTCCGTTTGTTGAGGACACACATCACAAATAAGTTTCTCAGAATGCTTCTGTCTTGTTTTCATTGGAAGATATTTCCTTTTTCACCATAGTTCAGAAAGCGCTCCAAATGTCCACTTCCAGATACTCCAAAAAGAGTGTTTCCAACCTGCTCTATGAATGGGAATGTTCCACTCTGTGACTTGAATGGAAATATGGCAAAGTATTTTCTGAGTATGCTGCTGTGTACGTTTTATATTGCATCCCGTTTCCAACGAAATCCTCAAAGCGATCCAAATATCCACTTGCAGATTCCAAAAAAAGAGTGTTTCAAACTGCTCTGTCAGTACAAAGGTTCAACACTGTTAGTTGATTAGATGCATCATAAACAAGTTCCTGAGATAGCTTCTATGTCGTTTTTATGGGAAGATATTTCCTTTTTCACCATAGGCCTGAAAGCGCTCCAAATGTCCACTTCCAGATACTACAATAAGAGTGTTTCCAACCTGCTCTATGAAACGGAAGGTTCAACTCTGTGACTTGATTGCAAACATCACGAAGGTGTTTCTGAGAATGCTTCTGTCTAGATTTTCTTTGAAGACATTCCCGTTTCCAACGAAATCCTCACAGCTATCCAAATATCCTCTTGCAGATTCTACAAAAAGTGTGGTTCAAAACTGCTGTATCAAAAGAATGGATCAACACTGTTAGTTGAGTACCCACATCACAAACGTGATTCTCAGAATGCTTCTGTCTAGTTTCTGTAGGTAGATATTTCCTATTTTAAGCATAGGCCTGAAAGCGCTCCAAATGCCCGCTTCCAGACACTATAAAAAGAGGGTTTCAAACCTACTCTATGAAAGGGAATGTTCAACTCTGAGAGCTGGATGCAAACATCACAAAGAAGTTTCTGAGAATGCTGCTGTCTACTTTTTATATATAATCCCGTTTCCAACGAAATCCTCAAATCTATCCAAATATCCACTTGCAGATTCCAAAAGAAGAGTGTCTCAAAACTGCTCTATCAATAGAAATGTTCAGCACAGTTAGTTGAGTAGATACAGCATAAACATGTTTCTGAGATTACTTCTATCTCGCATTCATGGGAAGATATTTCCTTTTTCCAGATAGGCTACAAAGCCCTCCAAATGTCCACTTCCAGATACTACAAATAGAGTGCTGCACAACTGCTCTATGTGAGGGGAAGTTCAATTCTGTGACTTGAATGCAGACACCACAAAGAAGTTTCTGAGAATGCTGCTGTCTAATTTTTACATGTAAGCCCGTTTCCAACGAAATCCTCAAAGCTATCCAAATATCCGCATGCAGAATCTTCAAAAAGAGTGTTCCAGAAGTACTGCATGAAACGAAAGGTTCAAGTCCGTTTGTTGAGGACACACATCACAAATAAGTTTCTCAGAATGCTTCTGTCTTGTTTTCATTGGAAGATATTTCCTTTTTCACCATAGTTCAGAAAGCGCTCCAAATGTCCACTTCCAGATACTCCAAAAAGAGTGTTTCAAACCTGCTCTATGAATGGGAATGTTCCACTCTGTGACTTGAATGGAAATATGGCAAAGTATTTTCTGAGTATGCTGCTGTGTACGTTTTATATTGCATCCCGTTTCCAACGAAATCCTCAAAGCGATCCAAATATCCACTTGCAGATTCCAAAAAAAGAGTGTTTCAAACTGCTCTGTCAGTACAAAGGTTCAACACTGTTAGTTGATTAGATGCATCATAAACAAGTTCCTGAGATAGCTTCTATGTCGTTTTTATGGGAAGATATTTCCTTTTTCACCATAGGCCTGAAAGCGCTCCAAATGTCCACTTCCAGATACTACAATAAGAGTGTTTCCAACCTGCTCTATGAAACGGAAGGTTCAACTCTGTGACTTGATTGCAAACATCACGAAGGTGTTTCTGAGAATGCTTCTGTCTAGATTTTCTTTGAAGACATTCCCGTTTCCAACGAAATCCTCACAGCTATCCAAATATCCTCTTGCAGATTCTGCAAAAAGTGTGGTTCAAAACTGCTGTATCAAAAGAATGGATCAACACTGTTAGTTGAGTACCCACATCACAAACGTGATTCTCAGAATGCTTCTGTCTAGTTTCTATAGGTAGATATTTCCTTTTTCAGCATAGGCCTGAAAGCGCTCCAAATGCCCGCTTCCAGACACTATAAAAAGAGGGTTTCAAACCTACTCTATGAAAGGGAATGTTCAACTCTGAGAGCTGGATGCAAACATCACAAAGAAGTTTCTGAGAATGCTGCTGTCTACTTTTTATATATAATCCCGTTTCCAACGAAATCCTCAAATCTATCCAAATATCCACTTGCAGATTCCAAAAGAAGAGTGTCTGAAAACTGCTCTATCAATAGAAATGTTCAGCACAGTTAGTTGAGTAGATACAGCATAAACATGTTTCTGAGATTACTTCTATCTCGCATTCATGGGAAGATATTTCCTTTTTCCAGATAGGCTACAAAGCCCTCCAAATGTCCACTTCGAGATACTACAAATAGAGTGCTGCACAACTGCTCTATGTGAGGGGAAGTTCAATTCTGTGACTTGAATGCAGACACCACAAAGAAGTTTCTGAGAATGCTGCTGTCTAATTTTTACATGTAAGCCCGTTTCCAACGAAATCCTCAAAGCTATCCAAATATCCGAATGCAGAATCTTCAAAAAGAGTGTTCCAGAAGTACTGCATGAAACGAAAGGTTCAAGTCCGTTTGTTGAGGACACACATCACAAATAAGTTTCTCAGAATGCTTCTGTCTTGTTTTCATTGGAAGATATTTCCTTTTTCACCATAGTTCAGAAAGCGCTCCAAATGTCCACTTCCAGATACTCCAAAAAGAGTGTTTCAAACCTGCTCTATGAATGGGAATGTTCCAGTCTGTGACTTGAATGGAAATATGGCAAAGTATTTTCTGAGTATGCTGCTGTGTACGTTTTATATTGCATCCCGTTTCCAACGAAATACTCAAAGCGATCCAAATATCCACTTGCAGATTCCAAAAAAAGAGTGTTTCAAACTGCTCTGTCAGTACAAAGGTTCAACACTGTTAGTTGATTAGATGCATCATAAACAAGTTCCTGAGATAGCTTCTATGTCGTTTTTATGGGAAGATATTTCCTTTTTCACCATAGGCCTGAAAGCGCTCCAAATGTCCACTTCCAGATACTACAATAAGAGTGTTTCCAACCTGCTCTATGAAACGGAAGGTTCAACTCTGTGACTTGATTGCAAACATCACGAAGGTGTTTCTGAGAATGCTTCTGTCTAGATTTTCTTTGAAGACATTCCCGTTTCCAACGAAATCCTCACAGCTATCCAAATATCCTCTTGCAGATTCTACAAAAAGTGTGGTTCAAAACTGCTGTATCAAAAGAATGGATCAACACTGTTAGTTGAGTACCCACATCACAAACGTGATTCTCAGAATGCTTCTGTCTAGTTTCTGTAGGTAGATATTTCCTATTTTAAGCATAGGCCTGAAAGCGCTCCAAATGCCCGCTTCCAGACACTATAAAAAGAGGGTTTCAAACCTACTCTATGAAAGGGAATGTTCAACTCTGAGAGCTGGATGCAAACATCACAAAGAAGTTTCTGAGAATGCTGCTGTCTACTTTTTATATATAATCCCGTTTCCAACGAAATCCTCAAATCTATCCAAATATCCACTTGCAGATTCCAAAAGAAGAGTGTCTCAAAACTGCTCTATCAATAGAAATGTTCAGCACAGTTAGTTGAGTAGATACAGCATAAACATGTTTCTGAGATTACTTCTATCTCGCATTCATGGGAAGATATTTCCTTTTTCCAGATAGGCTACAAAGCCCTCCAAATGTCCACTTCCAGATACTACAAAAAGAGTGTTTCCAACCTGCTCTATGAGACGGAAGGTTCAACTCTGTGACTTGATTGCAAACATCACGAAGGTGTTTCTGAGAATGCTTCTGTCTAGATTTTCTTTGAAGACATTACCGTTTCCAACGAAATCCTCAAAGCTAGCCAAATATCCACCTGCAGATTCTACAAAAAGAGTGTTTCAAAAGTGCTCTCTCCAAACCAAGGTTCAATTCTGACAGTTGAGTGCACACATCACAAACGTGATTCTGCGAATGCTTCTGTCTAGTTTTTGTCGGAAGATATTTCCTTTTTCAGCATAGGCCCCAAGGAGCTCAAAATGTCCACTGCCAGATAGTACGAGAAGATTGTTTCAAACCTGCTCTGTGAAAGGGAATGTTCAACTCTGTGACTTGAATGTAAACATCCCTAAGATGTTTCTTAGAATGCTTCTGGCTAGATTTTATTTGAAGATATTCCCGTTTCCAACGAAATCCTCAAAGCTTTCCAAATATCCACTTCCAGATTCTATAAAAAGAATGTTTCAGAACAGTTCTGTCAAAAGAAAGGTTCAACTCTGTTAGTGGAGAACACACATCACAATCAAGGTTCTGAGAATGCTTCTGTCTAAATTTTCTATGAAGACATTCCCGTTTCCAACGAAATCCTCACAGCTATCCAAATATCCACTTGCAGATTCTACAAAAAGTGTGGTTCAAAACTGCTGTATCAAAAGAATGGATCAACACTGTTAGTTGAGTACCCACATCACAAACGTGATTCTCAGAATGCTTCTGTCTAGTTTCTATAGGTAGATATTTCCTTTTTCAGCATAGGCCTGAAAGCGCTCCAAATGCCCGCTTCCAGACACTATAAAAAGAGGGTTTCAAACCTACTCTATGAAAGGGAATGTTCAACTCTGAGAGCTGGATGCAAACATCACAAAGAAGTTTCTGAGAATGCTGCTGTCTACTTTTTATATATAATCCCGTTTCCAACGAAATCCTCAAATCTATCCAAATATCCACTTGCAGATTCCAAAAGAAGAGTGTCTCAAAACTGCTCTATCAATAGAAATGTTCAGCACAGTTAGTTGAGTAGATACAGCATAAACATGTTTCTGAGATTACTTCTATCTCGCATTCATGGGAAGATATTTCCTTTTTCCACATAGGCTACAAAGCCCTCCAAATGTCCACTTCCAGATACTACAAAAAGAGTGTTTCCAACCTGCTCTATGAAACGGAAGGTTCAACTCTGTGACTTGATTGCAAACATCACGAAGGTGTTTCTGAGAATGCTTCTGTCTAGATTTTCTTTGAAGACATTACCGTTTCCAACGAAATCCTCAAAGCTAGCCAAATATCCACCTGCAGATTCTACAAAAAGAGTGTTTCAAAAGTGCTCTGTCCAAACCAAGGTTCATTTCTGACAGTTGAGTGCACACATCACAAACGTGATTCTGCGAATGCTTCTGTCTAGTTTTTGTCGGAAGATATTTCCTTTTTCAGCATAGGCCCCAAGGAGCTCAAAATGTCCACTGCCAGATAGTACGAGAAGATTGTTTCAAACCTGCTCTGTGAAAGGGAATGTTCAACTCTGTGACTTGAATGTAAACATCCCTAAGATGTTTCTTAGAATGCTTCTGGCTAGATTTTATTTGAAGATATTCCCGTTTCCAACGAAATCCTCAAAGCTTTCCAAATATCCACTTCCAGATTCTATAACAAGAATGTTTCAGAACAGTTCTGTCAAAAGAAAGGTTCAACTCTGTTAGTGGAGAACACACATCACAATCAAGGTTCTGAGAATGCTTCTGTCTAAATTTTCTATGAAGACATTCCCGTTTCCAACGAAATCCTCACAGCTATCCAAATATCCACTTGCAGATTCTACAAAAAGTGTGGTTCAAAACTGCTGTATCAAAAGAATGGATCAACACTGTTAGTTGACTACCCACATCACAAACGTGATTCTCAGAATGCTTCTGTCTAGTTTCTATAGGTAGATATTTCCTTTTTCAGCATAGGCCTGAAAGCGCTCTAAATGCCCGCTTCCAGACACTATAAAAAGAGGGTTTCAAACCTACTCTATGAAAGGGAATGTTCAACTCTGAGAGCTGGATGCAAACATCACAAAGAAGTTTCTGAGAATGCTGCTGTCTACTTTTTATATATAATCCCGTTTCCAACGAAATCCTCAAATCTATCCAAATATCCACTTGCAGATTCCAAAAGAAGAGTGTCTCAAAACTGCTCTATCAATAGAAATGTTCAGCACAGTTAGTTGAGTAGATACAGCATAAACATGTTTCTGAGATTACTTCTATCTCGCATTCATGGGAAGATATTTCCTTTTTCCAGATAGGCTACAAAGCCCTCCAAATGTCCACTTCCAGATACTACAAAAAGAGTGTTTCCAACCTGCTCTATGAAACGGAAGGTTCAACTCTGTGACTTGATTGCAAACATCACGAAGGTGTTTCTGAGAATGCTTCTGTCTAGATTTTCTTTGAAGACATTACCGTTTCCAACGAAATCCTCAAAGCTAGCCAAATATCCACCTGCAGATTCTACAAAAAGAGTGTTTCAAAAGTGCTCTGTCCAAACCAAGGTTCAATTCTGACAGTTGAGTGCACACATCACAAACGTGATTCTGCGAATGCTTCTGTCTAGTTTTTGTCGGAAGATATTTCCTTTTTCAGCATAGGCCCCAAGGAGCTCAAAATGTCCACTGCCAGATAGTACGAGAAGATTGTTTCAAACCTGCTCTGTGAAAGGGAATGTTCAACTCTGTGACTTGAATGTAAACATCCCTAAGATGTTTCTTAGAATGCTTCTGGCTAGATTTGATTTGAAGATATTCCCGTTTCCAACGAAATCCTCAAAGCTTTCCAAATATCCACTTCCAGATTCTATAACAAGAATGTTTCAGAACAGTTCTGTCAAAAGAAAGGTTCAACTCTGTTAGTGGAGAACACACATCACAATCAAGGTTCTGAGAATGCTTCTGTCTAAATTTTCTATGAAGACATTCCCGTTTCCAACGAAATCCTCACAGCTATCCAAATATCCACTTGCAGATTCTACAAAAAGTGTGGTTCAAAACTGCTGTATCAAAAGAATGGATCAACACTGTTAGTTGAGTACCCACATCACAAACGTGATTCTCAGAATGCTTCTGTCTAGTTTCTATAGGTAGATATTTCCTTTTTCAGCATAGGCCTCAAAGCGCTCCAAATGCCCGCTTCCAGACACTATAAAAAGAGGGTTTCAAACCTACTCTACGAAAGGGAATGTTCAACTCTGAGAGCTGGATGCAAACATCACAAAGAAGTTTCTGAGAATGCGGCTGTCTACTTTTTATATATAATCCCGTTGCCAACGAAATCCTGAAATCTATCCAAATATCCACTTGCAGATTCCAAAAGAAGAGTGTCTCAAAACTGCTCTATCAATAGAAATGTTCAGCACAGTTAGTTGAGTAGATACAGCATAAACATGTTTCTGATATTACTTCTATCTCGCATTCATGGGAAGATATTTCCTTTATCCAGATAGGCTACAAAGCCCTCCAAATGTCCACTTCGAGATACTACAAATAGAGTGCTGCACAGCTGCTCTATGTGAGGGGATGTTCAATTCTGTGACTTGAATACAGACACCACAAAGAAGTTTTGATAATGCTGCTGTCTAATTTTTATATGTAAGCCCGTTTCCAAAGAAATCCTCAAAGCTATCCAAATATCCGCATGCAGAATCTTCAAAAAGAGTGTTCCAGAAGTACTGCATGAAACGAAAGGTTCAAGTCCGTTAGTGGAGGACACACATCAAAAATAAGTTTCTCAGAATGCTTCTGTCTTGTTTTCATTGGAAGATATTTCCTTTTTCATCATAGTTCAGAAAGCGCTCCAAATGACCACTTCCAGATACTAGAAAAGGAGTGTTTCCAACCTGCTCCATGAATGGGAATGTTCCACTCTGTGACTTGAATGGAAATATGGCAAAGTATTTTCTGAGTATGCTGCTGTGTACGTTTTATATTGCATCCCGTTTCCAACGAAATCCTCAAAGCGATCCAAATATCCACTTGCAGATTCCAAAAAAAAGAGTGTTTCACACTGCTCTGTCAGTACAAAGGTTCAACACTGTTAGTTGATTGGATGCATCATAAACAAGTTCCTGAGATAGCTTCTATGTCGTTTTTATGGGAAGATATTTCCTTTTTCACCATAGGCCTGAAAGCGCTCCAAATGTCCACTTCCAGATACTACAAAAAGAGTGTTTCCAACCTGCTCTATGAAACGGAAGGTTCAACTCTGTGACTTGATTGCAAACATCACGAAGGTGTTTCTGAGAATGTTTCTGTCTAGATTTTCTTTGAAGACATTACCGTTTCCAACGAAATCCTCAAAGCTAGCCAAATATCCACCTGCAGATTCTACAAAAAGAGTGTTTCAAAAGTGCTGTGTCCAAACAAAGGTTCAATTCTGACAGTTGAGTGCACACATCACAAACGTGATTCTGCGAATGCTTCTGTCTAGTTTTTGTCGGAAGATATTTCCTTTCTCAGCATAGGCCCCAAGGAGCTCAAAATGTCCACTTCCAGATAGTACGAGAAGATTGTTTCAAACCTGCTCTGTGAAAGGGAATGTTCAACTCTGTGACTTGAATGTAAACATCCCTAAGATGTTTCTTAGAATGCTTCTTGCTAGATTTTATTTGAAGATATTCCCGTTTCCAAGGAAATCCTCAAAGCTTTCCAAATATCCACTTCCAGATTCTATAAAAAGAATGTTTCAAAACAGTTCTGTCAAAAGAAAGGTTCAACCCTGTTAGTGGAGAACACACATCACAATCAAGGTTCTGAGAATGCTTCTGTCTAAATTTTCTATGAAGACATTCCCGTTTCCAAGGAAATCCTCACAGCTATCCAAATATCCACTTGCAGATTCTACAAAAAGTGTGGTTCAAAACTGCTGTATCAAAAGAATGGATCAACACTGTTAGTTGAGTACCCACATCACCAACGTGATTCTCAGAATGCTTCTGTCTAGTTTCTATAGGTAGATATTTCCTTTTTCAGCATAGGCCTGAAAGCGCTCCAAATGCCCGCTTCCAGACACTATAAAAAGAGGGTTTCAAACCTACTCTACGAAAGGGAATGTTCAACTCTGAGAGCTGGATGCAAACATCACAAAGAAGTTTCTGAGAATGCTGCTGTCTACTTTTGATATATAATCCCGTTTCCAAGGAAATCCTCAAATCTATCCAAATATCCACTTGCAGATTCCAAAAGAAGAGTGTCTCAAAACTGCTCTATCAATAGAAATGTTCAGCACAGTTAGTTGAGTAGATACAGCATAAACATGTTTCTGAGATTACTTCTATCTCGCATTCATGGGAAGATATTTCCTTTTTCCAGATAGGCTACAAAGCCCTCCAAATGTCCACTTCCAGATACTACAAATAGAGTGCTGCACAGCTGCTCTATGTGAGGGGATGTTCAATTCTGTGACTTGAATGCAGACACCACAAAGAAGTTTCTGAGAATGCTGCTGTCTAATTTTTATATGTAAGCCCGTTTCCAACGAAATCTTCAAAGCTATCCAAATATCCGCATGCAGAAACTTAAAAAAGTGTGTTCCAGAAATACTGCATGAAACGAAAGGTTCAAGTCCGTTAGTTGAGGACACACATCACAAATAAGTTTCTCAGAATGCTTCTGTCTTGTTTTCATTGGAAGATATTTCCTTTTTCACCATAGTTCAGAAAGCCCTCCAAATGTCCACTTCCAGATACTCCAAAAAGAGTGTTTCCAACCTGCTCTATGAATGGGAATGTTCCACTCTGTGACTTGAATGGAAATATGGCAAAGAATTTTCTGAGTATGCTGCTGTTTACGTTTTATATTGCATCCCGTTTCCAACGAAATCCTCAAAGCGATCCAAATATCCACTTGCAGATTCCAAAAAAAAGAGTGTTTCACACTGCTCTGTCAGTACAAAGGTTCAACACTGTTAGTTGATTGGATGCATCATAAACAAGTTCCTGAGATAGCTTTCTATGTCGTTTTTATGGGAAGATATTTCCTTTTTCACCATAGGCCTGAAAGCGCTCCAAATGTCCACTTCCAGATACTACAAAAAGAGTGTTTCCAACCTGCTCTATGAAACGGAAGGTTCAACTCTGTGACTTGATTGCAAACATCACGAAGGTGTTTCGGAGAATGCTTCTGTCTAGATTTTCTTTGAAGACATTACCGTTTCCAACGAAATCCTCAAAGCTAGCCAAATATCCACCTGCAGATTCTACAAAAAGAGTGTTTCAAAAGTGCTCTGTCCAAACCAAGGTTCAATTCTGACAGTTGAGTGCACACATCACAAACGTGATTCTGCGAATGCTTCTGTCTAGTTTTTGTCGGAAGATATTTCCTTTTTCAGCATAGGCCCCAAGGAGCTCAAAATGTCCACTGCCAGATAGTACGAGAAGATTGTTTCAAACCTGCTCTGTGAAAGGGAATGTTCAACTCTGTGACTTGAATGTAAACATCCCTAAGATGTTTCTTAGAATGCTTCTGGCTAGATTTGATTTGAAGATATTCCCGTTTCCAACGAAATCCTCAAAGCTTTCCAAATATCCACTTCCAGATTCTATAAAAAGAATGTTTCAGAACAGTTCTGTCAAAAGAAAGGTTCAACTCTGTTAGTGGAGAACACACATCACAATCAAGGTTACTGAGAATGCTTCTGTCTAGCATTTTCTTTGAAGACATTCCCGTTTCCAACGAAATCCTCACAGCTATCCAAATATCCTCTTGCAGATTCTACAAAAAGTGTGGTTCAAAACTGCTGTATCAAAAGAATGGATCAACACTGTTAGTTGAGTACCCACATCACAAACGTGATTCTCAGAATGCTTCTGTCTAGTTTCTGTAGGTAGATATTTCCTATTTTAAGCATAGGCCTGAAAGCGCTCCAAATGCCCGCTTCCAGACACTATAAAAAGAGGGTTTCAAACCTACTCTATGAAAGGGAATGTTCAACTCTGAGAGCTGGATGCAAACATCACAAAGAAGTTTCTGAGAATGCTGCTGTCTACTTTTTATATATAATCCCGTTTCCAACGAAATCCTCAAATCTATCCAAATATCCACTTGCAGATTCCAAAAGAAGAGTGTCTGAAAACTGCTCTATCAATAGAAATGTTCAGCACAGTTAGTTGAGTAGATACAGCATAAACATGTTTCTGAGATTACTTCTATCTCGCATTCATGGGAAGATATTTCCTTTTTCCAGATAGGCTACAATGCCCTCCAAATGTCCACTTCCAGATACTACAAATAGAGTGCTGCACAACTGCTCTATGTGAGGGGATGTTCAATTCTGTGACTTGAATGCAGACACCACAAAGAAGTTTCTGAGAATTCTGCTGTCTAATTTTTACATGTAAGCCCGTTTCCAACGAAATCCTCAAAGCTATCCAAATATCCGCATGCAGAATCTTCAAAAAGAGTGTTCCAGAAGTACTGCATGAAACGAAAGGTTCAAGTCCGTTTGTTGAGGACACACATCACAAATAAGTTTCTCAGAATGCTTCTGTCTTGTTTTCATTGGAAGATATTTCCTTTTTCACCATAGTTCAGAAAGCGCTCCAAATGTCCACTTCCAGATACTCCAAAAAGAGTGTTTCAAACCTGCTCTATGAATGTGAATGTTCCACTCTGTGACTTGAATGGAAATATGGCAAAGTATTTTCTGAGTATGCTGCTGTGTACGTTTTATATTGCATCCCGTTTCCAACGAAATCCTCAAAGCGATCCAAATATCCACTTGCAGATTCCAAAAAAAGAGTGTTTCAAACTGCTCTGTCAGTACAAAGGTTCAACACTGTTAGTTGATTAGATGCATCATAAACATGTTCCTGAGACAGCTTCTATGTCGTTTTTATGGGAAGATATTTCCTTTTTCACCATAGGCCTGAAAGCGCTCCAAATGTCCACTTCCAGATACTACAATAAGAGTGTTTCCAACCTGCTCTATGAAACGGAAGGTTCAACTCTGTGACTTGATTGCAAACATCACGAAGGTGTTCCTCAGAATGATTCTGTCTAGATTTTCTTTGAAGACATTCCCGTTTCCAACGAAATCCTCACAGCTATCCAAATATCCTCTTGCAGATTCTACAAAAAGTGTGGTTCAAAACTGCTGTATCAAAAGAATGGATCAACACTGTTAGTTGAGTACCCACATCACAAACGAGATTCTCAGAATGCTTCTGTCTAGTTTCTGTAGGTAGATATTTCCTTTTTCAGCATAGGCCTGAAAGCGCTCCAAATGCCCGCTTCCAGACACTATAAAAAGGGGGTTTCAAACCTACTCTATGAAAGGGAATGTTCAACTCTGAGAGCTGGATGCAAACATCACAAAGAAGTTTTCTGAGAATGCTGCTGTCTATTTTTATATATAATCCCGTTTCCAACGAAATCCTCAAATCTATCCAAATATCCACTTGCAGATTCCAAAAGAAGAGTGTCTCAAAACTGCTCTATCAATAGAAATGTTCAGCACAGTTAGTTGAGTAGATACAGCATAAACATGTTTCTGAGATTACTTCTATCTCGCATTCATGGGAAGATATTTCCTTTTTCCAGATAGGCTACAAAGCCCTCCAAATGTCCACTTCCAGATACTACAAAAAGAGTGTTTCCAACCTGCTCTATGAAACGGAAGGTTCAACTCTGTGACTTGATTGCAAACATCACGAAGGTGTTTCTGAGAATGCTTCTGTCTAGATTTTCTTTGAAGACATTACCGTTTCCAACGAAATCCTCAAAGCTAGCCAAATATCCACCTGCAGATTCTACAAAAAGAGTGTTTCAAAAGTGCTCTGTCCAAACCAAGGTTCAATTCTGACAGTTGAGTGCACACATCACAAACGTGATTCTGCGAATGCTTCTGTCTAGTTTTTGTCGGAAGATATTTCCTTTTTCAGCATAGGCCCCAAGGAGCTCAAAATGTCCACTGCCAGATAGTACGAGAAGATTGTTTCAAACCTGCTCTGTGAAAGGGAATGTTCAACTCTGTGACTTGAATGTAAACATCCCTAAGATGTTTCTTAGAATGCTTCTGGCTAGATTTGATTTGAAGATATTCCCGTTTCCAACGAAATCCTCAAAGCTTTCCAAATATCCACTTCCAGATTCTATAAAAAGAATGTTTCAGAACAGTTCTGTCAAAAGAAAGGTTCAACTCTGTTAGTGGAGAACACACATCACAATCAAGGTTCTGAGAATGCTTCTGTCTAAATTTTCTATGAAGACATTCCCGTTTCCAACGAAATCCTCACAGCTATCCAAATATCCACTTGCAGATTCTACAAAAAGTGTGGTTCAAAACTGCTGTATCAAAAGAATGGATCAACACTGTTAGTTGAGTACCCACATCACAAACGTGATTCTCAGAATGCTTCTGTCTAGTTTCTATAGGTAGATATTTCCTTTTTCAGCATAGGCCTCAAAGCGCTCCAAATGCCCGCTTCCAGACACTATAAAAAGAGGGTTTCAAACCTACTCTATGAAAGGGAATGTTCAACTCTGAGAGCTGGATGCAAACATCACAAAGAAGTTTCTGAGAATGCTGCTGTCTACTTTTTATATATAATCCCGTTTCCAACGAAATCCTCAAATCTATCCAAATATCCACTTGCAGATTCCAAAAGAAGAGTGTCTCAAAACTGCTCTATCAATAGAAATGTTCAGCACAGTTAGTTGAGTAGATACAGCATAAACATCTTTCTGAGATTACTTCTATCTCGCATTCATGGGAAGATATTTCCTTTTTCCAGATAGGCTACAAAGCCCTCCAAATGTCCACTTCCAGATACTACAAAAAGAGTGTTTCCAACCTGCTCTATGAAACGGAAGGTTCAACTCTGTGACTTGATTGCAAACATCACGAAGGTGTTTCTGAGAATGCTTCTGTCTAGATTTTCTTTGAAGACATTACCGTTTCCAACGAAATCCTCAAAGCTAGCCAAATATCCACCTGCAGATTCTACAAAAAGAGTGTTTCAAAAGTGCTCTGTCCAAACCAAGGTTCAATTCTGACAGTTGAGTGCACACATCACAAACGTGATTCTGCGAATGCTTCTGTCTAGTTTTTGTCGGAAGATATTTCCTTTTTCAGCATAGGCCCCAAGGAGCTCAAAATGTCCACTGCCAGATAGTACGAGAAGATTGTTTCAAACCTGCTCTGTGAAAGGGAATGTTCAACTCTGTGACTTGAATGTAAACATCCCTAAGATGTTTCTTAGAATGCTTCTGGCTAGATTTGATTTGAAGATATTCCCGTTTCCAACGAAATCCTCAAAGCTTTCCAAATATCCACTTCCAGATTCTATAAAAAGAATGTTTCAGAACAGTTCTGTCAAAAGAAAGGTTCAACTCTGTTAGTGGAGAACACACATCACAATCAAGGTTCTGAGAATGCTTCTGTCTAAATTTTCTATGAAGACATTCCCGTTTCCAACGAAATCCTCACAGCTATCCAAATATCCACTTGCAGATTCTACAAAAGGTGTGGTTCAAAACTGCTGTATCAAAAGAATGGATCAACACTGTTAGTTGAGTACCCACATCACAAACGTGATTCTCAGAATGCTTCTGTCTAGTTTCTATAGGTAGATATTTCCTTTTTCAGCATAGGCCTGAAAGCGCTCCAAATGCCCGCTTCCAGACACTATAAAAAGAGGGTTTCAAACCTACTCTATGAAAGGGAATGTTCAACTCTGAGAGCTGGATGCAAACATCACAAAGAAGTTTCTGAGAATGCTGCTGTCTACTTTTTATATATAATCCCGTTTCCAACGAAATCCTCAAATCTATCCAAATATCCACTTGCAGATTCCAAAAGAAGAGTGTCTCAAAACTGCTCTATCAATAGAAATGTTCAGCACAGTTAGTTGAGTAGATACAGCATAAACATGTTTCTCAGATTACTTCTATCTCGCATTCATGGGAAGATATTTCCTTTTTCCAGATAGGCTACAAAGCCCTCCAAATGTCCACTTCCAGATACTACAAATAGAGTGCTGCACAACTGCTCTATGTGAGGGGAAGTTCAATTCTGTGACTTGAATGCAGACACCACAAAGAAGTTTACTGAGAATGCTGCTGTCTAATTTTTACATGTAAGACCGTTTCCAACGAAATCCTCAAAGCTATCCAAATATCCGCATGCAGAATCTTCAAAAAGAGTGTTCCAGAAGTACTGCATGAAACGAAAGGTTCAAGTCCGTTTGTTGAGGACACACATCACAAATAAGTTTCTCAGAATTCTTCTGTCTTGTTTTCATTGGAAGATATTTCCTTTTTCACCATAGTTCAGAAAGCGCTCCAAATGTCCACTTCCAGATACTCCAAAAAGAGTGTTTCAAACCTGCTCTATGAATGGGAATGTTCCACTCTGTGACTTGAATGGAAATATGGCAAAGTATTTTCTGAGTATGCTGCTGTGTACGTTTTATATTGCATCCCGTTTCCAACGAAATCCTCAAAGCGATCCAAATATCCACTTGCAGATTCCAAAAAAAGAGTGTTTCAAACTGCTCTGTCAGTACAAAGGTTCAACACTGTTAGTTGATTAGATGCATCATAAACAAGTTCCTGAGATAGCTTCTATGTCGTTTTTATGGGAAGATATTTCCTTTTTCACCATAGGCCTGAAAGCGCTCCAAATGTCCACTTCCAGATACTACAATAAGAGTGTTTCCAACCTGCTCTATGAAACGGAAGGTTCAACTCTGTGACTTGATTGCAAACATCACGAAGGTGTTTCTGAGAATGCTTCTGTCTAGATTTTCTTTGAAGACATTCCCGTTTCCAACGAAATCCTCACAGCTATCCAAATATCCTCTTGCAGATTCTACAAAAAGTGTGGTTCAAAACTGCTGTATCAAAAGAATGGATCAACACTGTTAGTTGAGTACCCACATCACAAACGTGATTCTCAGAATGCTTCTGTCTAGTTTCTGTAGGTAGATATTTCCTATTTTAAGCATAGGCCTGAAAGCGCTCCAAATGCCCGCTTCCAGACACTATAAAAAGAGGGTTTCAAACCTACTCTATGAAAGGGAATGTTCAACTCTGAGAGCTGGATGCAAACATCACAAAGAAGTTTCTGAGAATGCTGCTGTCTACTTTTTATATATAATCCCGTTTCCAACGAAATCCTCAAATCTATCCAAATATCCACTTGCAGATTCCAAAAGAAGAGTGTCTCAAAACTGCTCTATCAATAGAAATGTTCAGCACAGTTAGTTGAGTAGATACAGCATAAACATGTTTCTGAGATTACTTCTATCTCGCATTCATGGGAAGATATTTCCTTTTTCCAGATAGGCTACAAAGCCCTCCAAATGTCCACTTCCAGATACTACAGAAAGAGTGTTTCCAGCCTGCTCTATGAAACGGAAGGTTCAACTCTGTGACTTGATTGCAAACATCACGAAGGTGTTTCTGAGAATGCTTCTGTCTAGATTTTCTTTGAAGACATTACCGTTTCCAACGAAATCCTCAAAGCTAGCCAAATATCCACCTGCAGATTCTACAAAAAGAGTGTTTCAAAAGTGCTCTGTCCAAACCAAGGTTCAATTCTGACAGTTGAGTGCACACATCACAAACGTGATTCTGCGAATGCTTCTGTCTAGTTTTTGTCGGAAGATATTTCCTTTTTCAGCATAGGCCCCAAGGAGCTCACAATGTCCACTGCCAGATAGTACGAGAAGATTGTTTCAAATCTGCTCTGTGAAAGGGAATGTTCAACTCTGTGACTTGAATGTAAACATCCCTAAGATGTTTCTTAGAATGCTTCTGGCTAGATTTTATTTGAAGATATTCCCGTTTCCAATGAAATCCTCAAAGCTTTCCAAATATCCACTTCCAGATTCTATAAAAAGAATGTTTCAGAACAGTTCTGTCAAAAGAAAGGTTCAACTCTGTTAGTGGAGAACACACACCACAATCAAGGTTCTGAGAATGCTTCTGTCTAAATTTTCTATGAAGACATTCCCGTTTCCAACGAAATCCTCACAGCTATCCAAATATCCACTTGCAGATTCTACAAAAAGTGTGGTTCAAAACTGCTGTATCAAAAGAATGGATCAACACTGTTAGTTGAGTACCCACATCACAAACGTGATTCTCAGAATGCTTCTGTCTAGTTTCTATAGGTAGATATTTCCTTTTTCAGCATAGGCCTGAAAGCGCTCCAAATGCCCGCTTCCAGACACTATAAAAAGAGGGTTTCAAACCTACTCTATGAAAGGGAATGTTCAACTCTGAGAGCTGGATGCAAACATCACAAAGAAGTTTCTGAGAATGCTGCTGTCTACTTTTTATATATAATCCCGTTGCCAACGAAATCCTCAAATCTATCCAAATATCCACTTGCAGATTCCAAAAGAAGAGTGTCTCAAAACTGCTCTATCAATAGAAATGTTCAGCACAGTTAGTTGAGTAGATACAGCATAAACATGTTTCTGAGATTACTTCTATCTCGCATTCATGGGAAGATATTTCCTTTTTCCAGATAGGCTACAAAGCCCTCCAAATGTCCACTTCGAGATACTACAAATAGAGTGCTGCACAACTGCTGTATGTGAGGGGATGTTCAATTCTGTGGCTTGGATGCAGACACCACAGAGAAGTTTCTGAGAATGCTGCTGTCTAATTTTTATATGTAAGCCCGTTTCCAACGAAATCCTCAAAGCTATCCAAATATCCGCATGCAGAATCTTCAAAAAGAGTGTTCCAGAAGTACTGCATGAAACGAAAGGTTCAAGTCCGTTAGTTGAGGACACACATCACAAATAAGTTTCTCAGAATGCTTCTGTCTTGTTTTCATTGGAAGATATTTCCTTTTTCACCATAGTTCAGAAAGCGCTCCAAATGTCCACTTCCAGATACTACAAAAAGAGTGTGTCAAACCTGCTCTATGAATGGGAATGTTCCACTCTGTGACTTGAATGGAAATATGGCAAAGTATTTTCTGAGTATGCTGCTGTGTACGTTTTATATTGCATCCCGTTTCCAACGAAATCCTCAAAGCGATCCAAATATCCACTTGCAGATTCCAAAAAAAAGAGTGTTTCACACTGCTCTGTCAGTACAAAGGTTCAACACTGTTAGTTGATTGGATGCATCATAAACAAGTTCCTGAGATAGCTTCTATGTCGTTTTTATGGGAAGATATTTCCTTCTTCACCATAGGCCTGAAAGCGCACCAAATGTCCACTTCCAGATACTACAAAAAGAGTGTTTCCAACCTGCTCTACGAAACGGAAGGTTCAACTCTGTGACTTGATTGCAAACATCACGCAGGTGTTTCTGAGAATGTTTCTGTCTAGATTTTCTTTGAAGACATTACCGTTTCCAACGAAATCCTCAAAGCTAGTCAAATATCCACCTACAGATTCTACAAAAAGAGTGTTTCAAAAGTGCTCTGTCCAAACAAAGGTTCAATTCTGTCAGTTGAGTGCACACATCACAAACGTGATTCTGCGAATGCTTCTGTCTAGTTTTTGTCGGAAGATATTTCCTTTTTCAGCATAGGCCCCAAGGAGCTCAAAATGTCCACTTCCAGATAGTACGAGAAGATTGTTTCAAACCTGCCCTGTGAAAGGGAATGTTCAACTCTGTGACTTGAATGTAAACATCCCTAAGATGTTTCTTAGAATGCTTCTGGCTAGATTTGATTTGAAGATATTCCCGTTTCCAACGAAATCCTCAAAGCTTTCCAAATATCCACTTCCAGATTCTATAAAAAGAATGTTTCAGAACAGTTCTGTCAAAAGAAAGGTTCAACCCTGTTAGTGGAGAACACACATCACAATCAACGTTCTGAGAATGCTTCTGTCTAAATTTTCTATGAAGACATTCCCGTTTCCAAGGAAATCCTCACAGCTATCCAAATATCCACTTGCAGATTCTACAAAAAGTGTGGTTCAAAACTGCTGTATCAAAAGAATGGATCAACACTGTTAGTTGAGTACCCACATCACAAACGTGATTCTCAGAATGCTTCTGTCTAGTTTCTATAGGTAGATATTTCCTTTTTCAGCATAGGCCTGAAAGCGCTCCAAATGCCCGCTTCCAGACACTATAAAAAGAGGGTTTCAAACCTACTCTACGAAAGGGAATGTTCAACTCTGAGAGCTGGATGCAAACATCACAAAGAAGTTTCTGAGAATGCGGCTGTCTACTTTTTATATATAATCCCGTTGCCAACGAAATCCTCAAATCTATCCAAATATCCACTTGCAGATTCCAAAAGAAGAGTGTCTCAAAACTGCTCTATCAATAGAAATGTTCAGCACAGTTAGTTGAGTAGATACAGCATAAACATGTTTCTGAGATTACTTCTATCTCGCATTCATGGGAAGATATTTCCTTTTTCCAGATAGGCTACAAAGCCCTCCAAATGTCCACTTCGAGATACTACAAATAGAGTGCTGCACAACTGCTCTATGTGAGGGGATGTTCAATTCTGTGACTTGGATGCAGACACCACAGAGAAGTTTCTGAGAATGCTGCTGTCTAATTTTTATATGTAAGCCCGTTTCCAACGAAATCCTCAAAGCTATCCAAATATCCGCATGCAGAATCTTCAAAAAGAGTGTTCCAGAAGTACTGCATGAAACGAAAGGTTCAAGTCCGTTAGTTGAGGACTCACATCACAAATAAGTTTCTCAGAATGCTTCTGTCTTGTTTTCATTGGAAGATATTTCCTTTTTCACCATAGTTCAGAAAGCGCTCCAAATGTCCACTTCCAGATACTACAAAAGGAGTGTTTCCAACCTGCTCTATGAATGGGAATGTTCCACTCTGTGACTTGAATGGAAATATGGCAAAGTATTTTCTGAGTATGCTGCTGTGTACGATTTATATTGCATCCCGTTTCCAACGAAATCCTCAAAGCGATCCAAATATCCACTTGCAGATTCCAAAAAAAAGAGTGTTTCACACTGCTCTGTCAGTACAAAAGTTCAACACTGTTAGTTGATTGGATGCATCATAAACAAGTTCCTGAGATAGCTTCTATGTCGTTTTTATGGGAAGATATTTCCTTTTTCACCATAGGCCTGAAAGCGCTCCAAATGTCCACTTCCAGATACTACAAAAAGAGTGTTTCCAACCTGCCCTATCAAACGGAAGGTTCAACTCTGTGACTTGATTGCAAACATCACGAAGGTGTTTCTGAGAATGTTTCTGTCTAGATTTTCTGTGAAGACATTACCGTTTCCAACGAAATCCTCAAAGCTAGCCAAATATCCACCTGCAGATTCTACAAAAAGAGTGTTTCAAAAGTGCTCTGTCCAAACCAAGGTTCAATTCTGACAGTTGAGTGCACACATCACAAACGTGATTCTGCGAATGCTTCTGTCTAGTTTTTGTCGGAAGATATTTCCTTTTTCAGCATAGGCCCCAAGGAGCTCAAAATGTCCACTGCCAGATAGTACGAGAAGATTGTTTCAAACCTGCTCTGTGAAAGGGAATGTTCAACTCTGTGACTTGAATGTAAACATCCCTAAGATGTTTCTTAGAATGCTTCTGGCTAGATTTTATTTGAAGATATTCCCGTTTCCAATGAAATCCTCAAAGCTTTCCAAATATCCACTTCCAGATTCTATAAAAAGAATGTTTCAGAACAGTTCTGTCAAAAGAAAGGTTCAACTCTGTTAGTGGAGAACACACATCACAATCAAGGTTCTGAGAATGCTTCTGTCTAAATTTTCTATGAAGACATTACCGTTTCCAACGAAATCCTCACAGCTATCCAAATATCCACTTGCAGATTCTACAAAAAGTGTGGTTCAAAACTGCTGTATCAAAAGAATGGATCAACACTGTTAGTTGAGTACCCACATCACAAACGTGATTCTCAGAATGCTTCTGTCTAGTTTCTATAGGTAGATATTTCCTTTTTCAGCATAGGCCTGAAAGCGCTCCAAATGCCCGCTTCCAGACACTATAAAAAGAGGGTTTCAAACCTACTCTATGAAAGGGAATGTTCAACTCTGAGAGCTGGATGCAAACATCACAAAGAAGTTTCTGAGAATGCTGCTGTCTACTTTTTATATATAATCCCGTTTCCAACGAAATCCTCAAATCTATCCAAATATCCACTTGCAGATTCCAAAAGAAGAGTGTCTGAAAACTGCTCTATCAATAGAAATGTTCAGCACAGTTAGTTGAGTAGATACAGCATAAACATGTTTCTGAGATTACTTCTATCTCGCATTCATGGGAAGATATTTCCTTTTTCCACATAGGCTACAAAGCCCTCCAAATGTCCACTTCCAGATACTACAAAAAGAGTGTTTCCAACCTGCTCTATGAAACGGAAGGTTCAACTCTGTGACTTGATTGCAAACATCACGAAGGTGTTTCTGAGAATGCTTCTGTCTAGATTTTCTTTGAAGACATTACCGTTTCCAACGAAATCCTCAAAGCTAGCCAAATATCCACCTGCAGATTCTACAAAAAGAGTGTTTCAAAAGTGCTCTGTCCAAACCAAGGTTCAATTCTGACAGTTGAGTGCACACATCACAAACGTGATTCTGCGAATGCTTCTGTCTAGTTTTTGTCGGAAGATATTTCCTTTTTCAGCATAGGCCACAAGGAGCTCAAAATGTCCACTGCCAGATAGTACGAGAAGATTGTTTCAAACCTGCTCTGTGAAAGGGAATGTTCAACTCTGTGACTTGAATGTAAACATCCCTAAGATGTTTCTTAGAATGCTTCTGGCTAGATTTTATTTGAAGATATTCCCGTTTCCAACGAAATCCTCAAAGCTTTCCAAATATCCACTTCCAGATTCTATAAAAAGAATGTTTCAGAACAGTTCTGTCAAAAGAAAGGTTCAACTCTGTTAGTGGAGAACACACATCACAATCAAGGTTCTGAGAATGCTTCTGTCTAAATTTTCTATGAAGACATTCCCGTTTCCAACGAAATCCTCACAGCTATCCAAATATCCACTTGCAGATTCTACAAAAAGTGTGGTTCAAAACTGCTGTATCAAAAGAATGGATCAACACTGTTAGTTGAGTACCCACATCACAAACGTGATTCTCAGAATGCTTCTGTCTAGTTTCTATAGGTAGATATTTCCTTTTTCAGCATAGGCCTGAAAGCGCTCCAAATGCCCGCTTCCAGACACTATAAAAAGAGGGTTTCAAACCTACTCTATGAAAGGGAATGTTCAACTCTGAGAGCTGGATGCAAACATCACAAAGAAGTTTCTGAGAATGCTGCTGTCTACTTTTTATATATAATCCCGTTTCCAAGGAAATCCTCAAATCTATCCAAATATCCACTTGCAGATTCCAAAAGAAGAGTGTCTCAAAACTGCTCTATCAATAGAAATGTTCAGCACAGTTAGTTGAGTACATACAGCATAAACATGTTTCTGAGATTACTTCTATCTCGCATTCATGGGAAGATATTTCCTTTTTCCAGATAGGCTACAAAGCCCTCCAAATGTCCACTTCCAGATACTACAAATAGAGTGCTGCACAACTGCTCTATGTGAGGGGATGTTCAATTCTGTGACTTGAATGCAGACACCACAAAGAAGTTTCTGAGAATGCTGCTGTCTAATTTTTACATGTAAGCCCGTTTCCAACGAAATCCTCAAAGCTATCCAAATATCCGCATGCAGAATCTTCAAAAAGAGTGTTCCAGAAGTACTGCATGAAACGAAAGGTTCAAGTCCGTTTGTTGAGGACACACATCACAAATAAGTTTCTCAGAATGCTTCTGTCTTGTTTTCATTGGAAGATATTTCCTTTTTCACCATAGTTCAGAAAGCGCTCCAAATGTCCACTTCCAGATACTCCAAAAAGAGTGTTTCAAACCTGCTCTATGAATGGGAATGTTCCACTCTGTGACTTGAATGGAAATATGGCAAAGTATTTTCTGAGTATGCTGCTGTGTACGTTTTATATTGCATCCCGTTTCCAACGAAATCCTCAAAGCGATCCAAATATCCACTTGCAGATTCCAAAAAAAGAGTGTTTCAAACTGCTCTGTCAGTACAAAGGTTCAACACTGTTAGTTGATTAGATGCATCATAAACAAGTTCCTGAGATAGCTTCTATGTCGTTTTTATGGGAAGATATTTCCTTTTTCACCATAGGCCTGAAAGCGCTCCAAATGTCCACTTCCAGATACTACAAAAAGAGTGTTTCCAACCTGCTCTATGAAACGGAAGGTTCAACTCTGTGACTTGATTGCAAACATCACGAAGGTGTTTCTGAGAATGCTTTCTGTCTAGATTTTCTTTGAAGACATTACCGTTTCCAACGAAATCCTCAAAGCTAGCCAAATATCCACCTGCAGATTCTACAAAAAGAGTGTTTCAAAAGTGCTCTGTCCAAACAAAGGTTCAATTCTGACAGTTGAGTGCACACATCACAAACGTGATTCTGCGAATGCTTCTGTCTAGTTTTTGTCGGAAGATATTTCCTTTTTCAGCATAGGCCCCAAGGAGCTCAAAATGTCCACTTCCAGATAGTACGAGAAGATTGTTTCAAACCTGCTCTGTGAAAGGGAATGTTCAACTCTGTGACTTGAATGTAAACATCCCTAAGATGTTTCTTAGAATGCTTCTGGCTAGATTTTATTTGAAGATATTCCCGTTTCCAACGAAATCCTCAAAGCTTTCCAAATATCCACTTCCAGATTCTATAAAAAGAATGTTTCAAAACAGTTCTGTCAAAAGAAAGGTTCAACCCTGTTATTGGACAACACACATCACAATCAAGGTTCTGAGAATGCTTCTGTCTAAATTTTCTATGAAGACATTCCCGTTTCCAAGGAAATCCTCACAGCTATCCAAATATCCACTTGCAGATTCTACAAAAAGTGTGGTTCAAAACTGCTGTATCAAAAGAATGGATCAACACTGTTAGTTGAGTACCCACATCACCAACGTGATTCTCAGAATGCTTCTGTCTAGTTTCTATAGGTAGATATTTCCTTTTTCAGCATAGGCCTGAAAGCGCTCCAAATGCCCGCTTCCAGACACTATAAAAAGAGGGTTTCAAACCTACTCTATGAAAGGGAATGTTCAACTCTGAGAGCTGGATGCAAACATCACAAAGAAGTTTCTGAGAATGCTGCTGTCTACTTTTTATATATAATCCCGTTTCCAACGAAATCCTCAAATCTATCCAAATATCCACTTGCAGATTCCAAAAGAAGAGTGTCTGAAAACTGCTCTATCAATAGAAATGTTCAGCACAGTTAGTTGAGTAGATACAGCATAAACATGTTTCTGAGATTACTTCTATCTCGCATTCATGGGAAGATATTTCCTTTTTCCAGATAGGCTACAAAGCCCTCCAAATGTCCACTTCCAGATACTACAAAAAGAGTGTTTCCAACCTGCTCTATGAAACGGAAGGTTCAACTCTGTGACTTGATTGCAAACATCACGAAGGTGTTTCTGAGAATGCTTCTGTCTAGATTTTCTTTGAAGACATTACCGTTTCCAACGAAATCCTCAAAGCTAGCCAAATATCCACCTGCAGATTCTACAAAAAGAGTGTTTCAAAAGTGCTCTGTCCAAACCAAGGTTCAATTCTGACAGTTGAGTGCACACATCACAAACGTGATTCTGCGAATGCTTCTGTCTAGTTTTTGTCGGAAGATATTTCCTTTTTCAGCATAGGCCCCAAGGAGCTCAAAATGTCCACTGCCAGATAGTACGAGAAGATTGTTTCAAACCTGCTCTGTGAAAGGGAATGTTCAACTCTGTGACTTGAATGTAAACATCCCTAAGATGTTTCTTAGAATGCTTCTGGCTAGATTTTATTTGAAGATATTCCCGTTTCCAACGAAATCCTCAAAGCTTTCCAAATATCCACTTCCAGATTCTATAAAAAGAATGTTTCAGAACAGTTCTGTCAAAAGAAAGGTTCAACTCTGTTAGTGGAGAACACACATCACAATCAAGGTTCTGAGAATGCTTCTGTCTAAATTTTCTATGAAGACATTCCCGTTTCCAACGAAATCCTCACAGCTATCCAAATATCCACTTGCAGATTCTACAAAAAGTGTGGTTCAAAACTGCTGTATCAAAAGAATGGATCAACACTGTTAGTTGAGTACTCACATCACAAACGTGATTCTCAGAATGCTTCTGTCTAGTTTCTATAGGTAGATATTTCCTTTTTCAGCATAGGCCTGAAAGCGCTCCAAATGCCCGCTTCCAGACACTATAAAAAGAGGGTTTCAAACCTACTCTATGAAAGGGAATGTTCAACTCTGAGAGCTGGATGCAAACATCACAAAGAAGTTTCTGAGAATGCTGCTGTCTACTTTTTATATATAATCCCGTTTCCAACGAAATCCTCAAATCTATCCAAATATCCACTTGCAGATTCCAAAAGAAGAGTGTCTCAAAACTGCTCTATCAATAGAAATGTTCAGCACAGTTAGTTGAGTAGATACAGCATAAACATGTTTCTGAGATTACTTCTATCTCGCATTCATGGGAAGATATTTCCTTTTTCCAGATAGGCTACAAAGCCCTCCAAATGTCCACTTCCAGATACTACAAAAAGAGTGTTTCCAACCTGCTCTATGAAACGGAAGGTTCAACTCTGTGACTTGATTGCAAACATCACGAAGGTGTTTCTGAGAATGCTTCTGTCTAGATTTTCTTTGAAGACATTACCGTTTCCAACGAAATCCTCAAAGCTAGCCAAATATCCACCTGCAGATTCTACAAAAAGAGTGTTTCAAAAGTGCTCTGTCCAAACCAAGGTTCAATTCTGACAGTTGAGTGCACACATCACAAACGTGATTCTGCGAATGCTTCTGTCTAGTTTTTGTCGGAAGATATTTCCTTTTTCAGCATAGGCCCCAAGGAGCTCAAAATGTCCACTGCCAGATAGTACGAGAAGATTGTTTCAAACCTGCTCTGTGAAAGGGAATGTTCAACTCTGTGACTTGAATGTAAACATCCCTAAGATGTTTCTTAGAATGCTTCTGGCTAGATTTGATTTGAAGATATTCCCGTTTCCAACGAAATCCTCAAAGCTTTCCAAATATCCACTTCCAGATTCTATAAAAAGAATGTTTCAGAACAGTTCTGTCAAAAGAAAGGTTCAACTCTGTTAGTGGAGAACACACATCACAATGAAGGTTCTGAGAATGCTTCTGTCTAAATTTTCTATGAAGACATTCCCGTTTCCAACGAAATCCTCACAGCTATCCAAATATCCACTTGCAGATTCTACAAAAAGTGTGGTTCAAAACTTCTGTATCAAAAGAATGGATCAACACTGTTAGTTGAGTACCCACATCACAAACGTGATTCTCAGAATGCTTCTGTCTAGTTTCTATAGGTAGATATTTCCTTTTTCAGCATAGGCCTGAAAGCGCTCCAAATGCCCACTTCCAGACACTATAAAAAGAGGGTTTCAAACCTACTCTATGAAAGGGAATGTTCAACTCTGAGAGCTGGATGCAAACATCACAAAGAAGTTTCTGAGAATGCTCTGTCTACTTTTGATATATAATCCCGTTTCCAACGAAATCCTCAAATCTATCCAAATATCCACTTGCAGATTCCAAAAGAAGAGTGTCTCAAAACTGCTCTATCAATAGAAATGTTCAGCACAGTTAGTTGAGTAGATACAGCATAAACATGTTTCTGAGATTACTTTCTATCTCGCATTCATGGGAAGATATTTCCTTTTTCCAGATAGGCTACAAAGCCCTCCAAATGTCCACTTCCAGATACTACAAATAGAGTGCTGCACAACTGCTCTATGTGAGGGGAAGTTCAATTCTGTGACTTGAATGCAGACACCACAAAGAAGTTTCTGAGAATGCTGCTGTCTAATTTTTACATGTAAGCCCGTTTCCAACGAAATCCTCAAAGCTATCCAAATATCCGCATGCAGAATCTTCAAAAAGAGTGTTCCAGAAGTACTGCATGAAACGAAAGGTTCAAGTCCGTTTGTTGAGGACACACATCACAAATAAATTTCTCAGAATGCTTCTGTCGTGTTTTCATTGGAAGATATTTCCTTTTTCACCATAGTTCAGAAAGCGCTCCAAATGTCCACTTCCAGATACTCCAAAAAGAGTGTTTCCAACCTGCTCTATGAATGGGAATGTTCCACTCTGTGACTTGAATGGAAATATGGCAAAGTATTTTCTGAGTATGCTGCTGTGTACGTTTTATATTGCATCCCGTTTCCAACGAAATCCTCAAAGCGATCCAAATATCCACTTGCAGATTCGAAAAAAAGAGTGTTTCAAACTGCTCTGTCAGTACAAAGGTTCAACACTGTTAGTTGATTAGATGCATCATAAACAAGTTCCTGAGATAGCTTCTATGTCGTTTTTATGGGAAGATATTTCCTTTTTCACCATAGGCCTGAAAGCGCTCCAAATGTCCACTTCCAGATACTACAAAAAGAGTGTTTCCAACCTGCTCTATGAAACGGAAGGTTCAACTCTGTGACTTGATTGCAAACATCACGAAGGTGTTTCTGAGAATGCTTCTGTCTAGATTTTCTTTGAAGACATTACCGTTTCCAACGAAATCCTCAAAGCTAGCCAAATATCCACCTGCAGATTCTACAAAAAGAGTGTTTCAAAAGTGCTCTGTCCAAACCAAGGTTCAATTCTGACAGTTGAGTGCACACATCACAAACGTGATTCTGCGAATGCTTCTGTCTAGTTTTTGTCGGAAGATATTTCCTTTCTCAGCATAGGCCCCAAGGAGCTCAAAATGTCCACTTCCAGATAGTACGAGAAGATTGTTTCAAACCTGCTCTGTGAAAGGGAATGTTCAACTCTGTGACTTGAATGTAAATATCCCTAAGATGTTTCTTAGAATGCTTCTGGCTAGATTTTATTTGAAGATATTCCCGTTTCCAACGAAATCCTCAAAGCTTTCCAAATATCCACTTCCAGATTCTATAAAAAGAATGTTTCAGAACAGTTCTGTCAAAAGAAAGGTTCAACTCTGTTAGTGGAGAACACACATCACAATCAAGGTTCTGAGAATGCTTCTGTCTAAATTTTCTATGAAGACATTCCCGTTTCCAACGAAATCCTCACAGCTATCCAAATATCCACTTGCAGATTCTACAAAAAGTGTGGTTCAAAACTGCTGTATCAAAAGAATGGATCAACACTGTTAGTTGAGTACCCACATCACAAACGTGATTCTCAGAATGCTTCTGTCTAGTTTCTATAGGTAGATATTTCCTTTTTCAGCATAGGCCTGAAAGCGCTCCAAATGCCCGCTTCCAGACACTATAAAAAGAGGGTTTCAAACCTACTCTATGAAAGGGAATGTTCAACTCTGAGAGCTGGATGCAAACATCACAAAGAAGTTTCTGAGAATGCTGCTGTCTACTTTTGATATATAATCCCGTTTCCAACGAAATCCTCAAATCTATCCAAATATCCACTTGCAGATTCCAAAAGAAGAGTGTCTCAAAACTGCTCTATCAATAGAAATGTTCAGCACAGTTAGTTGAGTAGATACAGCATAAACATGTTTCTGAGATTACTTCTATCTCGCATTCATGGGAAGATATTTCCTTTTTCCACATAGGCTACAAAGCCCTCCAAATGTCCACTTCCAGATACTACAAAAAGAGTGTTTCCAACCTGCTCTATGAAACGGAAGGTTCAACTCTGTGACTTGATTGCAAACATCACGAAGGTGTTTCTGAGAATGCTTCTGTCTAGATTTTCTTTGAAGACATTACCGTTTCCAACGAAATCCTCAAAGCTAGCCAAATATCCACCTGCAGATTCTACAAAAAGAGTGTTTCAAAAGTGCTCTGTCCAAACCAAGGTTCAATTCTGACAGTTGAGTGCACACATCACAAACGTGATTCTGCGAATGCTTCTGTCTAGTTTTTGTCGGAAGATATTTCCTTTTTCAGCATAGGCCCCAAGGAGCTCAAAATGTCCACTGCCAGATAGTACGAGAAGATTGTTTCAAACCTGCTCTGTGAAAGGGAATGTTCAACTCTGTGACTTGAATGTAAACATCCCTAAGATGTTTCTTAGAATGCTTCTGGCTAGATTTTATTTGAAGATATTCCCGTTTCCAACGAAATCCTCAAAGCTTTCCAAATATCCACTTGCAGATTCTATAAAAAGAATGTTTCAGAACAGTTCTGTCAAAAGAAAGGTTCAACTCTGTTAGTGGAGAACACACATCACAATCAAGGTTCTGAGAATGCTTCTGTCTAAATTTTCTATGAAGACATTCCCGTTTCCAACGAAATCCTCACAGCTATCCAAATATCCACTTGCAGATTCTACAAAAAGTGTGGTTCAAAACTGCTGTATCAAAAGAATGGATCAACACTGTTAGTTGAGTACCCACATCACAAACGTGATTCTCAGAATGCTTCTGTCTAGTTTCTATAGGTAGATATTTCCTTTTTCAGCATAGGCCTGAAAGCGCTCCAAATGCCCGCTTCCAGACACTATAAAAAGAGGGTTTCAAACCTACTCTATGAAAGGGAATGTTCAACTCTGAGAGCTGGATGCAAACATCACAAAGAAGTTTCTGAGAATGCTGCTGTCTACTTTTGATATATAATCCCGTTTCCAACGAAATCCTCAAATCTATCCAAATATCCACTTGCAGATTCCAAAAGAAGAGTGTCTCAAAACTGCTCTATCAATAGAAATGTTCAGCACAGTTAGTTGAGTAGATACAGCATAAACATGTTTCTGAGATTACTTCTATCTCGCATTCATGGGAAGATATTTCCTTTTTCCAGGATAGGCTACAAAGCCCTCCAAATGTCCACTTCGAGATACTACAAATAGAGTGCTGCACAACTGCTCTATGTGAGGGGAAGTTCAATTCTGTGACTTGAATGCAGACACCACAAAGAAGTTTCTGAGAATGCTGCTGTCTAATTTTTACATGTAAGCCCGTTTCCAACGAAATCCTCAAAGCTATCCAAATATCCGCATGCAGAATCTTCAAAAAGAGTGTTCCAGAAGTACTGCATGAAACGAAAGGTTCAAGTCCGTTTGTTGAGGACACACATCACAAATAAGTTTCTCAGAATGCTTCTGTCTTGTTTTCATTGGAAGATATTTCCTTTTTCACCATAGTTCAGAAAGCGCTCCAAATGTCCACTTCCAGATACTCCAAAAAGAGTGTTTCCAACCTGCTCTATGAATGGGAATGTTCCACTCTGTGACTTGAATGGAAATATGGCAAAGTATTTTCTGAGTATGCTGCTGTGTATGTTTTATATTGCATCCCGTTTCCAACGAAATCCTCAAAGCGATCCAAATATCCACTTGCAGATTCCAAAAAAAGAGTGTTTCAAACTGCTCTGTCAGTACAAAGGTTCAACACTGTTAGTTGATTAGATGCATCATAAACAAGTTCCTGAGATAGCTTCTATGTCGTTTTTATGGGAAGATATTTCCTTTTTCACCATAGGCCTGAAAGCGCTCCAAATGTCCACTTCCAGATACTACAATAAGAGTGTTTCCAACCTGCTCTATGAAACGGAAGGTTCAACTCTGTGACTTGATTGCAAACATCACGAAGGTGTTTCTGAGAATGCTTCTGTCTAGATTTTCTTTGAAGACATTACCGTTTCCAACGAAATCCTCAAAGCTAGCCAAATATCCACCTGCAGATTCTACAAAAACTGTGTTTCAAAAGTGCTCTCTCCAAACCAAGGTTCAATTCTGACAGTTGAGTGCACACATCACAAACGGGATTCTGCGAATGCTTCTGACTAGTTTTTGTCGGAAGATATTTCCTTTTTCAGCATAGGCCCCAAAGAGCTCAAAATGTCCACTGCCAGATAGTACGAGAAGATTGTTTCAAACCTGCTCTGTGAAAGGGAATGTTCAACTCTGTGACTTGAATGTAAACATCCCTAAGATGTTTCTTAGAATGCTTCTGGCTAGATTTGATTTGAAGATATTCCCGTTTCCAACGAAATCCTCAAAGCTTTCCAAATATCCACTTCCAGATTCTATAAAAAGAATGTTTCAGAACAGTTCTGTCAAAAGAAAGGTTCAACTCTGTTAGTGGAGAACACACATCACAATCAAGGTTCTGAGAATGCTTCTGTCTAAATTTTCTATGAAGACATTCCCGTTTCCAACGAAATCCTCACAGCTATCCAAATATCCACTTGCAGATTCTACAAAAAGTGTGGTTCAAAACTGCTGTATCAAAAGAATGGATCAACACTGTTAGTTGAGTACCCACATCACAAACGTGATTCTCAGAATGCTTCTGTCTAGTTTCTATAGGTAGATATTTCCTTTTTCAGCATAGGCCTGAAAGCGCTCCAAATGCCCGCTTCCAGACACTATAAAAAGAGGGTTTCAAACCTACTCTACGAAAGGGAATGTTCAACTCTGAGAGCTGGATGCAAACATCACAAAGAAGTTTCTGAGAATGCGGCTGTCTACTTTTTATATATAATCCCGTTGTCAACGAAATCCTCAAATCTTTCCAAATATCCACTTGCAGATTCCAAAAGAAGAGTGTCTCAAAACTGCTCTATCAATAGAAATGTTCAGCACAGTTAGTTGAGTAGATACAGCATAAACATGTTTCTGAGATTACTTCTATCTCGCATTCATGGGAAGATATTTCGTGTTTCCAGATAGGCTACAAAGCCCTCCAAATGTCCACTTCGAGATACTACAAATAGAGTGCTGCAAAACTGCTCTATGTGAAGGGATGTTCAATTCTGTGACTTGAATGCAGACACCACAAAGAAGTTTCTGAGAATGCTGCTGTCTAATTTTTATATGTAAGCCCGTTTCCAACGAAATCCTCAAAGCTATCCAAAGATCCGTATGCAGAATCTTCAAAAAGAGTGTTCCAGAAGTACTGCATGAAACGAAAGGTTCAAGTCCGTTAGTTGAGGACACACATCACAAATAAGTTTCTCAGAATGCTTCTGTCTTGTTTTCATTGGAAGATATTTCCTTTTTCACCATAGTTCAGAAAGCGCTCCAAATGTCCACTTCCAGATACTACAAAAAGAGTGTGTCAAACCTGCTCTATGAATGGGAATGTTCCACTCTGTGACTTGAATGGAAATATGGCAAAGTATTTTCTGAGTATGCTGCTGTGTACGTTTTATATTGCATCCCGTTTCCAACGAAATCATCAAAGCGATCCAAATATCCACTTGCAGATTCCAAAAAAAGAGTGTTTCACACTGCTCTGTCAGTACAAAGGTTCAACACTGTTAGTTGATTGGATGCATCATAAACAAGTTCCTGAGATAGCTTCTATGTCGTTTTTATGGGAAGATATTTCCTTTTTCACCATAGGCCTGAAAGCGCTCCAAATGTCCACTTCCAGATACTACAAAAAGAGTGTTTCCAACCTGCTCTATGAAACGGAAGGTTCAACTCTGTGACTTGATTGCAAACATCACGAAGGTGTTTCTGAGAATGTTTCTGTCTAGATTTTCTTTGAAGACATTACCGTTTCCAACGAAATCCTCAAAGCTAGCCAAATATCCACCTGCAGATTCTACAAAAAGAGTGTTTCAAAAGTGCTCTGTCCAAACCAAGGTTCAATTCTGACAGTTGAGTGCACACATCACAAACGTGATTCTGCGAATGCTTCTGTCTAGTTTTTGTCGGAAGATATTTCCTTTTTCAGCATAGGCCCCAAGGAGCTCAAAATGTCCACTTCCAGATAGTACGAGAAGATTGTTTCAAACCTGCTCTGTGAAAGGGAATGTTCAACTCTGTGACTTGAATGTAAACATCCCTAAGATGTTTCTTAGAATGCTTCTGGCTAGATTTGATTTGAAGATATTCCCGTTTCCAACGAAATCCTCAAAGCTTTCCAAATATCCACTTCCAGATTCTATAAAAAGAATGTTTCAGAACAGTTCTGTCAAAAGAAAGGTTCAACTGCTGTTAGTGGAGAACACACATCACAATCAAGGTTCTGAGAATGCTTCTGTCTAAATTTTCTATGAAGACATTCCCGTTTCCAACGAAATCCTCACAGCTATCCAAATATCCACTTACAGATTCTACAAAAAGTGTGGTTCAAAACTTCTGTATCAAAAGAATGGATCAACACTGTTAGTTGAGTACCCACATCACAAACGTGATTCTCAGAATGCTTCTGTCTAGTTTCTATAGGTAGATATTTCCTTTTTCAGCATAGGCCTGAAAGCGCTCCAAATGCCCACTTCCAGACACTATAAAAAGAGGGTTTCAAACCTACTCTATGAAAGGGAATGTTCAACTCTGAGAGCTGGATGCAAACATCACAAAGAAGTTTCTGAGAATGCTGCTGTCTACTTTTTATATATAATCCCGTTTCCAACGAAATCCTCAAATCTATCCAAATATCCACTTGCAGATTCCAAAAGAAGAGTGTCTCAAAACTGCTCTATCAATAGAAATGTTCAGCACAGTTAGTTGAGTAGATACAGCATAAACATGTTTCTGAGATTACTTCTATCTCGCATTCATGGGAAGATATTTCCTTTTTCCAGATAGGCTACAAAGCCCTCCAAATGTCCACTTCCAGATACTACAAATAGAGTGCTGCACAACTGCTCTATGTGAGGGGATGTTCAATTCTGTGACTTGAATGCAGACACCACAAAGAAGTTTCTGAGAATGCTGCTGTCTAATTTTTATATGTAAGCCCGTTTCCAACGAAATCCTCAAAGCTATCCAAATATCCGCATGCAGAATCTTCAAAAAGAGTGTTCCAGAAGTACTGCATGAAACGAAAGGTTCAAGTCCGTTAGTTGAGGACACGCATCACAAATAAGTTTCTCAGAATGCTTCTGTCTTGTTTTCATTGGAAGATATTTCCTTTTTCACCATAGTTCAGAAAGCGCTCCAAATGTCCACTTCCAGATACTCCAAAAAGAGTGTTTCCAACCTGCTCTATGAATGGGAATGTTCCACTCTGTGACTTGAATGGAAATATGGCAAAGTATTTTCTGAGTATGCTGCTGTGTACGTTTTATATTGCATCCCGTTTCCAACGAAATCCTCAAAGCGATCCAAATATCCACTTGCAGATTCCAAAAAAAGAGTGTTTCAAACTGCTCTGTCAGTACAAAGGTTCAACACTGTTAGTTGATTAGATGCATCATAAACAAGTTCCTGAGATAGCTTCTATGTCGCTTTTATGGGAAGATATTTCCTTTTACACCATAGGCCTGAAAGCGCTCCAAATGTCCACTTCCAGATACTACAAAATGAGTGTTTCCAACCTGCTCTATGAAACGGAAGGTTCAACTCTGTGACTTGATTGCAAACATCACGAAGGTGTTTCTGAGGATGTTTCTGTCTAGATTTTCTTTGAAGACATTACCGTTTCCAACGAAATCCTCAAAGCTAGCCAAATATCCACCTGCAGATTCTACAAAAAGAGTGTTTCAAAAGTGCTCTGTCCAAACCAAGGTTCAATTCTGACAGTTGAGTGCACACATCACAAACGTGATTCTGCGAATGCTTCTGTCTAGTTTTTGTCGGAAGATATTTCCTTTTTCAGCATAGGCCCCAAGGAGCTCAAAATGTCCACTGCCAGATAGTACGAGAAGATTGTTTCAAACCTGCTCTGAGAAAGGGGAATGTTCAACTCTGTGACTTGAATGTACACATCCCTAAGATGTTTCTTAGAATGCTTCTGGCTAGATTTGATTTGAAGATATTCCCGTTTCCAACGAAATCCTCAAAGCTTTCCAAATATCCACTTCCAGATTCTCTAAAAAGAATGTTTCAAAACAGTTCTGTCAAAAGAAAGGTTCAACTCTGTTAGTGGAGAACACACATCACAATCCAGGTTCTGAGAATGCTTCTGTCTAAATTTTCTATGAAGACATTCCCGTTTCCAACGAAATCCTCACAGCTATCCAAATATCCACTTGCAGATTCTACAAAAAGGGTGGTTCAAAACTGCTGTATCAAAAGAATGGATCAACACTGTTAGTTGAGTACCCACATCACAAACGTGATTCTCAGAATGCTTCTGTCTAGTTTCTGTAGGTAGATATTTCCTTTTTCAGCATAGGCCTGAAAGCGCTCCAAATGCCCGCTTCCAGACACTATAAAAAGGGGGTTTCAAACCTACTCTATGAAAGGGAATGTTCAACTCTGAGAGCTGGATGCAAACATCACAAAGAAGTTTCTGAGAATGCTGCTGTCTACTTTTTATATATAATCCCGTTTCCAACGAAATCCTCAAATCTAGCCAAATATCCACTTGCAGATTCCAAAAGAAGAGTGTCTCAAAACTGCTCTATCAATAGAAATGTTCAGCACAGTTAGTTGAGTAGATACAGCATAAACATGTTTCTGAGATTACTTCTATCTCGCATTCATGGGAAGATATTTCCTTTTTCCAGATAGGCTACAAAGCCCTCCAAATGTCCACTTCGAGATACTACAAATAGAGTGCTGCACAACTGCTCTATGTGAGGGGATGTTCAATTCTGTGACTTGAATGCAGACACCACAAAGAAGTTTCTGAGAATGCTGCTGTCTAATTTTTATATGTAAGCTCGTTTCCAACGAAATCCTCACAGCTAACCAAATATCCGCATGCAGAATCTTCAAAAAGAGTGTTCCAGAAGTACTGCATGAAACGAAAGGTTCGAGTCCTTTAGTTGAGGACACGCATCACAAATAAGTTTCTCAGAATGCTTCTGTCTTGTTTTCATTGGAAGATATTTCCTTTTTCACCATAGTTCAGAAAGCGCTCCAAATGTCCACTTCCAGATACTACAAAAAGAGTGTGTCAAACCTGCTCTATGAATGGGAATGTTCCACTCTGTGACTTGAATTGATATATGGCAAAGTATTTTCTGAGTATGCTGCTGTGTACGTTTTATATTGCATCCCGTTTCCAACGAAATCCTCAAAGAGATCCAAATATCCACTTGCAGATTCCAAAAAAAGAGTGTTTCAAAGTGCTCTGTCAGTACAAAGGTTCAACACTGTTAGTTGATTAGATGCATCATAAACAAGTTCCTGAGATAGCTTCTATCTCGCATTCATGGGAAGATATTTCCTTTTTCCAGATAGGCTACAAAGCCCTCCAAATGTCCACTTCCAGATACTACAAAAAGAGTGTTTCCAACCTGCTCTATGAAACGGAAGGTTCAACTCTGTGACTTGATTGCAAACATCACGAAAGTGTTTCTGAGAATTCTTCTGTCTAGATTTTCTTTGAAGACATTACCGTTTCCAACGAAATCCTCAAAGCTAGCCAAATATCCACCTGCAGATTCTACAAAAAGAGTGTTTCAAAAGTGCTCTGTCCAAACCAAGGTTCAATTCTGACAGTTGAGTGCACACATCACAAACGTGATTCTGCGAATGCTTCTGTCTAGTTTTTGTCGGAAGATATTTCCTTTTTCAGCATAGGCCCCAAGGAGCTCAAAATGTCCACTGCCAGATAGTACGAGAAGATTGTTTCAAACCTGCTCTGTGAAAGGGAATGTTCAACTCTGTGACTTGAATGTAAACATCCCTAAGATGTTTCTTAGAATGCTTCTGGCTAGATTTTATTTGAAGATATTCCCGTTTCCAACGAAATCCTCAAAGCTTTCCAAATATCCACTTCCAGATTCTATAAAAAGAATGTTTCAGAACAGTTCTGTCAAAAGAAAGGTTCAACTCTGTTAGTGGAGAACACACATCACAATCAAGGTTCTGAGAATGTTTCTGTCTAAATTTTCTATGAAGACATTCCCGTTTCCAACGAAATCCTCACAGCTATCCAAATATCCACTTGCAGATTCTACAAAAAGTGTGGTTCAAAACTGCTGTATCAAAAGAATGGATCAACACTGTTAGTTGAGTACCCACATCACAAACGTGATTCTCAGAATGCTTCTGTCTAGTTTCTATAGGTAGATATTTCCTTTTTCAGCATAGGCCTGAAAGCGCTCCAAATGCCCGCTTCCAGACACTATAAAAAGAGGGTTTCAAACCTACTCTATGAAAGGGAATGTTCAACTCTGAGAGCTGGATGCAAACATCACAAAGAAGTTTCTGAGAATGCTGCTGTCTACTTTTTATATATAATCCCGTTTCCAACGAAATCCTCAAATCTATCCAAATATCCACTTGCAGATTCCAAAAGAAGAGTGTCTCAAAACTGCTCTATCAATAGAAATGTTCAGCACAGTTAGTTGAGTAGATACAGCATAAACATGTTTCTGAGATTACTTCTATCTCGCATTCATGGGAAGATATTTCCTTTTTCCAGATAGGCTACAAAGCCCTCCAAATGTCCACTTCCAGATACTACAAAAAGAGTGTTTCCAACCTGCTCTATGAAACGGAAGGTTCAACTCTGTGACTTGATTGCAAACATCACGAAGGTGTTTCTGAGAATGCTTCTGTCTAGATTTTCTTTGAAGACATTACCGTTTCCAACGAAATCCTCAAAGCTAGCCAAATATCCACCTGCAGATTCTACAAAAAGAGTGTTTCAAAAGTGCTCTCTCCAAACCAAGGTTCAATTCTGACAGTTGAGTGCACACATCACAAACGTGATTCTGCGAATGCTTCTGTCTAGTTTTTGTCGGAAGATATTTCCTTTTTCAGCATAGGCCCCAAGGAGCTCAAAATGTCCACTGCCAGATAGTACGAGAAGATTGTTTCAAACCTGCTCTGTGAAAGGGAATGTTCAACTCTGTGACTTGAATGTAAACATCCCTAAGATGTTTCTTAGAATGCTTCTGGCTAGATTTGATTTGAAGATATTCCCGTTTCCAACGAAATCCTCAAAGCTTTCCAAATATCCACTTCCAGATTCTATAAAAAGAATGTTTCAGAACAGTTCTGTCAAAAGAAAGGTTCAACTCTGTTAGTGGAGAACACACATCACAATCAAGGTTCTGAGAATGCTTCTGTCTAAATTTTCTATGAAGACATTCCCGTTTCCAACGAAATCCTCACAGCTATCCAAATATCCACTTGCAGATTCTACAAAAAGTGTGGTTCAAAACTGCTGTATCAAAAGAATGGATCAACACTGTTAGTTGAGTACCCACATCACAAACGTGATTCTCAGAATGCTTCTGTCTAGTTTCTATAGGTAGATATTTCCTTTTTCAGCATAGGCCTGAAAGCGCTCCAAATGCCCGCTTCCAGACACTATAAAAAGAGGGTTTCAAACCTACTCTATGAAAGGGAATGTTCAACTCTGAGAGCTGGATGCAAACATCACAAAGAAGTTTCTGAGAATGCTGCTGTCTACTTTTTATATATAATCCCGTTTCCAACGAAATCCTCAAATCTATCCAAATATCCACTTGCAGATTCCAAAAGAAGAGTGTCTCAAAACTGCTCTATCAATAGAAATGTTCAGCACAGTTAGTTGAGTAGATACAGCATAAACATGTTTCTGAGATTACTTCTATCTCGCATTCATGGGAAGATATTTCCTTTTTCCAGATAGGCTACAAAGCCCTCCAAATGTCCACTTCCAGATACTACAAAAAGAGTGTTTCCAACCTGCTCTATGAAACGGAAGGTTCAACTCTGTGACTTGATTGCAAACATCACGAAGGTGTTTCTGAGAATGCTTCTGTCTAGATTTTCTTTGAAGACATTACCGTTTCCAACGAAATCCTCAAAGCTAGCCAAATATCCACCTGCAGATTCCACAAAAAGAGTGTTTCAAAAGTGCTCTGTCCAAACCAAGGTTCAATTCTGACAGTTGAGTGCACACATCACAAACGTGATTCTGCGAATGCTTCTGTCTAGTTTTTGTCGGAAGATATTTCCTTTTTCAGCATAGGCCCCAAGGAGCTCAAAATGTCCACTGCCAGATAGTACGAGAAGATTGTTTCAAACCTGCTCTGTGAAAGGGAATGTTCAACTCTGTGACTTGAATGTAAACATCCCTAAGATGTTTCTTAGAATGCTTCTGGCTAGATTTTATTTGAAGATATTCCCGTTTCCAACGAAATCCTCAAAGCTTTCCAAATATCCACTTCCAGATTCTATAAAAAGAATGTTTCAGAACAGTTCTGTCAAAAGAAAGGTTCAACTCTGTTAGTGGAGAACACACATCACAATCAAGGTTCTGAGAATGCTTCTGTCTAAATTTTCTATGAAGACATTCCCGTTTCCAACGAAATCCTCACAGCTATCCAAATATCCACTTGCAGATTCTACAAAAAGTGTGGTTCAAAACTGCTGTATCAAAAGAATGGATCAACACTGTTAGTTGAGTACCCACATCACAAACGTGATTCTCAGAATGCTTCTGTCTAGTTTCTATAGGTAGATATTTCCTTTTTCAGCATAGGCCTGAAAGCGCTCCAAATGCCCGCTTCCAGACACTATAAAAAGAGGGTTTCAAACCTACTCTATGAAAGGGAATGTTCAACTCTGAGAGCTGGATGCAAACATCACAAAGAAGTTTCTGAGAATGCTGCTGTCTACTTTTTATATATAATCCCGTTTCCAACGAAATCCTCAAATCTATCCAAATATCCACTTGCAGATTCAAAAAGAAGAGTGTCTCAAAACTGCTCTATCAATAGAAATGTTCAGCACAGTTAGTTGAGTAGATACAGCATAAACATGTTTCTGAGATTACATCTATCTCGCATTCATGGGAAGATATTTCCTTTTTCCAGATAGGCTACAAAGCCCTCCAAATGTCCACTTCCAGATACTACAAAAAGTGTGTTTCCAACCTGCTCTATGAAACGGAAGGTTCAACTCTGTGACTTGATTGCAAACATCACGAAGGTGTTTCTGAGAATGCTTCTGTCTAGATTTTCTTTGAAGACATTACCGTTTCCAACGAAATCCTCAAAGCTAGCCAAATATCCACCTGCAGATTCTACAAAAAGTGTGTTTCAAAAGTGCTCTCTCCAAACCAAGGTTCAATTCTGACAGTTGAGTGCACACATCACAAACGTGATTCTGCGAATGCTTCTGACTAGTTTTTGTCGGAAGATATTTCCTTTTTCAGCATAGGCCCCAAAGAGCTCAAAATGTCCACTGCCAGATAGTACGAGAAGATTGTTTCAAACCTGCTCTGTGAAAGGGAATGTTCAACTCTGTGACTTGAATGTAAACATCCCTAAGATGTTTCTTAGAATGCTTCTGGCTAGATTTTATTTGAAGATATTCCCGTTTCCAACGAAATCCTCAAAGCTTTCCAAATATCCACTTCCAGATTCTATAAAAAGAATGTTTCAGAACAGTTCTGTCAAAAGAAAGGTTCAACTCTGTTAGTGGAGAACACACATCACAATCAAGGTTCTGAGAATGCTTCTGTCTAAATTTTCTATGAAGACATTCCCGTTTCCAACGAAATCCTCACAGCTATCCAAATATCCACTTGCAGATTCTACAAAAAGTGTGGTTCAAAACTGCTGTATCAAAAGAATGGATCAACACTGCTAGTTGAGTACCCACATCACAAACGTGATTCTCAGAATGCTTCTGTCTAGTTTCTATAGGTAGATATTTCCTTTTTCAGCATAGGCCTGAAAGCGCTCCAAATGCCCGCTTCCAGACACTATAAAAAGAGGGTTTCAAACCTACTCTATGAAAGGGAATGTTCAACTCTGAGAGCTGGATGCAAACATCACAAAGAAGTTTCTGAGAATGCTGCTGTCTACTTTTTATATATAATCCCGTTTCCAACGAAATCCTCAAATCTATCCAAATATCCACTTGCAGATTCCAAAAGAAGAGTGTCTCAAAACTGCTCTATCAATAGAAATGTTCAGCACAGTTAGTTGAGTAGATACAGCATAAACATGTTTCTGAGATTACTTCTATCTCGCATTCATGGGAAGATATTTCCTTTTTCCAGATAGGCTACAAAGCCCTCCAAATGTCCACTTCCAGATACTACAAATAGAGTGCTGCACAACTGCTCTATGTGAGGGGAAGTTCAATTCTGTGACTTGAATGCAGACACCACAAAGAAGTTTCTGAGAATGCTGCTGTCTAATTTTTACATGTAAGCCCGTTTCCAACGAAATCCTCAAAGCTATCCAAATATCCGCATGCAGAATCTTCAAAAAGAGTGTTCCAGAAGTACTGCATGAAACGAAAGGTTCAAGTCCGTTTGTTGAGGACACACATCACAAATAAGTTTCTCAGAATGCTTCTGTCTTGTTTTCATTGGAAGATATTTCCTTTTTCACCATAGTTCAGAAAGCGCTCCAAATGTCCACTTCCAGATACTCCAAAAAGAGTGTTTCCAACCTGCTCTATGAATGGGAATGTTCCACTCTGTGACTTGAATGGAAATATGGCAAAGTATTTTCTGAGTATGCTGCTGTGTACGTTTTATATTGCATCCCGTTTCCAACGAAATCCTCAAAGCGATCCAAATATCCACTTGCAGATTCCAAAAAAAGAGTGTTTCAAACTGCTCTGTCAGTACAAAGGTTCAACACTGTTAGTTGATTAGATGCATCATAAACAAGTTCCTGATATAGATTCTATGTCGTTTTTATGGGAAGATATTTCCTTTTTCACCATAGGCCTGAAAGCGCTCCAAATGTCCACTTCCAGATACTACAAAAAGAGTGTTTCCAACCTGCTCTATGAAACGGAAGGTTCAACTCTGTGACTTGATTGCAAACATCACGAAGGTGTTTCTGAGAATGTTTCTGTCTAGATTTTCTTTGAAGACATTCCCGTTTCCAACGAAATCCTCACAGCTATCCAAATATCCTCTTGCAGATTCTACAAAAAGTGTGGTTCAAAACTGCTGTATCAAAAGAATGGATCAACACTGTTAGTTGAGTACCCACATCACAAACGAGATTCTCAGAATGCTTCTGTCTAGTTTCTGTAGGTAGATATTTCCTATTTTAAGCATAGGCCTGAAAGCGCTCCAAATGCCCGCTTCCAGACACTATAAAAAGAGGGTTTCAAACCTACTCTATGAAAGGGAATGTTCAACTCTGAGAGCTGGATGCAAACATCACAAAGAAGTTTCTGAGAATGCTGCTGTCTACTTTTTATATATAATCCCGTTTCCAACGAAATCCTCAAATCTCTCCAAATATCCACTTGCAGATTCCAAAAGAAGAGTGTCTCAAAACTGCTCTATCAATAGAAATGTTCAGCACAGTTAGTTGAGTAGATACAGCATAAACATGTTTCTGAGATTACTTCTATCTCGCATTCATGGGAAGATATTTCCTTTTTCCACATAGGCTACAAAGCCCTCCAAATGTCCACTTCCAGATACTACAAAAAGAGTGTTTCCAACCTGCTCTATGAAACGGAAGGTTCAACTCTGTGACTTGATTGCAAACATCACGAAGGTGTTTCTGAGAATGCTTCTGTCTAGATTTTCTTTGAAGACATTACCGTTTCCAACGAAATCCTCAAAGCTAGCCAAATATCCACCTGCAGATTCTACAAAAAGAGTGTTTCAAAAGTGCTCTGTCCAAACCAAGGTTCAATTCTGACAGTTGAGTGCACACATCACAAACGTGATTCTGCGAATGCTTCTGTCTAGTTTTTGTCGGAAGATATTTCCTTTTTCAGCATAGGCCCCAAGGAGCTCAAAATGTCCACTGCCAGATAGTACGAGAAGATTGTTTCAAACCTGCTCTGTGAAAGGGAATGTTCAACTCTGTGACTTGAATGTAAACATCCCTAAGATGTTTCTTAGAATGCTTCTGGCTAGATTTGATTTGAAGATATTCCCGTTTCCAACGAAATCCTCAAAGCTTTCCAAATATCCACTTCCAGATTCTATAAAAAGAATGTTTCAGAACAGTTCTGTCAAAAGAAAGGTTCAACTCTGTTAGTGGAGAACACACATCACAATCAAGGTTCTGAGAATGCTTCTGTCTAAATTTTCTAAGAAGACATTCCCGTTTCCAACGAAATCCTCACAGCTATCCAAATATCCACTTGCAGATTCTACAAAAAGTGTGGTTCAAAACTGCTGTATCAAAAGAATGGATCAACACTGTTAGTTGAGTACCCACATCACAAACGTGATTCTCAGAATGCTTCTGTCTAGTTTCTATAGGTAGATATTTCCTTTTTCAGCATAGGCCTGAAAGCGCTCCAAATGCCCGCTTCCAGACACTATAAAAAGAGGGTTTCAAACCTACTCTATGAAAGGGAATGTTCAACTCTGAGAGCTGGATGCAAACATCACAAAGAAGTTTCTGAGAATGCTGCTGTCTACTTTTTATATATAATCCCGTTTCCAACGAAATCCTCAAATCTATCCAAATATCCACTTGCAGATTCCAAAAGAAGAGTGTCTCAAAACTGCTCTATCAATAGAAATGTTCAGCACAGTTAGTTGAGTAGATACAGCATAAACATGTTTCTGAGATTACTTCTATCTCGCATTCATGGGAAGATATTTCCTTTTTCCAGATAGGCTACAAAGCCCTCCAAATGTCCACTTCCAGATACTACAAATAGAGTGCTGCACAACTGCTCTATGTGAGGGGAAGTTCAATTCTGTGACTTGAATGCAGACACCACAAAGAAGTTTCTGAGAATGCTGCTGTCTAATTTTTACATGTAAGCCCGTTTCCATCGAAATCCTCAAAGCTATCCAAATATCCGCATGCAGAATCTTCAAAAAGAGTGTTCCAGAAGTACTGCATGAAACGAAAGGTTCAAGTCCGTTTGTTGAGGACACACATCACAAATAAGTTTCTCAGAATGCTTCTGTCTTGTTTTCATTGGAAGATATTTCCTTTTTCACCATAGTTCAGAAAGCGCTCCAAATGTCCACTTCCAGATACTCCAAAAAGAGTGTTTCCAACCTGCTCTATGAATGGGAATGTTCCACTCTGTGACTTGAATGGAAATATGGCAAAGTATTTTCTGAGTATGCTGCTGTGTACGTTTTATATTGCATCCCGTTTCCAACGAAATCCTCAAAGCGATCCAAATATCCACTTGCAGATTCCAAAAAAAGAGTGTTTCAAACTGCTCTGTCAGTACAAAGGTTCAACACTGTTAGTTGATTAGATGCATCATAAACAAGTTCCTGAGATAGCTTCTATGTCGTTTTTATGGGAAGATATTTCCTTTTTCACCATAGGCCTGAAAGCGCTCCAAATGTCCACTTCCAGATACTACAATAAGAGTGTTTCCAACCTGCTCTATGAAACGGAAGGTTCAACTCTGTGACTTGATTGCAAACATCACGAAGGTGTTTCTGAGAATGCTTCTGTCTAGATTTTCTTTGAAGACATTACCGTTTCCAACGAAATCCTCACAGCTATCCAAATATCCACTTGCAGATTCTACAAAAAGTGTGGTTCAAAACTGCTGTATCAAAAGAATGGATCAACACTGTTAGTTGAGTACCCACATCACAAACGTGATTCTCAGAATGCTTCTGTCTAGTTTCTGTAGGTAGATATTTCCTATTTTAAGCATAGGCCTGAAAGCGCTCCAAATGCCCGCTTCCAGACACTATAAAAAGAGGGTTTCAAACCTACTCTATGAAAGGGAATGTTCAACTCTGAGAGCTGGATGCAAACATCACAAAGAAGTTTCTGAGAATGCTGCTGTCTACTTTTTATATATAATCCCGTTTCCAACGAAATCCTCAAATCTATCCAAATATCCACTTGCAGATTCCAAAAGAAGAGTGTCTCAAAACTGCTCTATCAATAGAAATGTTCAGCACAGTTAGTTGAGTAGATACAGCATAAACATGTTTCTGAGATTACTTCTATCTCGCATTCATGGGAAGATATTTCCTTTTTCCAGATAGGCTACAAAGCCCTCCAAATGTCCACTTCCAGATACTACAAAAAGAGTGTTTCCAACCTGCTCTATGAAACGGAAGGTTCAACTCTGTGACTTGATTGCAAACATCACGAAGGTGTTTCTGAGAATGCTTCTGTCTAGATTTTCTTTGAAGACATTACCGTTTCCAACGAAATCCTCAAAGCTAGCCAAATATCCACCTGCAGATTCTACAAAAAGAGTGTTTCAAAAGTGCTCTGTCCAAACCAAGGTTCAATTCTGACAGTTGAGTGCACACATCACAAACGTGATTCTGCGAATGCTTCTGTCTAGTTTTTGTTGGAAGATATTTCCTTTTTCAGCATAGGCCCCAAGGAGCTCAAAATGTCCACTGCCAGATAGTACGAGAAGATTGTTTCAAACCTGCTCTGTGAAAGGGAATGTTCAACTCCGTGACTTGAATGTAAACATCCGTAAGATGTTTCTTAGAATGCTTCTGGCTAGATTTGATTTGAAGATATTCCCGTTTCCAACGAAATCCTCAAAGCTTTCCAAATATCCACTTTCAGATTCTATAAAAAGAATGTTTCAGAACAGTTCTGTCAAAAGAAAGGTTCAACTCTGTTAGTGGAGAACACACATCACAATCAAGGTTCTGAGAATGCTTCTGTCTAAATTTTCTATGAAGACATTCCCGTTTCCAACGAAATCCTCACAGCTATCCAAATATCCACTTGCAGATTCTACAAAAAGTGTGGTTCAAAACTGCTGTATCAAAAGAATGGATCAACACTGTTAGTTGAGTACCCACATCACAAACGTGATTCTCAGAATGCTTCTGTCTAGTTTCTGTAGGTGGATATTTCCTATTTTAAGCATAGGCCTGTAAGCGCTCCAAATGCCCGCTTCTAGACACTATAAAAAGAGGGTTTCAAACCTACTCTATGAAAGGGAATGTTCAACTCTGAGAGCTGGATGCAAACATCACAAAGAAGTTTCTGAGAATGCTGCTGTCTACTTTTTATATATAATCCCGTTTCCAACGAAATCCTCAAATCTATCCAAATATCCACTTGCAGATTCCAAAAGAAGAGTGTCTGAAAACTGCTCTATCAATAGAAATGTTCAGCACAGTTAGTTGAGTAGATACAGCATAAACATGTTTCTGAGATTACTTCTATCTCGCATTCATGGGAAGATATTTCCTTTTTCCAGATAGGCTACAAAGCCCTCCAAATGTCCACTTCCAGATACTACAAAAAGAGTGTTTCCAACCTGCTCTATGAAACGGAAGGTTCAACTCTGTGACTTGATTGCAAACATCACGAAGGTGTTTCTGAGAATGCTTCTGTCTAGATTTTCTTTGAAGACATTCCCGTTTCCAACGAAATCCTCACAGCTATCCAAATATCCTCTTGCAGATTCTACAAAAAGTGTGGTTCAAAACTGCTGTATCAAAAGAATGGATCAACACTGTTAGTTGAGTACCCACATCACAAACGTGATTCTCAGAATGCTTCTGTCTAGTTTCTGTAGGTAGATATTTCCTATTTTAAGCATAGGCCTGAAAGCGCTCCAAATGCCCGCTTCCAGACACTATAAAAAGAGGGTTTCAAACCTACTCTATGAAAGGGAATGTTCAACTCTGAGAGCTGGATGCAAACATCACAAAGAAGTTTCTGAGAATGCTGCTGTCTACTTTTTATATATAATCCCGTTTCCAACGAAATCCTCAAATCTATCCAAATATCCACTTGCAGATTCCAAAAGAAGAGTGTCTCAAAACTGCTCTATCAATAGAAATGTTCAGCACAGTTAGTTGAGTAGATACAGCATAAACACGTTTCTGAGATTACTTCTATCTCGCATTCATGGGAAGATATTTCCTTTTTCCAGATAGGCTACAAAGCCCTCCAAATGTCCACTTCCAGATACTACAAATAGAGTGCTGCACAACTGCTCTATGTGAGGGGAAGTTCAATTCTGTGACTTGAATGCAGACACCACAAAGAAGTTTCTGAGAATGCTGCTGTCTAATTTTTACATGTAAGGCCGTTTCCAACGAAATCCTCAAAGCTATCCAAATATCCGCATGCAGAATCTTCAAAAAGAGTGTTCCAGAAGTACTGCATGAAACGAAAGGTTCAAGTCCGTTTGTTGAGGACACACATCACAAATAAGTTTCTCAGAATGCTTCTGTCTTGTTTTCATTGGAAGATATTTCCTTTTTCACCATAGTTCAGAAAGCGCTCCAAATGTCCACTTCCAGATACTCCAAAAAGAGTGTTTCCAACCTGCTCTATGAATGGGAATGTTCCACTCTGTGACTTGAATGGAAACATGGCAAAGTATTTTCTGAGTATGCTGCTGTGTACGTTTTATATTGCATCCCGTTTCCAACGAAATCCTCAAAGTGATCCAAATATCCACTTGCAGATTCCAAAAAAAGAGTGTTTCAAAGTGCTCTGTCAGTACAAAGGTTCAACACTGTTAGTTGATTAGATGCATCATAAACAAGTTCCTGAGATAGCTTCTATGTCGTTTTTATGGGAAGATATTTCCTTTTTCACCATAGGCCTGAAAGCGCTCCAAATGTCCACTTCCAGATACTACAATAAGAGTGTTTCCAACCTGCTCTATGAAACGGAAGGTTCAACTCTGTGACTTGATTGCAAACATCACGAAGGTGTTTCTGAGAATGCTTCTGTCTAGATTTTCTTTGAAGACATTCCCGTTTCCAACGAAATCCTCACAGCTATCCAAATATCCTCTTGCAGATTCTACAAAAAGTGTGGTTCAAAACTGCTGTATCAAAAGAATGGATCAACACTGTTAGTTGAGTACCCACATCACAAACGTGATTCTCAGAATGCTTCTGTCTAGTTTCTGTAGGTAGATATTTCCTATTTCAAGCATAGGCCTGAAAGCGCTCCAAATGCCCGCTTGCAGACACTATAAAAAGAGGGTTTCAAACCTACTCTATGAAAGGGAATGTTCAACTCTGAGAGCTGGATGCAAACATCACAAAGAAGTTTCTGAGAATGCTGCTGTCTACTTTTTATATATAATCCCGTTTCCAACGAAATCCTCAAATCTATCCAAATATCCACTTGCAGATTCCAAAAGAAGAGTGTCTCAAAACTGCTCTATCAATAGAAATGTTCAGCACAGTTAGTTGAGTAGATACAGCATAAACGTGTTTCTGAGATTACTTCTATCTCGCATTCATGGGAAGATATTTCCTTTTTCCAGATAGGCTACAAAGCCCTCCAAATGTCCACTTCCAGATACTACAAAAAGAGTGTTTCCAACCTGCTCTATGAAACGGAAGGTTCAACTCTGTGACTTGATTGCAAACATCACGAAGGTGTTTCTGAGAATGCTTCTGTCTAGATTTTCTTTGAAGACATTACCGTTTCCAACGAAATCCTCAAAGCTAGCCAAATATCCACCTGCAGATTCTACAAAAAGAGTGTTTCAAAAGTGCTCTGTCCAAACCAAGGTTCAATTCTGACAGTTGAGTGCACACATCACAAACGTGATTCTGCGAATGCTTCTGTCTAGTTTTTGTCGGAAGATATTTCCTTTTTCAGCATAGGCCCCAAGGAGCTCAAAATGTCCACTGCCAGATAGTACGAGAAGATTGTTTCAAACCTGCTCTGTGAAAGGGAATGTTCAACTCTGTGACTTGAATGTAAACATCCCTAAGATGTTTCTTAGAATGCTTCTGGCTAGATTTTATTTGAAGATATTCCCGTTTCCAACGAAATCCTCAAAGCTTTCCAAATATCCACTTCCAGATTCTATAAAAAGAATGTTTCAGAACAGTTCTGTCAAAAGAAAGGTTCAACTCTGTTAGTGGAGAACACACATCACAATCAAGGTTCTGAGAATGCTTCTGTCTAAATTTTCTATGAAGACATTCCCGTTTCCAACGAAATCCTCACAGCTATCCAAATATCCACTTGCAGATTCTACAAAAAGTGTGGTTCAAAACTGCTGTATCAAAAGAATGGATCAACACTGTTAGTTGAGTACCCACATCACAAACGTGATTCTCAGAATGCTTCTGTCTAGTTTCTATAGGTAGATATTTCCTTTTTCAGCATAGGCCTGAAAGCGCTCCAAATGCCCGCTTCCAGACACTATAAAAAGAGGGTTTCAAACCTACTCTATGAAAGGGAATGTTCAACTCTGAGAGCTGGATGCAAACATCACAAAGAAGTTTCTGAGAATGCTGCTGTCTACTTTTTATATATAATCCCGTTTCCAACGAAATCCTCAAATCTATCCAAATATCCACTTGCAGATTCCAAAAGAAGAGTGTCTCAAAACTGCTCTATCAATAGAAATGTTCAGCACAGTTAGTTGAGTAGATACAGCATAAACATGTTTCTCAGATTACTTCTATCTCGCATTCATGGGAAGATATTTCCTTTTTCCAGATAGGCTACAAAGCCCTCCAAATGTCCACTTCCAGATACTACAAATAGAGTGCTGCACAACTGCTCTATGTGAGGGGGAAGTTCAATTCTGTGACTTGAATGCAGACACCACAAAGAAGTTTCTGAGAATGCTGCTGTCTAATTTTTACATGTAAGCCCGTTTCCAACGAAATCCTCAAAGCTATCCAAATATCCGCATGCAGAATCTTCAAAAAGAGTGTTCCAGAAGTACTGCATGAAACGAAAGGTTCAAGTCCGTTTGTTGAGGACACACATCACAAATAAGTTTCTCAGAATGCTTCTGTCTTGTTTTCATTGGAAGATATTTCCTTTTTCACCATAGTTCAGAAAGCGCTCCAAATGTCCACTTCCAGATACTCCAAAAAGAGTGTTTCCAACCTGCTCTATGAATGGGAATGTTCCACTCTGTGACTTGAATGGAAATATGGCAAAGTATTTTCTGAGTATGCTGCTGTCTACGTTTTATATTGCATCCCGTTTCCAACGAAATCCTCAAAGTGATCCAAATATCCACTTGCAGATTCCAAAAAAAGAGTGTTTCAAACTGCTCTGTCAGTACAAAGGTTCAACACTGTTAGTTGATTAGATGCATCATAAACAAGTTCCTGAGGTAGCTTCTATGTCGTTTTTATGGGAAGATATTTCCTTTTTCACCATAGGCCTGAAAGCGCTCCAAATGTCCACTTCCAGATACTACAATAAGAGTGTTTCCAACCTGCTCTATGAAACGGAAGGTTCAACTCTGTGACTTGATTGCAAACATCACGAAGGTGTTTCTGAGAATGCTTCTGTCTAGATTTTCTTTGAAGACATTCCCGTTTCCAACGAAATCCTCACAGCTATCCAAATATCCTCTTGCAGATTCTACAAAAAGTGTGGTTCAAAACTGCTGTATCAAAAGAATGGATCAACACTGTTAGTTGAGTACCCACATCACAAACGTGATTCTCAGAATGCTTCTGTCTAGTTTCTGTAGGTAGATATTTCCTATTTTAAGCATAGGCCTGAAAGCGCTCCAAATGCCCGCTTCCAGACACTATAAAAAGAGGGTTTCAAACCTAATCTATGAAAGGGAATGTTCAACTCTGAGAGCTGGATGCAAACATCACAAAGAAGTGTCTGAGAATGCTGCTGTCTACTTTTGATATATAATCCCGTTTCCAACGAAATCCTCAAATCTATCCAAATATCCACTTGCAGATTCCAAAAGAAGAGTGTCTCAAAACTGCTCTATCAATAGAAATGTTCAGCACAGTTAGTTGAGTAGATACAGCATAAACATGTTTCTGAGATTACTTCTATCTCGCATTCATGGGAAGATATTTCCTTTTTCCAGATAGGCTACAAAGCCCTCCAAATGTCCACTTCCAGATACTACAAATAGAGTGCTGCACAACTGCTCTATGTGAGGGGAAGTTCAATTCTGTGACTTGAATGCAGACACCACAAAGAAGTTTCTGAGAATGCTGCTGTCTAATTTTTACATGTAAGCCCGTTTCCAACGAAATCCTCAAAGCTATCCAAATATCCGCATGCAGAATCTTCAAAAAGAGTGTTCCAGAAGTACTGCATGAAACGAAAGGTTCAAGTCCGTTTGTTGAGGACACACATCACAAATAAGTTTCTCAGAATGCTTCTGTCTTGTTTTCATTGGAAGATATTTCCTTTTTCACCATAGTTCAGAAAGCGCTCCAAATGTCCACTTCCAGATACTCCAAAAAGAGTGTTTCCAACCTGCTCTATGAATGGGAATGTTCCAGTCTGTGACTTGAATGGAAATATGGCAAAGTATTTTCTGAGTATGCTGCTGTGTACGTTTTATATTGCATCCCGTTTCCAACGAAATCCTCAAAGCGATCCAAATATCCACTTGCAGATTCCAAAAAAAGAGTGTTTCAAACTGCTCTGTCAGTACAAAGGTTCAACACTGTTAGTTGATTAGATGCATCATAAACAAGTTCCTGAGACAGCTTCTATGTCGTTTTTATGGGAAGATATTTCCTTTTTCACCATAGGCCTGAAAGCGCTCCAAATGTCCCCTTCCAGATACTACAATAAGAGTGTTTCCAACCTGCTCTATGAAACGGAAGGTTCAACTCTGTGACTTGATTGCAAACATCACGAAGGTGTTTCTGAGAATGCTTCTGTCTAGATTTTCTTTGAAGACATTCCCGTTTCCAACGAAATCCTCACAGCTATCCAAATATCCTCTTGCAGATTCTACAAAAAGTGTGGTTCAAAACTGCTGTATCAAAAGAATGGATCAACACTGTTAGTTGAGTACCCACATCACAAACGTGATTCTCAGAATGCTTCTGTCTAGTTTCTATAGGTAGATATTTCCTATTTTAAGCATAGGCCTGAAAGCGCTCCAAATGCCCGCTTCCAGACACTATAAAAAGAGGGTTTCAAACCTACTCTATGAAAGGGAATGTTCAACTCTGAGAGCTGGATGCAAACATCACAAAGAAGTTTCTGAGAATGCTGCTGTCTACTTTTTATATATAATCCCGTTTCCAACGAAATCCTCAAATCTATCCAAATATCCACTTGCAGATTCCAAAAGAAGAGTGTCTCAAAACTGCTCTATCAATAGAAATGTTCAGCACAGTTAGTTGAGTAGATACAGCATAAACATGTTTCTGAGATTACTTCTATCTCGCATTCATGGGAAGATATTTCCTTTTTCCAGATAGGCTACAAAGCCCTCCAAATGTCCACTTCGAGATACTACAAATAGAGTGCTGCACAACTGCTCTATGTGAGGGGAAGTTCAATTCTGTGACTTGAATGCAGACACCACAAAGAAGTTTCTGAGAATGCTGCTGTCTAATTTTTACATGTAAGCCCGTTTCCAACGAAATCCTCAAAGCTATCCAAATATCCGAATGCAGAATCTTCAAAAAGAGTGTTCCAGAAGTACTGCATGAAACGAAAGGTTCAAGTCCGTTTGTTGAGGACACACATCACAAATAAGTTTCTCAGAATGCTTCTGTCTTGTTTTCATTGGAAGATATTTCCTTTTTCACCATAGTTCAGAAAGCGCTCCAAATGTCCACTTCCAGATACTCCAAAAAGAGTGTTTCCAACCTGCTCTATGAATGGGAATGTTCCACTCTGTGACTTGAATGGAAATATGGCAAAGTATTTTCTGAGTATGCTGCTGTGTACGTTTTATATTGCATCCCGTTTCCAACGAAATCCTCAAAGCGATCCAAATATCCACTTGCAGATTCCAAAAAAAGAGTGTTTCAAACTGCTCTGTCAGTACAAAGGTTCAACACTGTTAGTTGATTAGATGCATCATAAACAAGTTCCTGAGATAGCTTCTATGTCGTTTTTATGGGAAGATATTTCCTTTTTCACCATAGGCCTGAAAGCGCTCCAAATGTCCACTTCCAGATACTACAATAAGAGTGTTTCCAACCTGCTCTATGAAACGGAAGGTTCAACTCTGTGACTTGATTGCAAACATCACGAAGGTGTTTCTGAGAATGCTTCTGTCTAGATTTTCTTTGAAGACATTCCCGTTTCCAACGAAATCCTCACAGCTATCCAAATATCCTCTTGCAGATTCTACAAAAAGTGTGGTTCAAAACTGCTGTATCAAAAGAATGGATCAACACTGTTAGTTGAGTACCCACATCACAAACGTGATTCTCAGAATGCTTCTGTCTAGTTTCTGTAGGTAGATATTTCCTATTTTAAGCATAGGCCTGAAAGCGCTCCAAATGCCCGCTTCCAGACACTATAAAAAGAGGGTTTCAAACCTACTCTATGAAAGGGAATGTTCAACTCTGAGAGCTGGATGCAAACATCACAAAGAAGTTTCTGAGAATGCTGCTGTCTACTTTTTATATATAATCCCGTTTCCAACGAAATCCTCAAATCTATCCAAATATCCACTTGCAGATTCCAAAAGAAGAGTGTCTCAAAATGCTCTATCAATAGAAATGTTCAGCACAGTTAGTTGAGTAGATACAGCATAAACATGTTTCTCAGATTACTTCTATCTCGCATTCATGGGAAGATATTTCCTTTTTCCAGATAGGCTACAAAGCCCTCCAAATGTCCACTTCCAGATACTACAAATAGAGTGCTGCACAACTGCTCTATGTGAGGGGAAGTTCAATTCTGTGACTTGAATGCAGACACCACAAAGAAGTTTCTGAGAATGCTGCTGTCTAATTTTTACATGTAAGCCCGTTTCCAACGAAATCCTCAAAGCTATCCAAATATCCGCATGCAGAATCTTCAAAAAGAGTGTTCCAGAAGTACTGCATGAAACGAAAGGTTCAAGTCCGTTTGTTGAGGACACACATCACAAATAAATTTCTCAGAATGCTTCTGTCTTGTTTTCATTGGAAGATATTTCCTTTTTCACCATAGTTCAGAAAGCGCTCCAAATGTCCACTTCCAGATACTCCAAAAAGAGTGTTTCCAACCTGCTCTATGAATGGGAATGTTCCACTCTGTGACTTGAATGGAAATATGGCAAAGTATTTTCTGAGTATGCTGCTGTGTACGTTTTATATTGCATCCCGTTTCCAACGAAATCCTCAAAGCGATCCAAATATCCACTTGCAGATTCCAAAAAAAGAGTGTTTCAAACTGCTCTGTCAGTACAAAGGTTCAACACTGTTAGTTGATTAGATGCATCATAAACAAGTTCCTGAGATAGCT